>NC_000011.10:3999393-4302424 GCF_000001405.40 Homo sapiens
TGTGTAAGGTGTCTGGTAGGGAGGGAGAGTGGCCAGGAAGGTACTTAGGAAGTTAATGTGTCATATTGTAAAAGACCTTGAATGCCAGGCCAAGAAGCTAGGGCTTTATCTTGTAGGTAATGGGGAGCCATGAGATGTTAAGTAAGGGAGTTGGAATAGATATTTACTTTAAGATCATTCTAGAGTGATTGTGGTGGGGGGAGGAGCCAAGATGGCCGAATAGGAAGAGCTCTGGTCTACAGCTCCCAGCGTGAGCGACGCAGTAGACGGGTGATTTCTGCATTTCCATTTGAGGTACCGGGTTCATCTCACTAGGGAGTGCCAGACAGTGGGCACAGGACAGTGGGTGCAGCACACCGTGTGCCAGCCAAAGCAGGGCAAGGCATTGCCTCACTCGGGAAGTGCAAGGGATCAGGGAGTTAGTTCCCTTTCCTGGTCAAGGAAAGGGGTGACAGACGGCACCTGGAAAATCGGGCCACTCCCACCCGAATACTGCACTTTTCCGACGGGCTTAGGAAATGGCGCACCAGGAGATTATATCCTGCACCTGGCTCGGAGGGTCCTACGCCCATGGAGTCTTGCTGATTGCTAGCACAGCAGTCTGAGATCAAACTGCAAGGCGGCAGCGAGGCTGGGGGAGGGGCGCCCGCCATTGCCCAGGCTCGCTTAGGTAAACAAAGCAGCCGGGAAGCTTGAACTGGGTGGAGCCCACCACGGCTCAAGGAGGCCTGCCTGCCTCTGTAGGCTCCACCTCTGGGGGCAGGGCACAGACAAACAAAAAGACAGCAGTAACCTCTGCAGACTTAAATGTGCCTGTCTGACAGCTTTGAAGAGAGCAGTGGTTCTCCCAGCATGCAGCTGCAGATCTGAGAATGGGCAGACTGCCTCCTCAAGTGGGTCCCTGACCCCGACCCCCGAGCAGCCTAACTGGGAGGCACCCCCCAGTAGGGGCAGACTGACAACTCACATGGCCAGGTACTCCTCTGAGACAAAACTTCCAGAGGAACGATCAGACAGCAGCATTCGCGGATCATGAAAATCCGTGGTTCTGCAGACACCGCTGCTGATACCCAGGCAAACAGGGTCTGGAGTGGACCTCTAGCAAACTCCAACAGACCTGCAGCTGAGGGTCCTGTCTGTTAGGAGGAAAACTAACAAACAGAAAGGACATCCACACCAAAAACCCATCTGTACATCACCATCATCAAAGACCAAAAGTAGATAAAACCACAAAGATAGGGAAAAAACAGAGCAGAAAAACTGGAAACTCTAAAAAGCAGAGCGCCTCTCCTCCTCCAAAGGAACGCAGTTCCTCACCAGCAACGGAACAAAGCTGGACGGAGAATGACTTTGATGAGTTGAGAGAAGAAGGCTTCAGACAATCAAACTACTCCAAGCTACAGGAGGAAATTCAAACCAAAGGCAAAGAAGTTGAAAACTTTGAAAAAAATTTAGACGAATGTATAACTAGAATAACCAATACAGAGAAGTGCTTAAAGGAGCTGATGGAGCTGAAAGCCAAGGCTCGAGAACTACGTGAAGAATGCAGAAGCCTCAGGACCCAATGCGATCAACTGGAAGAAAGAGTATCAGTGACGGAAGATGAAATGAATGAAATGAAGCGAGAAGGGAAGTTTAGAGAAAAAAGAATAAAAAGAAACGAACAAAGCCTCCAAGAAATGTGGGACTATATGAAAAGACCAAATCTGCGTCTGATTGGTGTACCTGAAAGTGATGGGGAGAATGGAACCAAGTTGGAAAACACTCTGCAGGATATTATCCAGGAGAACTTCCCCAATCTAGCAAGGCAGGCCAACATTCAGATTCAGGAAATACAGAGAACGCCACAAAGATACTCCTCGAGAAGAGCAACTCCAAGACACATAATTGTCAGATTCACCAAAGTTGAAATGAAGGAAAAAATGTTCAGGGCAGCCAGAGAGAAAGGTCGGGTTACCTTCAAAGGGAAGCCCATCAGACTAACAGCTGATCTCTCGGCAGAAACTCTACAAGCCAGAAGAGAGTGGGGACCAATATTCAACATTCTTAAAGAAAAGAATTTTCAACCCAGAATTTCATATCCAGCCAAACTAAGCTTGACAAGTGCAGGAGAAATAAAATACTTTACAGACAAGCAAATGCTGAGAGATTTTGTCACCACCAGGTCTGCCCTAAAAGAGCTCCTGAAGGAAGCACTAAACATGGAAAGGCACAACCGGTACCAGCCACTGCAAAATCATACCAAAATGTAAAGACCATTGAGATTAGGAAGAAACTGCATCAACTAATGAGCAAAATCACCAGCTAACATCATAATGACAGGATCAAATTCACACATAACAATATTAACTTTAAATGTAAATGGACTAAATGCTCCAATTAAAAGACACAGACTGGCAAATTGGATAAAGAGTCAAGACCCATCCGTGTGCTGTATTCAGGAAACCCATCTCACGTGCAGAGACACACATAGGCTCAAAATAAAAGGATGGAGGAAGATCTACCAAGCAAATGGAAAACAAAAAAAGGCAGGGGTTGCAATCCTAGTCTCTGATAAAACAGACTTTAAACCAACAAAGATCAAAAGAGACAAAGAAGGCCATTACATGATGGTAAAGGGATCAATTCAACAAGAAGAGCTAACTATCCTAAATATATATGCACCCAATACAGGAGCACCCAGATTCATAAAGCAAGTCCTGAGTGACCTACAAAGAGACTTAGACTCCCACACAATAATAATGGGAGACTTTAACACCCCACTGTCAACATTAGACAGATCAACGAGACAGAAAGTTAACAAGGATACCCAGGAATTGAACTCAGCTCTGCACCAAGCGGACCTAATAGACATCTACAGAACTCTCCACCCCAAATCAACAGAATATACATTTTTTTCAGCACCACACCATGCCTATTCCAAAATTGACCACATAGTTGGAAGTAAAGCACTCCTCAGCAAATGTAAAAGATCAGACATTATAACAAACTGTCTCTCAGACCACAGTGCAATCAAACTAGAACTCAGGATTAAGAAACTCACTCAGAACTGCTCAATTACATGGAAACTGAACAACCTGCCCCTGAATGACTACTGGGTACATAACGAAATGAAGGCAGAAATAAAGATGTTCTTTGAAACCAACGAGAACAAAGACACAACATACCAGAATCTCTGGGACACATTCAAAGCAGTGTGTAGAGGGAAATTTATAGCACTAAATGCCCACAAGAGAAAGCAGGAAAGATCCAAAATTGACACCCTAACATCACAATTAAAAGAGCTAGAAAAGCAAGAGCAAACACATTCAAAAGCTAGCAGAAGGCAAGAAATAACTAAAATCAGAGCAGAACTGAAGGAAATAGAGACACAAAAAACCCTTCAAAAAATTAATGAATCCAGGAGCCGGTTTTTTGAAAGGATCAACAAAATTGATAGACCGCTAGCAAGACTAATAAAGAAAAAAAGAGAGAAGAATCAAATAGACGCAATAAAAAATGATAAAGGGGATATCACCACCTATCCCACAGAAATACAAACTACCATCAGAGAATACTACAAACACCTCTATGCAAATATACTAGAAAATCTAGAAGAAATGGATAAATTCCTGGACACATACACTCTCCCAAGACTAAACCAGGAAGAAGTTGAATCTCTGAATAGACCAATAACAGGATCTGAAATTGTGGCAATAATCAATAGCTTACCAACCAAAA
Source organism: Homo sapiens (assembly GCF_000001405.40). Lineage (NCBI taxonomy): Eukaryota > Metazoa > Chordata > Mammalia > Primates > Hominidae > Homo > Homo sapiens. The sequence goes on from NC_000011.10 coordinate 4,003,114, forward strand.
AGAGTCCAGGACCAGATGGATTCACAGCCAAATTCTACCAGAGGTACAAGGAGGAACTGGTACCATTCCTTCTGAAACTATTCCAATCAATAGAAAAAGAGGGAATCCTCCCTAACTCATTTTATGAGGCCAGCATCATCCTGATACCAAAGCCGGGCAGAGACACAACCAAAAAAGAGAATTTTAGACCAATATCCTTGATGAACATTGATGCAAAAATCCTCAGTAAAATACTGGCAAACTGAATCCAGCAGCACATCAAAAAGCTTATCCACCATGATCAAGTGGGCTTCATCCCTGGGATGCAAGGCTGGTTCAATATACACAAATCAATAAATGTAATCCAGCATATAAACAGAACCAAAGACAAAAACCACATGATTATCTCAATAGATGCAGAAAAGGCCTTTGACAAAATTCAACAACTCTTCATGCTAAAAACTCTCAATAAATTAGGTATTGATGGGACGTATCTCAAAATAATAAGAGCTATCTATGACAGACCCACAGCCAATATCATACTGAATGGGCAAAAACTGGAAGCATTCCCTTTGAAAACTGGCACAAGACGGGATGCCCTCTCTCACCACTCCTATTCAACATAGTGTTGGAAGTTCTGGCCAGGGCAACTAGGCAGAAGAAAGAAATAAAGGGTATTCGATTAGGAAAAGAGGAAGCCAAATTGTCCCTGTTTGCAGATGACATGATTGTATATCTAGAAAACCCCATTGTCTCAGCCCAAAATCTCCTTAAGCTGATAAGCAACTTCAGCAAAGTCTCAGGATAAAAAAAATCAATGTACAAAAATCACAAGCATTCTTATACACCAATAACAGACAAACAGAGAGCCAAATCATGAGTGAACTCCCATTTGCAATAGCTTCAAAGAGAATAAAATACTTAGGAATCCAACTTAGAAGGGACGTGAATGACCTCTTCAAGGAGAACTACAAACCACTGCTCAATGAAATAAAAGAGGATACAAACAAATGGAAGAACATTCCATGCTCATGGGTAGGAAGAATCAATATCATGAAAATGGCCATGCTGCCCAAGGTAATTTATAGATTCAATGCCATCCCCATCAAACTACCAATGACTTTCTTCACAGAATTGGAAAAAACTAAAGTTCATATGGAACCAAAAAAGAGCCCACATCGCCAAGTCAATCCTAAGCCAAAAGAACAAAGCTGGAGGCATCACGCTACCTGACTTCAAACTATACTACAAGGCTACAGTAACCAAAACAGCATGGTACTGGTACCAAAACAGAGATGTAGATCAATGGAACAGAACAGAGCCCTCAGAAATAACGCCGCATATCTACAACTATCTGATCTTTGACAAACCTGAGAAAAACAAGCAATGGGGAAAGGATTCCCTATTTAATAAATGGTGCTGGGAAAACTGGCTAGCCATATGTAGAAAGCTGAAACTGGATCCCTTCCTTATACCTTATACAAAAATTAATTCAAGATGGATTAAAGACTTAAACGTTAGACCTAAAACCATAAAAACCCTAGAAGAAAACCTAGGCATTACCATTCAGGACATAGGCATGGGCAAGGACTTCATGTCTAAAACACCAAAAGCAATGGCAACAAAAGCCAAAATTGACAAATGGGATCTAATTAAACTAAAGAGCTTCTGCACAGCAAAAGAAACTACCATCAGAGTGAACAGGCAACTGACAAAATGGGAGAAAATTTTCGCAACCTACTCATCTGACAAAGGGCTAATATCCAGAATCTACAATGAACTTAAACAAACTTACAAGAAAAAAACAGCCCCATCAAAAAGTGGGCAAAGGATATGAACAGACACTTCTCAAAAGAAGACATTTATGCAGCCAAAAAACACATGAGAAAATGCTCATCATCACTGGTCATCAGAGAAATGCAAATCAAAGCCACAATGAGATAGCATCTCACACCAGTTAGAATGGCAATCATTAAAAAGTCAGGAAACAACAGGTGCTGGAGAGGATGTGGAATAATAGGAACACTTTTACACTGTTGGTGGGACTGTAAACTAGTTCAACCATTGTGGAAGTCAGTGTGGCGACTCCTCAGGGATCTAGAACTAGAAATACCATTTGACCCAGCCATCCCATTACTAGGTATACACCCAAAGGACTATAAATCATGCTGCTATAAAGACACATGCACGCGTATGTTTATTGTGGCAGTATTCACAATAGCAAAGACTTGGAACCAACCCAAATGTCCAACAATGATAGACTGGATTAAGAAAATGTGGCACATATACACCATGGCATACTATGCAGCCATAAAAGATGAGTTCATCTCCTTTGTAGGGACATGGATGAAATTGGAAATCATCATTCTCAGTAAACTATCGCAAGGACAAAAAACCAAACACCGCATGTTCTCACTCATAGGTGGGAATTGAACAATGAGAACACATGACACAGGAAGGGGAACATCACACTCTGGGGACTGTTGTGGGGTGGGGGGAGGGGGGAGCGATAGCTTTAGGAGATATACCTAATGCTAAATGACGAGTTAATGGGTGCAGCACACCAGCATGGCACATGTATACATATATAACTAACCGGCACATTGTGCACATGTACCCTAAAACTTAAAGTATAATAATAATAATAAAAAAGATTATTCTAGTGTCTAATATGGTAGATAGACTGACAGAAAAGAGACTAGACGTACAAAGATAAGTGAGAAATGACTGCTGTATCCCTGCCTTGAGCAACAGCTTCTGATCTCAGTGGAAACAGATATTTCACTCATGAAACGTACATGTCCTAGAACTCTGTAAATGACATTTAGAGCTATTGTACCTGAAATATGGTATGCTTCCTTGCTAGATGTTCAAGAGGTAAATAAGAGTTGGTAAACTTTTCAGATCTGGAACATGTGACTTATGGGTTTGATATGGCTTGGTTCTGTGTCCCCACCAAATCTCGTGTTGAATTGTAATCCCCAGTGCTGGAGGTGGGGCTGTTAGGAGTGATTGGATTATCGGGGTGATGTTCTCATGAATTGTTTAACACCATCCCCTCTCAGTATTGAATAGTGAGTGAGTTCTCATGAGATCTGGTCATTTAGAAGTGTGGTAGCACCTCCCCCTTTGCTCTTTCTTCCTCCTGCTCTGGCTGTGTATGGTGTGTCTGTTTCCCTTTCACCTTCTGCCTTGATTGTAAGTTTCCCAAGGCCTCCCCAGAAGCAGAAGCTGCTATGCTTCCTGTACAGCCTGCGGAATGGTGAGCCAATTAAACCTCTTTTCTTATAAATTACCCAGTCTCAGGTATTTCTTTTTTTCTTTCTTTTTAAAATTTTCTTTGGCGGAGTCTCATGCTGTTGCCCAGGCTGGAGTGCAGTGGCACAATCTCGGCTCCCTGCAACTTCTGTTTCCTGGGTTCAAGCGATTCTCCTTCCTCACCCTCCCAGGTAGCTGGGATTACAGGCACAAGCCATGATGGCAGCTATTTTTTATATTTTTAGTAGAGACGGGATTTGACCATGTTGGCCAGGCTGGTCTTGAATTCCTGACCTCAAGTGATCTGCCCACCTCTGGTTCCCAAAGTGCTGGGATTACAGGTGTGAGCCACTGTGCCCAGCCACAGGTATTTCTTTATAGCAATGTAATAATGGACTAATGTAGGGTTCTAAATATTGTGGGCTGGATGGGGGTTGGAGAGCAGCAGAGAAAGTGGGAATGGAGGTGGGACAATTTGGTTTGGGAAATATGGAAGGTAAGTAGTAGGGAACAAGGTTGGAAAGGGGAGGGAAGTGTTATTGATTCTAAGGAAGAACCCAGGAAAGCCATCCAGATTGCTGTACCCAAAGGTGTGCTGCTCTTCTTCTGGCTTTATGTCAGTGAATTCTCTTCTCTGGTGGATCAAGCTGGCTGGGCCTATTTTGTAGAAATTATAGAGAGATGTCTCCCCTCTTCTCTGCTCCCACTCTCACTACTTCACTACTGCTTGACACTTGGGATGGGTTTATGCCATGTGCCACCTCCTGGGAGATCATTTTTCTGGGCGCATGGAACTAAATATACTTACTGACAGCTGGTAGCTTGGCTCTTTGTAGAACTATTGAGCTGTATAGTTCTAGCCAATGTTGCATTCCCCATGGTAAGGCAGGACTCTTGGGGAGCCTCCTTAGGTATTCCTGAGAGAAGAGCTGCTTGTTCTAAGTCTGAAATAGTAAATCCCTTTGGTGGGATCCAAAAGCTGCCTGTTTAGCTTTGTTATCACCTTTCGTTACTTTTAAACTTTGTCTTAAATCAGACTTTAGCTATTAGCTGGATGTGGGACAGTGTTCAAAGTAAGATGTGGTAATGCCTACTTCAAGTATATTGAACATCAAAGTTACAGCTCAATATAATATTCTTGGGTGCTAGTACCCAGCTTGTGGCTGGGTAACTGGGAACTTCCGTTGAGGGTATATGGTTTGGCAGGGGAGATAGACATCTAATAAGACTGATAAAGGTATTCATAGGCACTATGGGAGCACAGAAGAAGTCACCTTTGATCAAGAATCTTTTTCTGTTACTTTCCTGTCCTTATCTCACTCTCCTTCCAATAATAATCTCAATTAATATCTGAATTGTGCTTTCAAACTCAGTACTTTAGTGTACAACAGGAATTACAAACTGTGCCCCTGAAGGGTCAGAGGGCATTGTAAGTGAGTAATGTGGGCTGTATAAATGCATGTGCATAAGTCTGTGAGTGGTGAGAGCTGTGGGAAAATGGAGAGCCCACACCTCTTCAGAAGGAGCAGCTCTGGCAGACTGTTGCCATGTAGTCATGTACTCCAAGAGCAGTTCTAAGAGATAGGGGATTGAGACCTCCATAGCTCCTTTAGCACCAACTCCCCAACCTTTAAGATACCCCAAATTGTATAACATATATATATTCATACTCATATATAATATGAATTATACATATTTTATATATAGTCATAGGCCACATAAGGACATTCAGTCAACAGTGGGCCACATATGCAATGTGGTTCCATAAGATTATAATATATTTTACTATATCTTTTTTATGTTTGGATATGTTTAGGTACACAAATACTTACTACTGTGTTACAACTCCCTACAATATTGAGTACAGTAACATGTTGTACAAGTTTGTAGCCTAGGAGCAATAGGCTATTTCATATAACCTAGGTGTGTAGTAGGCTATACACATCTAGCATACTCTATGATGTTGACACATGATGCATTTCTTAGAATGTATCCCCATCATATGTCATAAGTGAATGACATATAATGAAACCAATTTTAACAGAGGCTAATTTGTTATAAACAAGGGTTAAGTTCCTATGGCATATTTCTGGTCACAAAAACATCACCAAACTTACAAATAAAGACCAAAACACTTACAATATGAAACACTGAAATAAATGTGAGCTGTATATACATTTAAGAAAGATTAATAAAAACAAGTAAGATAATTATTTATAATTATTTACCTACTTATTTCAGTTTAGGGTTGAGAGTGTCCAGAGTTTATGCTAGCAGCTCAGGGTGCAAGGTGGGCACCAACTCTGGATAGGACGCCATTTCATTGCATGGCACACTCACACACCCACACTCACTCAGGCTAGGACCATGGAGACATGCCAGTTCACCTAAAATGTACATCTTTGGGATGTGGGAGGAAATCAGAGAATGCACAGAAAACCCATGCACACATGGGGAGAGCATGGAAACTTCACACAGACAGTAGCCCCAGCCAGGAATTGATTTTTTTTTCATTGACGTTATAAAGAAATGACATTGAAAGAAATGGTGTTATTTGAGGAGCTGCTGTATATATTTATTCTTTGATATGGAGAATTGATTTTTTCCTTAAGTTTAAGTAAAAGGTTAATAAAAACATCTTCATAAAAAGTTGCATTTTGGCTGGGTGCGGTGGCTCACGCCTGTAATCCCAGCACTTTGGGAGGCCGAGGCGGGCAGATCACGAGGTCAGGAGATCGAGACCATTCTGGCTAACACAGTGAAACCGCGTCTCTACTAAAAATTAAAAAAAAAAATTAGCCGGGTGTGGTGGCAGGCCCCTGTAGTCCCAGCTACTTGGAAGGCTGAGGCAGGAGAATGGCGTGAACTCAGGAGGCGGAGCTTGCAGTGAGCTGCGATCGCGCCACTGCACTCCAGCCTGTGCAACAGGGAAAGAGTGTCTCAAAAAAAAAAAAAAAGTTGCATTTTAAAATTAATTTGTGGCCGGGTGTGGTGGCTCACGCCTGTAATCCCAGCACTTTGGGAGGCCGAGGCAGGCAGATCACTTGAGATCAGGAGTTCGAGACTAGCCTGGCCAACATGCTGAAACCCTGCCTCCACTAAAAACACAAAAATTAGCATGATGGTGGGCGCCTGTAATCCCAGCTACTCAGGAGGCTGAGGCAGGAGAATTGCTTGAACCCGGCGGGCAGAGGTTGCAGTGAGCTGAGATCATGCCACTGCACTCCAGCTTGGGCAGACAGAGTGAGACTCCATCTCAAAATAATAATAATAATAATAATAATAAATAAAGTAAAATAAAATTAATTTGTAATGAATAATCTTCATAAAAATAGTGTGCTTGCTATGCAAATGCAACCTCATGACAAGTCCCTTAGCTCTCACTCTCCTTTTCCAATTAAATTGTTAGTCCTTAAGCCACTCCTGTATAAAATTCTAAAGTCATTGGAGCTTACTGTGGCTAGATATTTTTATTTTTTTGAGACAGGATCTTGCTCTATTGCCCAGGCTGGAGTACAGTGGTACGATCACGGCTTACCGCAACCTTAACATCTTGGGTTCAAGTAATCCTCTCACCTCAGCCTCCCAAGTAGTTGGGACCACAAGTGCACACCACCACATGTAGCTAATTTTAAAATTTTTTGTGGAGATGGGGTTTCACTATGTTGCCCAGACTAGTCTTGAACTCCTGGGCTCAAGCAATCTCCTTCCACCTCGGCCTCCCAAAGTGCTGGGATTGAAGGCATGAGCCATGGAGCCCAACCTGTTTTGATTTGTTTAAAAGATAGCCTGAGAAGGTGGACTTTTAGTGAAATTTTCTGATTTTTTTTTTTTTTTTGAGACAGAGTCTGGCCTTGTCATCCAGGCTGTAGTGCAGTGGCATGATCTCGACTCACTACAACCTCCGCCTTCCAGGTTTAAGCAATTGTTGTGCCTCAGCCTCCCAAGTAGCTGGGATTGCAGGTGTGTGCCATCCTGCCTAGCTGATTTTTGTATTTTTAGTGGAGGCAGGGTTTCACAGTGTTGGCCTGGCTGGTCTCAAACTCCTGACCTCAGGTGATCCACCTGCTTCAGCCTCCCGATGTGCTGGGATTACAGGCATGAGCCACTGCGCCCGGCCAAAATTTTATGATTTTTAAATTTAGGTTCAACTTTTCAAAATGCTGTGCAGGCCAGTAAAAGACACACACAAAGGCAATTTATGACTTCTGCAAACTTGTCTCATTTAATCCTTACCATACCTGAAATGAGGGACATTATTAACCCTAATTTTGAGAGGAAAATAGGCTCAGAGAGGCAAAGTAGCTTGCCCAAAAGTCACACAGCAAGTAAGTAGCCTGTTTCTATGGGTTCTGCCTTTCTTTCTTTCTTTTTTTTATTATTATATATTTTAAGTTCTAGGGTACATGTGCACAATGTGCAGGTTTGTTACATAGGTATACATATGCCATGTTGGTTTACTGCACCCATCAAGTTGTCATTTACATTAGGTATTTCTTCTAATGCTATCCCTCCCCCAGCCCCCAGCCCCCAACAGGCCCTGGTGTATGATATTCCCCTCCCTCTGTCTGTATGTTCTCATTGTTCAACTCCCACTTATAAGTGAGAACATGTGGTGTTTGGTTTTCTGTCCTTGTGATATTTTGCTGAGAATGATGGTTTCCAGCTTCATTCAAGTCCCTGAAAAGAACATGAACTCATCCTTTTTTATGGCTGCATAGTAGTCCATGGTGTATATATGCCACATTTTCTTTATCCAGTCTGTTATTGATGGACATTTGGGTTGGTTCCAAGTCTTTGCTATTGTGAATAGTGCCGCAATAAACATATGTGTGCATGTGTCTTTATAGTATCATGATTTATAATCCTTTGGGTATATACGCAGTATTGGGATTGCTGGGTCAAATGGTATTTCTAGTTCTAGATCCTTGAGAAATCACCACACTGTCTTCCACAATGGTTGAACTAATTTACACTCCCACCAACAGTGTAAAAGCATTCCTATTTCTCCACATCCTTTCCAGCATCTGTTGTTTCCTGACTTTTTAATGATCTCCATTCTAACTGGCGTGAGATAGTATCTCATTGTGATTTTGATTTTGATTTGCGTTTCTCTGATGGCCAGTGAAGATGAGCATTTTTTCATGTGTCTGTTGGCTGCATAAATGTCTTCTTTTGAGAAGTGTCTGTTCATATTCTTCACCTACTTTTTGATTGGGTTGTTTGTTTTTTTCTTGTAAATTTGTTTAAGTTCTTTGTAGATTCTGGATATTAGCCCTTTGTCAGATGGATAGTGCAAAAATTTTCTCCCATTCTATAGGTTGCCCGTTCGCTCTGCTGATAGTTTCTTTTGCTGTGCAGAAGCTCTGTAGTTTAATTAGATCCCATTTGTCTGTTTTGGCTTTTGTTGCCATTGCTTTTGGTGCTTTAGTCATGAAGTCTTTGCCCATGCCTATGTCCTGAATGGTATTGCCTAGGTTTTCTTCTAGGGTTTTTATGGTTTTAGGTCTTACATTTAAGTCTTTAATCCATCTCTAGTTAATTTTTGTATAAGGTGTAAGGAAGGGATCCAGTTTCAGCTTTTTACATATGGCTAGCCAGTTTTCCCAGCACCATTTATTAAATAGGGAATCCCTTCTCCATTGCTTGTTTTTGACAGGTTTGTCAAATATTAGATGGTTGTAGATGTGTGGTGTTATTTCTGAGGGCTCTGTTCTGTTCCATTGGTCGAGATACCTGTTTTGGTACCAGTACCATGCTGTTTTGGTTACTGTAGCCTTGTAGCATAGTTTGAAGTCAGGTAGTGTGATGCCTCCAGCTTTGTTCTCTTTGCTTAGGATTGTCTTGGCTATGCGGACTCTTTTTTGGTTCCATATGAACTTTAAAGTAGTTTTTTCCAATTCTGTGAAGAAAGTCAGTGGTAGCTTGATGGGGATAGCATTGAATCTATAAATTACCTTGGGCAGTGTGGCCATTTTCATGATATTGATTCTTCCTATCCATGAGCATGGAATGCTCTTCCATTTGTTTGTGTCCTCTTTTATTTCGTTGAGCAGTTGTTTGTAGTTCTCCTTGAAGAGGTCCTTCACATCCCTTGTAAGTTGGATTCCTAGGTATTTTATTTGCTTTGTAGTAATTGTGAATGGGAGTTCACTCATGATTTGGCTCTCTGTTTGTCTGTTCTTGGTGTATAGGAATGCTTGTGATTTTTGCACATTGCTTTTATATCCTGAGACTTTGCTGAAGTTGCTTATCAGTTTAAGGAGATTTTGGGCGGAGACGATGGGGTTTTCTAAATATACAATCATGTCATCTGCAAACAGGGACAATTTGACTTCCTCTTTTCCTAATTGAATACCCTTTATTTCTTTCTCTTGCCTGATTGCCCTGGCCAGAACTTCCAACACTATGTTGAATAGGAGTGGTGAGAGAGGGCATCCTTGTCTTGTGCCAGTTTTCAAAGGGTATGTTTCCAGCTTTTGCCCATTCAGTATTATATTGGCTGTGGGTTTGTCATAAATAGCTCTTATTATTTTGAGATATGTTCCATCAATACCTAGTTTATTGAGAGTGTTTAGCATGAAAGGCTGTTGAATTTTGTCAAAGGCCTTTTCTGCATCTATTGAGATAATCATGTGATTTTTGTGGTTGGTTCTGTTTATGTGATGGATTATGTTTATTGATCTGCATATGTTGAACCAGCCTTGCATCCCAGGATGAAGCCAACTTGATCATGGTGGATAAGCTTTTTGATGTGCTGCTGTATTCGGTGTGCCAGTATTTTATTGAGGATTTTTGCATCGATGTTCATCGGGGACACTGGCCTAAAATTCTTTTATTTGTTGTGTCTCTGCCAGGCTTTGGTATCAGGATGATGCTGGCCTCATAAAATGAGTTAAGGAGGATTCCCTCTTTTTCTATTGATTGGAATAGTTTCAGAAGGAATGGTACCAGCTCCTCTTTGTACCTGTGGTAGAATTTGGCTGTGAATCCATCTGGTCCTGGACTTTTCTTGGTTGGTAGGCTATTAATTATTGCCTCAATTTCAGAACCTGTTATTGGTCTGTTCAAAGATTCAACTTCTTCCTGATTTAGTCTTGGGAGGGTGTATGTGTCGAGGAATTTATCCATTTCTTCTAGATTTTCTAGTTTATTTATTTTATATTTTATATTATTTTATTCTCTTTGTGTAGAGGTGTTTATAGTATTCTCTGATGGTAGTTTGTATTCCTGTGGGATCGGTGGCGATATCCCCTTTATCATTTTTTATTGCATCTGTATGATTCTTCTCTCTTCTTTGTTGATCTTTTCAAAAACCAGCTCCTGGATTCATTGATTTCTTTTTTTTTTTTTTTTTTTTTTTTTTTTTTTTGAGACAGAGTATCCCTTTGTCACCCAGGCTGGAGTGCAGTGGCATGATCTTGGCTCACTGCAAGCTCCTCCTCCCGGTTTCACGCCATTCTCCTGCCTCCGCCTCCCGAGTAGCTGGGACTACAGGCACCCGCCACCATGCCTGGCTAATTTTTTTGTATTTTTTTAGTAGAGACAGGGTTTCACCGTGTTAGCCAGGATGGTCTCGATCTCCTGACCTCGTGATCCGCCCGTGTTGGTTTCCCAAAGTGCTGGGATTACAGGCATCAGCCACCACGCCTGGCTGATTCATTGATTTTTTGAAGGGTTTTTTGTGTCTCTATCTCCTTCAGTTCTGCTGTGATCTTAGTTATTTCTTGTCTTCTGCTAGCTCTTGAATTTGTTTGCCATTTCTTCTCTAGTTCTTTTAATTGTGATGTTAGGGTGTCGATTTTAGATCTTTTTTGCTTTCTCTTGTGGGCATTTGGTGCTATAAATTTCCCTCTACACACTGTTTTAAATGTGTCCCAGAGATTCTGGTATGTTGTGTCTTTGTTCTCATTGGTTTCAAAGAACATCTTTATTTCTGCCTTCATTTCGTTATTTATCCAGTAGTCCTTCAGGAGCAGGTTGTTCAGTTCCCACGTAGTTGTGTGGTTTTGAGTGAACTTCTTAATCCTGAGTTCTAATTTGATTGCACTGTGGTCTGAGAGACAGTTTGTTGTGATTTCTGTTCTTTTACATTTGCTGACGAGTATTTTACTTCCAAGTATGTGGTCAATTTTAGAATAAGTGTGATGTGGTGCTGAGAAGAATGTATAGTCTGTTGATTTGGCGTGGAGAGTTCTGTAGATGTCTATTAGGTCTGCTTGGTCCAGAGCTGAGTTCAAGTCCTGGATATCCTTGTTAATTTTCTGTCTTGTTTATCTGTCTAATATTGACAGTGGGGTGTTAAAGTCTCCCATTATTATTGTGTGGGAGTCTAAGTCTCTTTGTAGGTCACTCAGGACTTGCTTTATGAATCTGGGTGCTCCTGTATTGGGTGCATATATATTTAGGATAGTTAGCTCTTCTTGTTGAATTGATCCCTTTACCATCATGTAATGGCCTTCTTTGTCTCTTTTGATCTTTGTTGGTTTAAAGTCTGTTTTATCAGAGACTAGGTTTGCAACCCCTGCTTTTTATTGCTTTCCATTAGCTTGGTGGATCTTCCTCTATCCCTTTATTTTGAGCCTATGTGTGTCTTTACACGTGAGATGGGTCTCCTGAATACAGCTACTGATGGGTCTTGACTCTTTATCCAATTTACCACTCTGTGTCTTTTAATTGGGGCATTTAGCCCATTTACATTTAAGGTTTATATTGTTAGGTGTGAATTTGATCCTGTCAATATGATGCTAGCTGGTTATTTTGCCCATTAATTGATGCAGTTTCTTCATAGCATCAATGGTCTTTACAATTTGGCATATTTTTGCAGTGGCTGGTACTGGTTGTCCTTTCCATGTTTAGTGCTTCCTTCAGGAGCTCTTGTAAGGCAGGCCTGGTGGTGACAAAATTTCTCAGCATTTGCTTGTCTGTAAAGGATTTTATTTCTCCTTCACTTATGAAGCTTAGTTTGGCTGGATATGAAATTCTGGGTTGAAAATTCTTTAAGAATGTTGAATATTGGCCCCCACTCTCTTCTGGCTTGTAGGGTTTCTGCCAAGAGATCCACTGTTAGTCTGATGGGCTTCCCTTTGTGGGTAACCCGACCTCTCTCTCTGGCTGCCCTTAACATTTTTTCCTTCATTTCCACCTTGGTGAATCTGACAATTATGTGTCTTGGGGTTGCTCTTCTCGAGGAGTATCTTTATGGTGTTCTGTGTATTTCCTGAATTTGAATGTTGGCCTGCCTTGCTAGGTTGGGGAAGTTCTCCTGGATAATATCCTGAAGAGTGTTTTCTAACTTGGTTGCATTCTCCCTGTCACTTTCAGGTACACCAATCAGACGTAGATTTGGTCTTTTCACATAGTCCCATATTTCTTGGAAGCTTTGTTCGTTTCTTTTTACTTTTTTCTCTCATCTTGTCTTCTTGCTTTATTTCATTAATTTGATCTTCAATCACTGATATCTTTTTTTCCGCTTGATCAAATCGGCTATTGAAGCTTGTGTATGCTTCATGAAGTTCTCGTACTGTGGTTTTCAGCTCCATCAGGTCATTTAAGCTCTTCTCTACACTGGTTATTTTAGTTAGCCATTTGTCTAACCTTTTTTCAAGGATTTTAGCTTCCTTGCAATGGGTTAGAACATGCTCCTTTAGGTCGGAGAAGTTTGTTATTACCGACCTTCTGAAGCCTACTTCTGTCAACTCGTTAAACTCATCCTCCCTCCAGTTTTGTTCCCTTGCTGGCGAGGAGTTGTGTTCCTTTGGAGGAGAAGAGGCGTTCCAGTTTTTGGAATTTTCAGCCTTTCTGTTCTGGTTTCTCCCCATCTTTGTGGTTTTATCTACCTTTGTTCTTTGATGTTGGTGACCTACAGATGGGGTTTTGGTGTGGATGTCCTTTTTGTTGATGTTGATGCTATTCCTTTCTGTTTGTTAATTTTCCTTCTAACAGACAGGCCCCTCAGCTGCATGTCTGTTGGAGTTGGCGGGAGGTCCACTCCAGACCCTGTTTGCCTGGGTATCACCAGTGGAGGCTGCAGAACAGCAAATGTTGCTGCCTGATCCTTCCTCTGGAAGCTTTGTCCCAGAGGGTCACCCGCCTGTATGAGGTGTCTGTCAGTCCCTACTGGGAGGTGTCTCCCAGTCAGGCTACACGGGTGTCAGGGACCCACTTGAGGAGGCAGTCTGTCCATTATCGGAGCTCAAACGCTGTGCTGGGACAACCACTGCTCTCTTCAGAGCTGTCAGGCAGGGACGTTTAAGTCTGCAGAAGCTGTCTGCTGCCTTTTGTTCAGATATGCCCTGCCCCCAGAGATGGAATCTAGAGAGGCAGTAGGCCTTGCTGAGGTGCAATGGGCTCCGCCCAGTTTGAGCTCCTTGCCACTTTATTTACACTGTGAGCATAGAACTGCCTACTCAAGCCTCAGCAATGGTGGATGCCCCTCCCCCCACCAAGCTCCAGTGTCCCGGGTCGATCTCAGACTGCTGTGCTAGCAGCAAGGAAGGCTCTGTGTGTGTGGGACCCGCCGAGCCAGGCACAGGAGGGAATCTCCTGGATCTGCCAGTTGCGAAGACCGTGGGAAAAGTGCGGTATTTGGGCAGCAGTGCACTGTTCCACCAGGTAGAGTCACTCACGGCTTCCCTTTGGCTAGGAAAGGGAAATCCCCTGACCCCTTGCACTTGCCAGGTAAGGCAATGCCCCACCCTGCTTTGGCTTGTCCTCCATGGGCTGCACCCACTGTCCAACCAGTCCCAATGAGATGAACCAGGTACCTCAGTTGGGAATGCAGAAATCACCCGTCTTCTGCATTGATCTCACTGGGAGCTGTAGACCGGAGCTGTTCCTATTTGGCCATCTTGGAAGTCCACTGGGTTCTGCCTTTCTGACTCTTAAGGCCTGATTGTTGCAGCTTCATTTCTTTATTTTCTAAAGAGGTCCCATTCAGCATAAGTACCTTCCTTCAGGTAGAGCTTCTATTTGCCAGTTCCTCTTTTGGCATCATCTTCTCTCTGACCTTGTTTTCTGACCCTACTTGTTTTTTGTGTGTTTTGTGGCACCAGTAGGGTCTGTATGTGAGTCCCTATGCAGATCTTCCTTATACTTTCTTTCTGAGTTTCTCTGCTCTCCACTTACCTCGGTGATCAGACTTGACTATAAAAATGAGTCTATTTCTTGTTGATTTCCTATAAGCAGCTGGTATCTCATGTCAGATGGTTTCCTGGAGTTATCTGATAATGGGAGAAAATCCCCTTCCTTGGAGATTTTGGTGTTTCTGCTCCCAAGGCTTGCTTGTGGTAACTGTCTTTCTAGTCTTAGATTAAGAGGTTCTAGGTTGGAGCCTATGAGGACCAAAGAAGGGTATATCTTGAAGAACCTGATTAATCAAACCTAAAAAATCATGAGGATAGCAGATTTGATCTCTAAAATATATCCCAATTCTGACAAATTCTCATCACTTCCACAGCTACCACCTTGTTTCAAACCACCATTAGCTCATGTTATTGCAATACCCACCTGAGTGATTTCTCTGTATCTGCCCTTTCCCTTTTATAGTCTACTTTTTAACACAGTATCCAGAGAAATCGTTTTAAAAATATAAATGTCTTCATGTTATACCTCTGTTCAAATCCCTGTAACAGCTCCCATCTCAGAGTGAAAAATCAAAGTCTTGATAATAGCCTAAAAAGTCAGCTGGGTGCATGGCTCACGCCTATAATCCCAGCACTTTGGGAGGCCGAGACAGGTGGATCACCTGAGGTCTGGAGTTCAAGACCAGCCTGACTAACATGGAGAAACCCCATCTCTATTAAAAAATACAAAATTGGCTGGGCGCGGTGGCTCACGCCTGTAATCCCAGCACTTTGGGAGGCCGAGGCGGGTGGATCATGAGGTCAGGAGATCGAGACCATCCTGGCTAACAAGGTGAAACCCCGTCTCTACTAAAAATACAAAAAAAAATTAGCCGGGCGCGGTGGCGGGCGCCTGTAGTCCCAGCTACTCGGGAGGCTGAGGCAGGATAATGGCGTGAACCCGGGAAGCGGAGCTTGCAGTGAGCCGAGATTGCGCCACTGCAGTCCGCAGTCCGGCCTGGGCGACAGAGCGAGACTCCGTCTCAAAAAAAAAAAAAAAAAAAAAAAAAAAACAAACAAAATTAGCCAGGAGTGGTGGTGCATGCCTGTAATCCCAGCTACTCGGGAGGCTGAGGCAGGAGAATTGCTTGAAACTGGGAGGTGGAGGTTGCGGTGAGCCAGGTTTGTGCCCCTGCACTCCAGCCTGGGCAATAAGAATGAAACTCTGTCTCAAAAAAAAAAAAAAAAAAAGGCATAAAAGGGGGATCTGTGTTCTGGAACCCTGTGGCTTCTTTGAGTTCATCTCCTGCTGGTTACCACCTTACTCATTTCTCTCCAACGATACTGGCCTTCTTGTTATTCCTTGAACATACCAAGTATATTCTCTTGCCTCAGGGACTTTGCTTCTGCCCTTCTCCATTCTTGGGATACTCTTCTCCCAGTTATTCTGCATGCCTTTCTCCCACACCTCTTTTAAATATTTGCTTTGAAGTCACCTTCTTATCTTTTGCCTTGTTGCACTCCTGAAGGCAAAATGGATCACAAGCAGCTCTGCTGGAGCCACCCACAAAAATCTGGCCAGAGTTCTCGCTCTTGTTGCATCTGCTCAAACCAGCATGGTCTGATCTGGAAATATAGCCTCAATATGTGCCTCCAGTGTTGCCATCAGTACGTGAAGGATATAGGTTTCATTAAATTGGACTAAGTGATCTTCCTTGAATGGATTATCCAAGGCATCCACACAATGAAAAATCATATTAGCTGTTTGTACATAAAATAAAAATGAAGAAAATGAAGTCAGCTTCTTAATGACACCTTGATTCCTCTCATTAAAATGACAAATTGTGAATACCACTACTCTTGGCATCTCCTATTCCTCTTCCCTGCTGTTTTTTTCTTTATTTAAATTATATTTTATTTAAAAACATTTTTAAAATTTTATTTTATTTGTAACTGATACATAACAGTTGTACATATTGGCCAGGCATGGTGGCTGACGCCTGTAATCCGAGCACTTTGGGAGGCTGAGGCAGGAGGATTGCTTGAGCTCAGGAGTTTGAGACCAGCTTGGGAAACATAGTGAGACACCGTGTGTACAAAAAATTTAAAAAAATAGCTCGGTACCGTGGTGCACACCCATAGTCCAAGTTACTTGGGAAGCTGAGGCAGGAGGATCACCCAGCCTGGGTGACAGAGCGAGACACTGTCTC
Organism: Homo sapiens; assembly: GCF_000001405.40. NCBI lineage: Eukaryota > Metazoa > Chordata > Mammalia > Primates > Hominidae > Homo > Homo sapiens. The sequence continues at coordinate 4,019,624 of NC_000011.10, forward strand.
AAAAACAACAACAACAAAAAACCCCACCAACCAACCAACCATCCAAAAAAATTGTACATATTTATAGGATACAGTGTGATGTTTTGATACATGTATACAATGTATAATGATCAAATTAGGGGGTAAAATTAGTATATCTGTCATCTCAAACATATATCATTTCTTTGTGGTGAACATTCAAAATCCTTTCTTCTAGCTATTTTGAAATATACACTATATTATTGTTAACTAAAATCACCCTACTGTGCAATGGAACACTAGAACTTATAAACTTACCCTCCCAACTGTAAATTTGTACCCACTGACCAATCTCTCCCCATCTCCCTGTCTACCCTTCCCAGATTCTGGTAACCACTATCCTACGTTCTACTTCTATGAGATCAGCTTTTTAAGATTCCATATATGAGTGAGAACATGTGGTATTTATTTTTTGTGCCTGGCTTATTTCACTTAGCATAATGTCCTCGAGGCACATCCATGTTGCCACAAATGACAGAATTTCATTCTTTTTTTCTTTATGGCTGAATGGTATGCTGTTGTGTAAATATACGACATTTTCTTTAAACATTCATTTGCTGATGGGCCCTGAGGTTGATTCTATATCTTGGCTATTGTGAATAGTGCTGCAATAAACATGGAAGTGAAGATGTCTCTTCAACATGCTGATTTCATTTCCTTTGGATGTGTACCGAATAGTGGGATTTCTGGATCATATGGTAGTTCTATTTTTCATGTTTTGAGGAACCTCCATACTGTTTTATATGGTGACTGTACTAATTTACACTGCCACCAACAGTGTGTAAGGGTTTCCCTTTCTCTATATCCTTGGCAGCATTTGTTATTTGTTATTTTTTTGGTAATAGCCATACTAACTGGGGTGAGATGATATCTCATTGTGGTTTTGATTTCCATTTCCCTGATGATTAGTGATATTGAGCATATTTTTCACATATCTTTTGGACTTTTTTTTTTCTTTTTTCTCTGAGACAAGGTCTCGCTCTGTCACCCAGGCTGGAGTACAGTGGCATGATCACAACTCACTACAACCTTGATCTCCCAGGCTCAAGTGATCCTCTGACCTCAGGCTCTAGCTTCAGCCTATAGCTGGGACCACAGGCATAAACCACCACACCTGGCTAATTTTTTTTTTTTAATTTTTTGCACAGGCGGAGTCTCCCTATGCTGCCCAGGCTGGTCTCAAAATCCTGATCTCAAGTGATCCTCCCACTTTCGCTTCCCAAAGTGCCGTGATTACAGGCATGAACCACTGTGCTCAGTCTTGTTTGTCTTCTTTTGAGAAATGTCTAGTTAGATCTTTCACCCATTTTTTAATCTGATTTTTTTTCTATTGAGTTGTTCGAGTTCCTTATATATTCTAGATGTTAACCGCTTGTCAGATGTATAATTTGCAGATGTTTTCTCCCATTCTGTAGGTTGTCTCTTCACTTTTCATTGTTTCCATTTTATTTTGATTTAATCCCATTTATCTATTTTTGTATTTTGTTGCCTATGGTGGTGGTGGTGGTGGTGGTTGTTGTTGTTGTTTTTTGGCAGTGCAGTGACGTGATATTAGCTCACTGCAGCCTCCACTTCCTGGGTTCAAGTGATTCTCCTGCTTCAGCCTCCCGAGTAACTGGGATTACAGGCATGTGCCACCATGCCCAGCTAATTTTTGTATTTTTAGTAGAGATGGGGTTTCGCCATGCTGGCCAGGCTGGTCTCCAACTCCCAGCTTCAGGCGATCCACCTGCCTTGGCCTCCCAAAGTGCTGGGATTACAGGCATGAGCCACCGTGCCCGGCCCCCAGTACAGTTTATTGAAGAGATTGTCCTTTCCTCAGTGTTTGTTCATGCATTTGTCCAAAATCAATTGGCTATACATATGTGGATTTTATTCCTGTGTTCTGTATTCTTTTCCATGTCTGTTTTTATGCCAGCACCATGCTGTTTCAGTTACTATTGTTTTGGAGAATATTTTAAAGTCAGATGGTGTGATTGCTCTAGCTTTGTTCTTTTTGCTCAAGATGGCTTTGGCTATTCAGGTTTCTTTTTGGTTCCATATGAATTTTAGGATTTTTTTTTCTATTTCTGTCAAGAATGTCACTGAAATTTAGATAGGGATTACATTGAATCCGTAGATTGCTTTGGGTAGTATGAATATTTTAACAATATTAATTCTTCCAACCCATGTACATAGGGTATCTTTCCATTTATTTGTGTCTTCTTCAATTTAGTTCATCAGTATTTTACAGTTTTCATTGTAGAGATCTTTTACCTCCTTGGTTAAATTTATTCTTAGGTATTTTATTATTTTTTGTAGCTATTGTAAATGGGATTTTTTTTAATTTCTTTTTCAGATTTGTTTACTAGCTCTAACAGTTTTTTGGTGGTGTCTGTAGGTTTTTCTAGATTTAATATCATGTTATTGGCTGGGCATGGTGGCTCACACTTGTAATTCCAGCACTTTGGGAAGCAGAGGTGGGTGGATCCCTTGAGATCAGGAGTTTGAGACCAGCCTGGGTAACGTGGTAAAATCCCGTCTCTACCAAAAATACAAAAAATTAGCCAGGTGGGGTGGCGTGCACACCTATAGTCCCAGCTACTTGGGAGGCAGAGATGGAAGGATCTCTTGAGGCCCAGGAGGTGGAGGTTGCAGTCAGCTGAGATCATGCCACTGCACTGCAGCCTGGGTGACAGAATAAGAACCTGTCTCAAAAAAAAAAAAAAAAAAAAAGAGAGAAGATCATGTTGTCTGCATGCAGGGGCAGTTTGACTTCCTTCTTTCCAATTTTGATGCCTTTCTTCTTTCCTTCCTTCCCTTCCTTCCCTTCCTTTCCTTTCTTTCCTCTTGCCTAATTGCTCTGGCTAGGACTTTCATTACTGTGTTGAATAATAGCGGTGAACGAAGGCATCCTTGTCTCGTTCCAGATTTTAGAAGAAAAGCTTTCAACTTTTCCCTGTTCAATATATTAGATGTGGGTTTGTCATATATGGCCTTTATTGTGTTGAGGTATATTCCTTCTATACCTAATTTGATTGCAGAGCTGGGGGCTGGAATCAACTGAAGTCTCAGTCACTCACATACCTGACTCCTGAACTTGAAGACTCAAACAGCTGGGGCTACTCACACATTTCTATCTCTACATAGACTTTCCACATGATATCTCCAGCAGGGTGGCTTCAGCGTAGCCAGGCTTCTTACATTTTGACTCAGGGCCCCTCAGGGCCCAAAAGAGAGAGAGCTAGGTGAAATTTATATTGCTTTTTCTAACCTAGACTTGGGTGTCGTGCAACATCACTGTTGCCACATTCTATTTGTTAGAAGATGAGTCACTAATGTCAGCCTATATTAAAGGGGAGGGAAATCCACCTTTAACGGGAGGATTATCAAACAATTTGTGGACATGTTTTAAAACCATTACAGTCGGCCGGGTATGGTGGCTCACACCTGTAATCCTAGCACTTTCGGAGACCGAGATGGGTGGATTGCCTGAGCTCAAGAGTTTGAGACCAGCCTGGGCAATGGTGAAACCCTATCTTTACTGAAATACAAAGAGTTAGCTGGGTCGGGTGGCACACACCTGTAATCCCAGCTACTCAGGAGGCTGAGACAAGAGAATTGCTTGAACTTCGGAGGTGGAGGTTGCAGTGAGCTGAAATTGCGCCACTGCACTCCAGCCTGGGTGACGAGCGAGACTCTGTCTCAAGACAAACAAACAAACAAACAAACAAACAAACAACCATCACAGTAAATTAACCTGTCTAAACCTAATGTAATTTGGGGCAAATGGCATTATCTTCAAGAGTATCACTGTTCTCATTTATAAAATAAGTGTGATAATTCATTGGTTGTGAAGATTTGATGAGAAAATATTGTGGAAATTCTTAGAATATTGCCTAATTTATAAGCAAGTACTCAAACATTTTAAATTCTTCCTTTTTTCTTTCCTCTTTTAGCTTATTGATTTTCAGTTAACTGTCATGTATTGTCTTTTCATAGTTAAAAAATATGAGGAAAGGATTTCTAATTTATATATATTTTTCAAGTGAGACATGTAACAAAGAGGAAGTGATAGTTTAGTTGGCAACTAAGACATGTGCATAAGGAAGGATACATGAGTGATGTGATACACTTGTATGTTGGGTAGATGGAATGTGTTATGGCTAGCTAGAGGCAGGTGACCTGTGTGGAGATCTTGACGGGCTGACTCCTAGGTATCTCTTGTGACTTGTGTACTTTTCCCTTGCAGTTCCTGAGGGAAGACCTCAATTACCATGACCCAACAGTGAAACACAGCACCTTCCATGGTGAGGATAAGCTCATCAGCGTGGAGGACCTGTGGAAGGCATGGAAGTCATCAGAAGGTAATAGGCAGCCTGGTCATCAATCCTAGTTGTGGGAAGGTTTAGAGAAGAGAGAAGCAGCAACTTGGCCTTAGAAGAACATGTATATAAAATGCTTAGTAAAGGGCAAATTATTGAAGTTATTCTACATATAGTCACTAAAAAAGACTGAATATAGTCACTCTGCTGGGCATGGGGGAAGGTTCTCCAGAGTTGGCGTTTTTCTTCATTAGGATACTTTTTGAATTCTATCCTATTCCTACCCCTTTCGTCACCCACCTAACCCTGGCATAGGAATCTTCCAGGTTCTGCTGCTTTATCTCCAGAGATAGGGAGCTTGCTGGTCTCTTGAGGCAGCCCCTTTCTTCTCTAGCTTCCCACTTAGTCCCAGCTCTGCTGAGTCCTAGACAATTCAAAGATTGGGTGAGGGTACAGACAGACTCTCTCCTCTTCTATACCATCTTGATTGAAAGCTTTTCTATACCATTTTGGTTGAAAGCTCCTGAGTCTTCTTTTTTCCAGGTTAAGTAGCCCTACTTCTTGAAGAAAACATTTTCTCAGCCTCCTTCTTGTCTTGATTTCCTGCCTATAAGCACTTTTGTTAATGTGTTTCTTAGATCCTATAGTTGGCTGCAGACCTCCAAGTGTGATTTTATCATCACGGAGTTGAGCAGGACTGTCACCTTCTTGTTTCTGAATCCTGTGCATCTGTTAGTGCAGTCTGATTAGATTCTGGTGCCTCACTAGTCATACCACTCTACTGACCCATGTTGAGCTTAATGAAAACTTCAGATTTCTGTAAAACTGCTAAACCATGATTACCATTTTTTTTTTCTGGAGCATTTCCTTCAGAGTTCTTAGTGAAAGAGCATGTCTAATTGTGCGAGACTTGACAGGGAAGGGGAAAACAGGGCTTTAGCTTCCTCTCCATTTATATCTGTGGCTAGGGCACAGATAACAATAAGACTAGAAGAAATCTCTCTTCCCAGGGTCTCTTAGGGCAGGTTCTGATGTAACAGGGGTTAAATGTAAGTAACCATCAGGATCCCTGGTTTTTATTTGAGGAACCTTAGGCCTAGATGTATAAAGTTACTTGTCATTATCATGCATTTAGTAGAGCCAGAACTTCAGCTGTAGGCCAATGCTTTTCAATACCCTCTTGGTTGAAAGCATTAGTCTAAGGTAGAGAAGACTAGTTTTGGTAGGAATGAGGCAGTTTCTATTTTTATTTACATTTTAATTTAGGCTTATAGAATTTGAGATCTGAAAGGGATAATCTATATTGTAGATGGGGAGCATTAAATGTGAAGCAGGAAGACCTGGATTCTAATCCTGATTATGGGATGGACAGGCTGATGCTTCCTGTTAACTCTATGTTTTATCAATGTAGAAGAAAAATTAGGCAGCTGTAGGAGAGAGCTTCCTGGATATCTTTGGAAGCTGAGTTCCTTCTGGGGGCTTTTCTTTAATAGCTCTCGAGCAACTCAGGCTATGTACTGATGAAGATTAAGCAGTGACATGAGCTTTGGAACTATACCAGCGGTGCCAGGAAAAAATCTTCCATTAGCATCATTTAGTTTTGGCTTTCTTATTTTTCTCTAATAACATGAGGACAGGGTGGCTGGTTTTTAAGAGTGGGTTTCAAAAGTAGGAACTTAGAATTAAAGATGGCAGGGAGAGCATTCTGGCCTTTTCTGAAAGCTCGCATAGAAGTATCTAGGAAAGGAAAGTGAGAGGGCAGAAACAGAGGGACTAAATCATAATGCTAGAAAACAGCTCCAGGCAGTTTTCTGGCAAGGACTTTATTTTTGGACTTAGCAACTATTTGGAACACTTCCAGTGTATTCTAAATTACAGGAAAATGAAAGACAATGGAGTGAGGTTTTTTGGGGGAGAGTCCTCATTAACCATGAGTGGAGAAAAGCATTTCAATGCAGTGATGTAGTTCACAGCTGAGAAATGATATATATGTACCCTATTAGAATTTGCTCACTGTGTGTTATACCTGGTGATTTGACAGACTAAAAGTGAGAATTTTTATATGTCCTCTTCCTCCCAATAATTTGCTTCATTATTCAGAAAAAGGCCCCTAATCTCTCCGGAGTGATGATTTCCAGAGCTACAAAAAGCATTTAATATTCTGGCACCGGCTCAAACTAGCTGTTCTGAGTTTAGCTAGATGATGTAGATGTCAGCAGTGGTCACTTGTGTTCAGAACATTAGCTGGCTAGTGTCAGTACCATCTGTGTGATTAGCATTGTTAACATTTTTCTGACTAATGTTGGGAGCCAGTCTTTTCTCTGTGTTATATAGATCTTAGCAGAAAAGTTTTCTAATCTCTATCTTAGCCAACTCTGGGCTTTAGGAATAAAAACAGCAGCAGCAACGACAAAAACTGAAAAACTACTTTAACATTTATATAGTATTTAATATGTGCTAGGCACTGTTTCTAAGTGTTTTACATATATTAACTTATTTCTCACAGAAACCATATGAAGTATAGATATTATGATTATACAGAGTTAGCACAGACTTCACAAGTTAAGTTCACAGCCCCCGATAAGATTACTCTCACTTCAGACATCAGCCATAATTTCAAGCTGTTCCCAGGTCACCTGCACTTCTGACCAGCTGACTACAATTCATGCATTACCATGGCCTTCTCAGGTTTGATAATTAACTAGGACTACTCAGAGAATTCAAGAAAGCCCTATACTTATGATTACAATTTTATTATAAAAGTTACAAATCAGGACCAGCCAAAAGAAGAAATTTATAGGGCAAGATATTGGAGGGTCCTGAATATGGCACTTTTGTGTCCTCTCCTTGTGGAATCAGGACACATCTCCATTTCCAGCACATCAGAGTGTTTGCCAGCCAGGAAACTCAACTGAACTTTGGTGTTCAGTGTTTTTCTTAGGGTTTCATTACATAGGCAAGTTTGATTGAATTCTTAGGCACATGATTGAACTTAATATCCAGCTCCCTTTTTCTCCATAAAGGTTGGATTGGTATCACCAGGCTCAGAGCCCCAATGTTCTAGTCACGTGGTTGATTTTTATAGTGACCACCCCCCATCCTGAGTCATCTTATCAGCCTGAACTCATGTGTGATCCAAGGGACCCACCAGGAATAATAAAGACATTCCTATCACTGGGAATATTCCAAAAGTTCAGTGGGTACCTCCCAGTAACCCAGGACAAAGATCTGCCAAATTCTTTATTATACAACATTGAATAATTAAGTATGGAAGAACTGGTAAAGCAGGGTTGAAGAAGGACCAAGAATGAGGGCCACTCCAGGAAATCCAGCAGCAGAGACTAGGGGATTCGCCTTTTCTTTTTTTTCTTTTTTCTTTTTTTTGAGACAGAGTCTCACTCTGTCACCTGGGCTGGAGTGCAGTGGCGCAATCTCAGCTCACTGCCACCTCCGCCTCCCAGGTTCAAGCGATTCTCCTGCCTCAGCCTCCCGAGTAGCTGGGACTACAGGTGTGTGCCAGTGCGCCCAGCTAATTTTTGTATTTTTAGTAGAGACGGGGTTTCACCGTGTTGGTTGGCCAGGATGGTCTCAATCTCTTGACCTCATTATCTGCCCACCTCGGCCTCCCAAAGTGCTGGGATTATAGGTGTGAACCACCGTGCCTGGGGAATTGGCCTTTTCTAATTAGCTACTTTCATATGACCCAGCTTTATTCATTTTTTATTTCTAAGTGTCTTTGCTCAAGAGTCAGATATGACAAGAGAAGAATCAGATTGGCGTAGTGTGGATTACAGATTTAAATAGGGTGTTGATGGTGGGAGTGTGTGTGTAGGGTTTGGAGAGAGCTGCAATTTCCAGCCCCTACAGGATCATATGAGGTTAGAGGAGTGGCAGTTCTTTAAAGGAAGGGTGGCTGGGTAGTTTTGTAGAATCCTTGAGAAATAGAATTACTGCTTGCATATTTGAGCCATTGGAAACAATAACAGTGTCATTTTTGGAGAAGAATGATGGGAGGCACTGACCTAAGGGAATTCTCCTCTAACCATGGCTTTCATTTTTTCTAAGCAAAGTGCATCGTTACTGTTTCTCTTCTCCTTTCCTGGACACTAGATTTTAAATGATGCTATCTGCCAAACAAAGTATATTTCTTCTTTTGAGACAGAGTCTCACTCTGTAGCCCAGGCTGGAGTTCAGTGGCATGATCTTTGCTCACTGCAGCCTCTGCCTCCTGGATTCAAGGCTTCTTTTGCCTCAGCCTCCCGAGTAGCTGGGATTACAAGTGTGCACCATCACGTCCAGCTAATTTTTGTATTTTTAACGGAGATGGGGTTTTACCATGTTGGCTAGGCTGGTCTTGAACTCCTGATCTCAAGTGATCTACCCGCCTCAGCCTCCTAAAATGCTGGGATTACAGGCGTGAGCCACTGTGCCTGGTGAATATTTCTTTTTTTTTCTTTCTTTTTCTTTTCTTTTTTTTTTTCGAGGTGGAGTCTTGCTCTGCTGCCCAGGCTGGAGTGCAGTGGAATGTTCTCGGCTCACTGCAACCTCTGCCTTCCAAGTTCAAGAGATTCTCCTGCGTCAGCCTCCCGAGTAGCTGGGATTACAGGCGTGAACCCCCACGCCCGGCTAATTTTTGTATTTTTAGTAGAGACGGGGTTTCACCATGTTGGACCAGGCTGGTCTCGAACTCCTGACTATAGGTGATCCGCCTGCCTCGGCCTTCCAAAGTTCTAGGATTACAGGCGTGAGCCACCACACTTGGCCAGTATTTCTTAAGTGGTAATTTCTTTCCTCGTTTTTATGAATCAAGACTTTGTACCTATCAATCTTTGATTCTATGAAATATGATTGCAGCTGAAAGCAAAAGAACCTGGTAGTCTAGTGTGCCTGTGGACTTTGCCATAGTAGTTGTTTCCAAAAGTTTTTGTTTCCAAAAGCCTGGTAGAAAATAAACATTACAGACTGGGCGTGGTGGCTCACGCCTGTAATCCCAGCACTTTGGGAGGCTGAGGCAGGCAGATCATGAGGTCAGGAGTTCAAGACCAGCCTGGCCAACATGGTGAAACCCCATCTCTACTAAAAATACAAAAAAATTAGCCAGGTGTGGTGGTGGGCACCTGTAATCCCAGCTGCTCGGGAGATTGAGGCAGGAGAATTGCTTGAAACTGGAAAGCAGAGGTTGCAGTGAGCCGAGATCACGCCATGGCACTCCAGCCTGGGCAACAAAGAGCGAAACTCCGTCTCAAAAAATAAATAAATAAATAAATAAAATAAAGTAAACATTACAGTAAGTAAGTTCACAGATCTCCTTTTCTGTCTGTGCTACTCTTTGGACGATAGAATTTCTCTGCAGGAAGCAGTGGAGTAGTACAGCAGGTTCCTGAATAACGTCACTTCATTCAACCTTGTTTGATTATAATGCTGTTGAAAATTAAAAAATTGCTTCCTTACTGGGACCATTGTCTCTTTGTGGAGTTTGCACATTTTCTCCATGTCTGCACGGGCTTTCTCCAGGTATATCAGTTTCCTCCCACATCCCGAAGATGTGCACTTTAGGTGAATTGGTGTGTCTAAATGGTCCCAATCTGAGTGAGGGAGAGGGAGAGAGAGGAGGGACGGAAGGAGGGTGGGCGGGGTGGGGGTGGGAGAGAGAGACAGAGAGAGACAGAGTGTGCGTGTGTATGTGGTGTGTGCGTATGTGTGCCCTGCAATGGAATGGCATCTGATTCAGGGTTGGTTACCACCTGGCACCCTGAGCTGCCGAGGATAGGCTCCAGCCACTCTCAACCTTGAACTGAAGTAAGCAGGTAAATAATTATCTTACTTGCTTTAATCTTCCTTAAATGTATGTACAGGTCACGTTTATTTCATTGTGTAATATTAGGAGTGTTTTGGTCTTTATTTGTAAGTTTGGTGATGTTTTTGTGACCAGAAATATGCCATAATAACTTCACCCTTGTTTATATCAATTAGCCTCTGGTAAAATTGGTTTTGTTATACATGCTTTTGCTTAAAGTTGCAGTTTCCAACAAACCATTGATGACATTAATTGAGGACTTACTGTACTGGAGAGCTAGGAAGCCTTTAGAAAGAACATCCAGGCCGGGTGCGGTGGCTCACGCCTGTAATCCTAGCACTTTTGAGAGGCTGAGGCGGGTGGATCACTTAAGGTCAGGAGTTCAAGACCTGCCTGGCCAACATGGTGAAACCCTGTCTCTATTAAAAATACAAAAATTAGCCAGGTGTGGTGGTGGGCATCTATAATCCCAGCTACTCGGGAGGCTGAGGCTGGAGAATTGTTTGAACCCAGGGTATGGAGGTTGCAGTAAGCTGAGATCGCAACTTCACTCCAGCCTGGGTGAAAGAGTGAAACTCCATCTCAAAAAAAAAAAAAAAAGAAAGAAAGAAAGAAAGCACCCAGCAGAGCTGCTGACCTCTCTGTTGACACAACACAGGGAGGCCAGGTGGCATCAGACTTCTGTCTAAACCATTTCAAAAGTCAGATCCGTATGAAAGAGCTGGCAGCCCATTTTTGCTTTTACATAAACCTAATGAGAGATATGTTTAGTATTTTCTTTTAGTCATTAAAAAAATTATTTTTCTAAGTTAACCATCAAGTCATTTAGTTAAAAACCTCAGACATTAGTTGTTTGCTGCTGTATTTTTTGGAAGAATCATACAGTTGGCTTTTTCTTTCCCTTACATTCTTTCAGATAATTTTTGTATACTGATAATAAAAACAACTAGCATCCATGTAGTGATTTAACTTTTATCACAGTCATTTTATATTTATTTTAAATAGACACTTGAGGATAAAAAGTTTTACTTGTATTCCCATTTAATAAATAAGAAAACTGAGTATCTCTCACCCGAGGGTTCTACCTGTTTAATATATCTTATGTGCATCTCCGATGATACTACCTTAGCTCAACTTCATTACCTTTTTAAAAAGATATTTATTGAGTTGCAATTGACATACAAAAAGGTGTAAATCTCTAAAGTTTACTATTTTTAAGATTTTGGTACATGTATACAATTGTGAAACCATCACTGCATTAAAGATGGTGAATATATTAATCACCCCTGAAAGTTTTCTCATAGTCCTTTGTAGTCTCTGCTCCCCTAGCAACCACTGGTCTGCTTTCTGCCATAGATTAGTTTGCATTTGCTACAGTTTTATGTAAATGGAGTTATATAATATGTACTTTTAAAAAATAATCTGGCCACTTTCACTCAGTGTAACTATTTTGAGGTTCACTTATGTTTTGCATGTGTAAATAGTTAACTTGTTTTTATTGCTTAGTAGTAGTCCATTGTAGAGACATACCACAATTTATTTACCTATTTAGCTACTGGGAGACATTGAGCTGCTTTTAGTTTTTGGCTATTACAAATAAAGCTGCTATGAACATTCACATGTAAGTCTGTATGGACATATATTTTCTTTTCTCTTAGGTAAATACCTAGGAGTGGAATGACTAGATGATATGGTAGGTATATGTTTTTAAGAAACTGTCAAACTGTTTTCTAAAATAGTTGTATTTTTTATATTCCCACCAGCAGTATATGACATTTTCAGTTCTTCCATATCTTTACAAACACTTGGTATGGTTGGTCTACTTAATTTTAGCCATTCTGATAGTATAATGATCGTGGTTTTATTTTGTATTTGCCTAATGACTAACAATGTTGAGCATCCTTTTATGTACATGTTTCCATTCATATCTCTTTTTTGGTAGAGTATCTGTTAAATCTTTTGTCTGCTTTTTATTGGGTTGTTTTTCTAAATTGAGTTTTGAGAATTCTTTATATATTCTCCATTTAAGTCTTTTATCAAATATATACTTTGCTAAGATTTTCTCCAGATCTGTGGCTTGTCCTATCAGTCTTTTAACAGTGTCTTTTGAAGAGCAGAAAGTTGTAATTTTGACGAAGTCCAGTTTATCAATTTGTTTTTTAACAGATCATGCTTTTGGTATTGTATCTAATAAATCTTTGCCTAACCCAGGATCACACAAAGATTTCTTTCTGTTTCTTTCTAGAAGTTTTGTAGTTTTATGTTTTACATTTAGGTCTATAATTCATTTTGTATTAATTTTTATATGTGGTGTGAAATATGGAACTTACTTCTTTATTGTGCTTACACGTGGTCCCAATTGTTCTAGAACCATTTTTAGAAATGCTGTTCTTTTCTTCATTGCGTTGCCACACCTCTCATCTTTTGTCAAAAATCAGTTGTTTAAGCTGAGTGCAGTAGCATACACTGTAGTCCCAGCTATTCAGGTGGCTGAGGTGGGGTGGGTGGGTGAAAACTGCTTGAGCCCAGGAGTTGGAGTCCAGCCAGGGCAGCATAGCAAGAACCTGTTTCTAAAAAACAAGCAAACAAAAATGCCTCAAGTTGTTTGTATAAGTGTGAGTTTATTTTTGGACTCTATTATGATACGCTGATCTATCTGTCTGTCTTTATGCCAGTACCATGCTATTTTGATTACCATAGAATTATAATAATTCTTTCAATCAGGTAGTGTTAGCCCTCCAACTTTGTTCTTTTTCAAGTTATTTTGGCTGTTTCAGGTCCTTGAATAAACCTGTCAATTTCTACAAAAAAGCCTGGTGGGATTTTGAATAGGATTGCATTGAATCTATAGATGAGTTTGAGAGAACTGACATCTTCAAAATACTGATGTTCTTTCAACCCATAAACAAAGTACATCTCTCCATTTATTTAAGAGATACACTTTCTCTGGGTACTATTTTTTGGTCTTTCACATTTAGAACTTTCACATCTTTTGTCAGATTTATCACTAAGTAGTTCATAGTTTTTTATGCTGTTGTATATGGTATTTTTTAAAATCATGGTAAAATACATATAACAAAATTTACTATGTAAATGGTATTTTAAAATAATTTCTGATTGTTGCTTATATACAGAAATGTAATTGATTTTTATATATTGATTTTATATTCTAGACATGAAGTCCTTGCCCATGCCTATGTCCTGAATGGTAATGCCTAGATTTTCTTCTAGGGTTTTTATGGTTTTAGGTCTAACGTTTAAGTCTTTAATCCATCTTGAATTGATTTTTGTATAAGGTGTAAGGAAGGGATCCAGTTTCGGCTTTCTACATATGGCTAGCCAGTTTTCCCAGCACCATTTATTAAATAGGGAATCCTTTCCCCATTGCTTGTTTTTCTCAGGTTTGTCAAAGATCAGATAGTTGTAGATATGTGGCGTTATTTCTGAGGGCTCTGTTCTGTTCCATTGATCTATATCTCTGTTTTGGTACCAGTACCATGCTATTTTGGTTACTGTAGCCTTGTAGTATAGTTTGAAGTCAGGTAGCGTGATGCCTCCGGCTTTGTTCTTTTGGCTTAGGATTGACTTGGCGATGCGGGCTCTTTTTTGGTTCCATATGAACTTTAAAGTAGTTTAAACTAAAAATGTATATTCTATGAAGTGCTAAACTCATTTAGTAGATTTCATCACATTTTTTTCCATAGACAGTCATGTTTATCTGCCAATAAAGACAGTTTTACTTCATTTCCAATCTGATGCTTTTTTTTTCTTTTTCTTGCCTGATTGCCTTGGATAGTATTTCTAGTACAGTGTTGAAGAGAAATGAGGTGAGCAGATATCCATGTTTCATTTCTAATCTTTTTTTTTTTTTGAGTCGGAGTCTCGCCCTGTCGCCTAGGCTGGAGTGCAGTGGCATGATCTTGGCTCACTGCAAGCTCCGCCTCCTGGGTTCACACCATTCTCCCGCCTCAGCCTCCCGAGTAGCTGGGACTACAGGTGCCCACCACTGCACCCAGCTAATTTTTTATTTTTATTTTTAGTAGAGACGGGGTTTCACCGTGTTAGCCAGGATGGTCTCGATCTCCTGACCTCGTGATCTGCCCGCCTCGGCCTCCCAAAGTGCCAGGATTACAGGCGTGAGCCACTGTGCCTGGCTGTTTCTGATCTTAGAAAACATTCAGTCTTTCACCATAAAATATAATGTTGGGCCAGATGCGGTGGCTTATGCCTGTAATCCCAGCACTTTGGGAGGCTGAGGTGGGTGGATCACGAGGTCAGGAGTTTGAGACCAGCCTGGCCAACATTGTGAAACCTCATCTCTACTAAAAATACAAAAATTAGCTGGTTGTGGTGGCGGGCGCCTGTAATCCCAGCTACTTGGGAGGCTGAGGCAGGAGAATCGCTTGAACCCAGGAGGCGGAGGTTGCAGTGAGCCAAGATTGTGCCACTGCACTCCAGTCTGGGCAACAGAGTGAGACACTGTCTCGGAAAAATAAATAAATAAAATAAAATAACAAAATTATATATATATATAATGTTGGCTGTGGGTTTTTTGTAGTGCCTCTCTACTCCTAGTTTGCTGAGAGCCTTTATCAGGCATAGATACTGGATTTTATCAAAGGAGTTTTCTGTGTCTATTGAGATGATTGCATGGTTTTTCTGTTTGTTTGTTAATTTGATAAATTACAGTGACTGAGTTTTGAGTGTAAAGCTAACCCTGCATTCTTGGGATAAATCCCCTTGGTCATAATGTATTATCCTTTCACTGTATTGTTGGATTAGATTTGCTAAAATTTTGTTTTAAATTTTTATGTCTTTGTTCATGAAGGATACTGGTTTGTAGCTTTCTTAAAATGTCTTTGTTTTTGGTATCAGGATAATGTTTGTCTCATAGGATGAATTATGAAGTATTCCTCAAGTTTTTTTGAAGAGTTCATGTAGAATTGGTATTATTTTTTCTTAAATATTTGATAGAATTCAGCAGTGAAGCTAACTGAGCTTAGAGTTTTCTTTGTGGGAAGGTTTTTAATTATAGTGTCAATTTCTTTAATAGGTATAAGGCTGTTCAGGTTATCTATTTCTTGAGTGAGCTTAGGTACTTTGTGTCTTTCAAGAAATTTGTCTATTTCACCTGTGTTGTCAAATTTACTGGTATATGTTAATAAAATTGCCTTATTTTAATGTCTGTAAAATCAGTAATAATGTCTCATTACTGATCTTAATAATTTGTGTCTTCTTTTCTTTACTGATTGGTCTTATTAGATCTTTGTTAATTTTACAGAACCAGTGTTTGGTTTTATTGATTTTTCTCTGGTTTCTATTTCATTGATTTCCACTTTGATCTGTATTATTTTCTTTCATCTGCTACTTTGGATATCATTTGCTCTTTTATTTTTTAGTTTGGTAAGGTGAAAACTAAGGTCACCAGTATGAGACCTTTCTTCTTTTCTAATACAGAATTTAGTGCTGTAAATCTCCCTTAACTACTGCTTTAGAGGCATGTCCCAAATTCTGGTGTATTGTGTTTTTTTTTTTTTTTCCTCTTTTCCAACTGATTTATTAGTAGCGCAGACGAATAAAAATACCTAGAGTGAAGACACAATTAATGGCAAATGTTCTCCTATTACTTTTTTTCCTGATATAATCTTCAATAACTTAGTATCCCTTAATAATATGTTCTAATTTGAGAGATTCTTTTTGCCCTGGAAATGCATACCTTTAAAATCTGTTTTAGACCTTAGATCCATCCGTTATTGGTTTATCATTATATTGGATGAAATGTTGTGCTTTTTTTTTTGACTTAGCTCAAAATATTTTATATTTCCTTTTTGACATCTTTAGTTCACAAGTTATTTAGAAGCAAGTTATTTAGTTTCCAAACATTTGGAGATTTTTTTTAGACTTTTTTAGTTATTGATCTCTAATTTAATTCCATTGTGATCTGAGATCATACTTTATGTGACTTGAAGCCTTTAAAAAATTTTAAGATTTTTTTCTTTCATGTCCTAGGACATGGTCTATCTTGTTAAATATCCCATGTGCACTTGTATGTGTTCTGTTGGGTGGAGAGTTCTATAAATGTCAATCAGGTCTGTTTTTGTTGTTTTGCTTTTTTTTTTTTTTTTCAACTTTTAAGTTCCAGGGTACATGTGCAGGATGTGCAGGTTTGTTATATAGGTAAATGTGTGCCATGGTGGTTTTCTGCACAGATAACCCGTCACCTAGGTGTTTAGCCCTGCAGCCATTAGCTGTTCTTCCTGATGCTTTCGCTCCTCCCACTCCCCTGACAATGTATGTTGTTCCCCCTGATGTGTCTGTGTGTTCTCATCGTTGAGCTCTCACTTGCAAGTGAGAACATGCACTGTTTGGTTTTCCATTCTTGCGTGAATTTGCTGAGGATAACAGCTTCCAACTCTATTCATGTCCCTGCAAAGGACATGATCTCGTTCCTTTTCATGGGTGCATAGTATTCCATGGTATATATATACCACATTTTCTTTATGCAGTCTTTCATTGATGGGCATTTGGGTTGATTCCATGTCTTTGCTATTGTGAATAGTGCTGCAGTGAACATACATGTGCATTTATCTTTATAATAGAATGGTTTATATTCCTTTGGGTGTATACCCAGTAATGAGATTGCTGGGTCAAATGGTATTTCTGCTTCTAGATCTTTGAGGAATCACCACAGTGTCTTCCACAATGGTGAACTAATTTGCATTCCCACCAACAGTGTAAAAGTGTTCCTTTTTCTCTGCAACCTTGCCAGCATCTGTTGTTTCTTGACTTTTTAGTAATTGCCATTCTGACTGGTATGAGATGGTATCTCATTGTGGTTTTGATTTGCATTTCTCTAATGATCAGTGACGTTGAGCTTTTTTCATATGTTTGTTGGTCGCATGAATATCTTCTTTTGAGAAGTATCTGTTCATGTCTTTTGCCCACTTTTTAATGGGGTTGTTTATTTTTTCTTTGTATATTTGTTTAAGTTCCTTGAGGACTCTGGATATTAGACCTTTGTCAGATGGATAGATTGCAAACATTTTCTCCCATTCTGTACCATTCAGGACATAGGCACAGGCAAAAGTTTCATGATGAAAATGCCAAAAGCAAATGCAACACAAGCAAAAACTGACAAATGGGATCTAATTAAAGAGCCTCTGTATAGCAAAAGTAACTATCATCGGAGTGAACAGGCAACCTACAGAGTGGGAGAAAATCAGGTCATGTTGGTTGATGGTATTGTTCAAGTCTACATATCTTTATCAATTTTCCACCTACTTGTTCTATCTTTTTCCTTTCTTTTCTTTCTTTCTTTCTTTTTTTTTTTTGAGATGGAGTCTCGCTCTGTTGCCCAGGCTAGAGTGCAGTAGCATGATCTCGGCTCACTGCAACCTCCGCCTCCTGGGTTCAGGCAATTCTCCTGCCTCAGCCTCCTGAGTAGCTGGAATTACAGGTGTGTCCCACCATCCCTGGCTAGTTTTTGGATTTTTAGTAGAGACAGGGTTTCACCATGTTGACTGGTCTCGAACTCCTGACCTCAAGTGATCTGCCTTCCTCAACCTCACAAAGTACTGGAATTACAGGCGTGAGCCACTGCATCCAGCCTGCATACTTGTTCTATCAATTGTTAGAGAGGAGTATTTAAGTTTCCAGTTATAACTGTGGATTTGCCTATTTTTCCTTGTAGTTTCTGGTTCACGTATTTTGAAGCTCTGTTACTAGGTGCATAAAGATTTAGGATGATTATTTCTTAGTGATTAACTGACCCCTTCAACATTATGAAATGAACTGCTTTATCCTTCGTGGTAATCTTTGCTCTGAAATCTACTTTGATAAAAATATAGCTGTCTTTTGACTGTTGTTAGTTTGGAATGTCTTTTTCCATCCCTCTACATTTAATCTATTTGTATTTTTATATTTAAAGTACATTTCCTGTAGGTGCATATAGTTGGGTCCTATATATATATATGTATATTTTGCAATGTGACAATATCTGTTAATTGCATTATTTAGACCATTTACGTTTGGTGTGATTATTAATATGATTAATCAAATATGATTGATATGATTATTAATATAAGATAATTTAGGTTAGTCCATTTTCTTGCTATTTGTTTTCCGTTTGTCCCATCTGTTCTTTAATTCCTTTTCCTACCTTTTCTGCTTTCTTTTGGGTTAATTCAGTATTTTTTATAATTCAATTGTATTTTCTTTGTTGGCTTATTAGATATAACTGGTATTTTAGTGGTTGCTTTAGGAGATAAAAGATATGTATCTTTAACTCATCACAGTCTTTTTTTTTTTTTTGAGACAGAGTCTTGCTTTGTAACCCAGGCTGGAGTGCAGTGGTGTGATCTTGGCTTACTGCAACCTCTGTCTCTTGGGTTCAAGAGATTCTCGTGCCCCAGCCTCCTGAGTAGCTGGAATAACAGGTGCATGCCACTACGCCCAGCTAATTTTTGTATTTTTAATAGAGATGGGGTTTTGCCATGTTGGTCAGGCTGGTCTCGAACTCCTGACTTCAGGTGATCCGCCTACCTCGGCTTCCCAAAGTACTGGTGTTACAGATCTGAGCCACTGCACTGGGCCTACTTTCAAGATATATTATAACATGTCACATGTAGTATAAGAAGCTTCCAGTAGCACATATACCCTAAAACTTAAAGTATAATAATAAAAAAAAAAAGAAGCTTCCAGTAGTGTATTTTCATTTCCCTCTCTCAAGCTTAGATTTTAATCCTTGCACTGTGGCTTGGAAATTCAAGGCCATAAGCTGGGGCAATTGTATAACTTCCCTCATTTGTTTCCTATCTCTCAAGAGTCATTGTCCTTTGTAGGCTGATGTCCAGTGTCCTGAAAACCATTATTTCATATATGTTGTCTTTTTTGGGAGGGGTAATTTTAATTCAGGAGGGAGGGTAAATTCCATCTCTGGTACTTCAGCTTACCCTGAAACAGAAGTGTCAGCTGAATCTTCTTTTGCTTGGGCCGTTGTTCTTCATATACCATTATTCTTGGCCCAGCCTAGCTCTACTGCTATGTATCTTTCACTTGGTTCCAGATCTGACGAGGTCTTTGCTTACATTTTTCAGAGTTTTCCCATTTTTCTCTCATACATGAAACAAACAAGTTAGGGCATCAAATTTCTGGGTGTAAGAAATATTCTCAAATGGAAGTTGGAGAAATAAAGATACTGTTAAAAATGTTACAAGTAAATACCTGTATAGCAATAAATAGTAATCATGTTATTTTGAAAGAATAAATACTGGCTTTCCTATTGGTCGGATAACCCTTCAGCTTGTGTAGGAGTAGCGATAAGCTTAGATCACAACTGCTGTCTCATTTGAGACTCAACAGAATAAGATATCCAAAGCTTAGTAATTTTTGATGAAAAAAAATTATAGAAAATGTTGGCTCTGTGTGGTGACTCATGCCTGCAATTCCAGCCCTGTGAGAGGATCACTTGAGCCCCAGAGGTTGAGGCTACAGTGAGCTATGGTCATGCCACTGTACTTCAGCCTGGGTGACAGAATGAAACCCTATCTCTGAAAAAAAGAAAGAAGCTGGGCGTGGTGGCTCATGTCTGTAATCCCATCACTTTGGGAGGCTGAGGCAGGTGGATCACAAGGTCAGGAGTTCAAGATCAGCTTGGCCAACATGGTGCAACCCCGTCTCTACTAAAAATACAAAAATTAGCTGGGCATGGTGGCGGGCACCTGTAATCACGGCTACTCGGGAGGCTGAGGCAGATAATTGCTTGAACCCAGGAGGCAGAGGTTGCAGTGAGCTGAGATCATGCCACTGCACTCCAGCCTGGGCAACAGAGTAAGACTCCATCTCAAAAAAAAAAAAAAAAAAAACGAAAGAAAGAAAATGTCAGTGATTTTTTTTTCATGTTTATCTGTGAGATGTTAGTCAGATGTATTGAAATTAAATGTCCATCTGTAATCTCAAAATGAATTACCTTATCTGGGAGAAAAGAGTAATATGTACACATAAATAAAAATCTGATGATATTTTATTTTATTATATTGTACTTTTTGATGGTGTCTCACTCTGTTGCCCAGGCTGGAGTACAGTGGCGTGATCTTGGCTCACTGCAACCTCTGCCTCCCAGGTTCAAGTGATTCTCCTGCCTCAGCCTCCCAAGTAGCTGGGTTTGCAGGTGCCCACGATGACGCCCAGCTAATTTTTTGTATTTTTAGTAGAGATGGGGTTTCATCATGTTGGCCAGGCTGGTCTTGAACTCCTGACCTCATGTGATCTGCCTGCCTCGGCCTTCCAAAGTGCTGGGATTACAGGTGTAAGCCACCGTGCTCAGCCCTGATGGTATTTTATATCTTGAGAGTTTATTTATATTTTAATGCTGTAGTTCTCTGTTATTCCTTATCTACCTCTGTGGTATTGGCCCTAGAAGGTAGTGTTTTTCTCCTATAATTTATGTAAACATTTCTGTGTTAAAAATTTACTGAGTACCTTCTATATACTAGGCATTGTGCTAGATGAGTTTAGCATACAAGGTCCATGCTTATTTCTCTGATCTACTTGTTTTCCATCATTCCACACCACATCTCCTCTGGAAGTGCACTGCTTTATTGGCAGTTCCTAGGAAATGTTGTTCTTTTTCATCCCATGGTGCTTTCATATATGCTGTTTCCTCTATTCATCTTTCTCATTTGTTGATCTGTTTAAAACTCAATTAATCATTTCTTTAAGTCTTCTTCCCTGAAAACCACAGGCTAAGTTAGGTGTCTTCTTCTGTGTTCCCACAGCCCCTATCTCTTCACAGCCCTTAGCACACTAAATGCAAAGATCTGTTCCACTGCCGGTTTTCCCATCAGACTACTGGAGTGCAGCATTTTATATGATTTTATCTCTTAATACTTAGCACAGGGCCTGGCCCAGAGTAGGAATGCAGCACACAAAAATGTGTCCTTGACTGTTTGATTGTGTGATCTTAGATAAGTTGTTTGGCCTACCCAACATTTCATAGCACCTAGGTTCTCTTACTACTCTGCAGCCATGCTGCCAGACTTCTCTAATCTGTCTCTACTAACCTTGTGGTTTCTCTCTTGGTGGTCTTTAATAGCATGTCCTGTTGGGCCCTGGGAGACCTGGTTTTTGCCTGGTAGCCTAGTGAGCCTATCACATGAGGCCTAGGCCAGATTATTTTTGCAATGATGGTTCAGGGTTTGATAATGACATCAGATTAGAAAATGAAGACCTTTACCTCACTGTAGTCCCAGATGAGAAGCTGCTAGTGGGAACCAGAAGGAAGCTACTTAAAGAGACAATTCACAGTTCCAGGTCACACACTATCTTTAGGAAGGGCCACTTTGGAAGGATTTGATAGCTGCCTTGGAGTGCTGTTATTCAGAGCAGACCAATAAGAAGCTGGGTTTTGTGATGCCTTTTCTGATTCTGTCAGTCACTCCTTTCTCTGTGCTCCCACATCACCTTATATATCCCTGTGACCTAGCATTTATCACACTATATTATATTCATTTGTTTCCTTGTATATTCCCCTCTCTAGAAGAGAGCCCTTGAGGCTGGAGTTCATGCATATTCACCTCTGTGCTGGTTAACTCACCCTTTACCTGCTAGAGTAGAAGCCAATAAAAGCTTAGTGAATGAATGAATAAATGAATGGCGATAATAATTATAGATGATTTTTTTTACACTTATAGTATGCTAGGAGCTTCCCTTTACTACATTTTTATGATGTGAAAACTCTGATTTTCATCATTTTGGTGGTGAAAAAAATGAGGCACAAAATATTAAGTAATTTGCCCATGGTCTTACATCTAGTAAGTGGCAGATTGCAAATTCAAATCAAGACACCTGGTTTCAAAGTTCACATTCTTCTTTTTTTTTTTGAGATGGGATCTTTGCTATCACTCAGGGTGGAGTGGTGCAATCTTGGCTCACTCTAGCCTCAACTCCAGGTGATCCTCCCACCTCAGCCTCCCAAGTAGCTGGGACTACAGGTGCGCGCCATCACACACAGCTAATTTTATTTTTTGTAGAGACGAGGTCTCACTTTGTTGCCCAGGCTGGTCTTGAACTCCTGGCCTCAAGTGATCCTCCTGCCTTGGCATCCCAAAGTATTAGGATTATAGGTGTGAGCCACCGTGCTTGGCCAAAGCTCACATTCTTAACCACTGTGCTATATCTGACTAGCTGACTAAAGGCTAAGTGACCAACTAACTAACAGCTGTGTGAAGGAGGGGCAAAGAAAGTACTGGCAACCTTCCTGCCAGACCTCATTCTCTTGAGATGTGGATTTGAAACCACAAAAGTAGATGAGGGCTTCGTCTGGAGGCACCACAGGTCCATTATGGGAAAGAGATACTGATTCGGGAATCCATTTACTATTATTCCTTCCCTGCCAAGAGAAAAGATTGGCCAAGGCCAAGTGTTTGCCCTGGCACATCCCTGGATGTATTGCTATAGCTCAAGTGCTAGGGAGTATACTGTTCCTTCTGCCTGGTATGCCCTTCCCCCAAATGTCCACATGCCTCATACCTTTTATTTCATTTTCTGCTCAAATATCACTTCATCAGAGAGGCCTTCCCTAATCTGACCTAATACAATATAGGACTATTTTTTATCCCCTTAACCCCTTATGGCTTAATTGTTCTTTATTATACTTATCACCATCTGACATATAATTATTTGTTTATAGTGTTTTATTTTGTCTCCCTCCACCAAAATATAAGCACCATGGGATCTGTGACTGTTTTGTGTATTGTTGTATCTTTACTCCTAGAGTGGTGCCTGGCAAGTAGTAGCTGCTCAATAAATGTTTTTTCCCCCTAATGAATATATTATTTTGGAGTTTGAGACCACTTGTTTTCAAGGACCTTTGTCATTTGGTGTCAGCAATACCTCATTCTCCTTGACCCTATATATAACTCTTGGACTCCAGACAAACTAGAGTCAGTGTTCTCTGAGCATGCTTCACATCTTATAGCTCTTTGTCTTTGTTCACGATTCTTTCTTCTGGCAGATCTGCATCTCTGTCCATCCAGATTCTGACCAGTCCTTAATATCTACCCCTTTTTGAATGAAGGTACATATGAAGAAAAAGTTACTACTGAGTTTGTATTAAATCCTAGGCATCTCAAACACATTAACTCATTTAATTCAACAACTCTGGGAGACAGATATTGCTAAATTGTAAGCTACATGGGAGTAGGGATCTCTCTCTTGATCACCGCTCTATTCCTAGTGCCTGGTCTCAGAATAGAACGAAATAAATGCTTGTTGAATAGCAAAATGAATATTTTACAGAAGGGGAAATTGAGGTTCATAATGGTTAAGTGATTTACGCAAGCTAGTTCATGGCAGATAGGATAGGCAAGGTCTTCCAGCTTCAAATTCAGTGTTTTTTTGTAATATATCCTAAAATAAAAAATCAGTGTTCTAAAATGCCAGGGGTTTGGCAGTCTTTAATAACTTTAGTTTTTGTAGCTACCTCAGAATAAAACAGGAGGTTTTATTGATTTTTACATGAAAATTGTTCTTAATCATAAAAGGTCTGTTCCTTTCTATAAAACATAGTATGGAGACCAGGGTATATCTTTACTACCCAAGATGCTAACTGGACACCAGTTTCTGGGATTCTTTGTGGATATGTGTCATTAGTACTTTTTAATTTTTTTATACCTCCCCCCTTTACCTCCGTAAGTAGTCTGTGGGGGTAAGTGATACTTTTTTGTGAGAAAACATAATATAAATACTGATGGGATGGACAACAAGTGATCCAGGACCCACAGATTGCCATCATTTGTTCATTCGAAGAAGATACTAGAGGTGGTATTTATGTTGTACTTATTTTTATCTCATTGTTTAATTTTTATGTGTGTTTTACAATCTATCTAATGTTAGTAAATGAATCTAATTTATAAACACATATACGTATATTGGCAATGTGTGTACAAAGCTTTTTTTTTACAGGTAGATTATGTCATTAAAAAGATTGGAGATGGCTGGGCGTGGTGGCTCATGCTTGTAATCCCAGCACTTTGGGAGGCCAAAGTGGGCGGATCACGAGGTCAGGAGATTGAGACCATCCTGGCCAACATGGTGAAACCCTGTCTCTACTAAAAATACAAAAATTAGCTGGGCGTGGTGGCACGTGCCTGTAATCCCAGCTACTCGGGAGGCTGAGGCAGGAGAATCGCTTGAACCTGGGAGGCGGAGGTTGCAGTGAGCTGAGATTGTACCATTGCACTCCAGCCTAGCGACATAGTAGACTCCGCCTCAAAAAAAAAGAAAAAAAAGATAGGAGTTAAGTCACCCTGTGTGTCTCTCTTGTGAAGGATGGTTTGTTGTGTAGAACTCCAGGGGTTAGCCTTCTCTGATTCGGTGTAGCATTGTTTGTCATTTTGCCCAGAGGTGTAGTCTTTGATCTGGCTAGGGGCCACATGGACAGGCTCAGGGGATGGGAGACTTATGACATTAGGACATTGACTCTTGCTTGCATGTCCTCCTGGGATTTGGACATATGAGTCATTTGGAGTCTGTATCTGTACTAAGCTCTCCTTGCCAAATTCTGCAGCCTGTCACTGATAGCCACAGCTCTCTGTACTTGCTGTTGCCTTCTTCCTCACTCTGGCCCAGGGATTCTTCCTATCTTCTCTTTGGAATGGAAAACAGAACAAGACTTTTAACTTTTAGGTGCTTGAACCTTGGGGACAGGGAGCCCTGATATATCAGCTGGTCTGTTGAATGAGATCTTCATGCTGGAACTCAGGGTTGCTATCTGAGATACAGATGTTATAGAGGATACAGCTCATCCTGGCTTGTTTTGTTCAGACTATAGTGACTCCAGGTGGACACCATGCTGCCAAACCCTACCTAGATAGGGCATCTGCCTAGGTAACAGAATGATATATGCAGATAAAAACAACAACAACAAACAAACCAAAACAATCTTGAGGTTTGGTCTGACATGCTGAAGCTATTCTCCTTTTCCCCTACAGCTTAGCTATGTAGGAGCGATTATTCTAGAGTCCATCTTCAGTGGAGTGTATTGGCCCCCTTGGCAACCCCGTGCCTCACTTAATGCAGTGTTTAGAGCAGTGGTTCTCAGCTGGGGGCAGTTTTTCCCTTCCATGGGATGTTGAACAATATCTGGAGACATTTTTTAATTGTCATGATTGGCAGCATGTTACTGGCATCTATGTTGTTAAACATCCTGCAATGCACAGGACAGCCTCCACAACGAAGGATTATCTCATCTAAAATGTCATTGGGGCAGAGGCTCAGAAACTCTGGTCTAGAGTGACTTCTGCCTGTCACCACTGTGGTGTAGGGTGCTGATAGAGGAGTTTCTGCATGCCAAGATTCTATGCCCAGACTTGTATCAAGGCATCCTCCCAGTAGACAAAAGGCCCTTGATGTACTGCTGGCCTCAGGCCTTCTAGCAATAAAAAAGTAGCCTTCTTTCCACTACACTCCAAGCAGAAAGGCCCCTTTGTGCTGGATGAGGTCGACTTCCCTTGGCAGCAGTGGCAGGAGTGTGTTGTTCTCTGTACTTTACAGGCTAGCACTTGTCTGTCTGCCTTATATCTGTGTGTCACTCTCTTATGCCTTCATTACCTGACACTCCAGACCATAGTAAATGATAACATCTGCAATGCGTTAGGATATATATTCATTTTCAGGAATAATACGTTCTAGTCCATTTAACTTCCATCAGCATTTTTTTTTTTTTTGAGTCAGGGTCTTGCTCTGTCACCCAGGCTGGAGTACAGTGTTGCAATCTCAGCTCACTGCAACCTCTGCCTTCCAGGCTTACGTGATCCTCCCACCTCAGCCTCCTGAGTAGCTAGGACTATAGGCATGTACTACCACACCTGGCTAATTTTTTAATATTTTTTTGTAGAGATGGGTTTTGTCATATTTCCCAGGTTGGCCTTGAATTTCTGGGCTCAGGCGATCCACCTGTCTCAGCCTCCCTATGTGCTGGGATTATAGTCATGAGCCACCAAGTCCATCCCTCAACACTTCTTTTTTTTTTTTTTTTTTTTTGAGACGAAGTTTTGCTCTGTTGCCCAGGCTGGAGTGCAGTGGTGAGATCTCAGCTCACTGCAGCCCTCCGCCTCCCAGGTTCAAGTGATCCTTCCACCTCAGCCTCCCGAGTAGCTGGGATTACAGGCACGTGACACCATGCCCAGCTAATTTTTGTATTTTTAGTAGAGACAGGGTTTCACCATGTTGGCCAGGGTGGTCTCGAACTCTCCTGACCTCAAAGTGATCCACCCACCTCGGCCTCCCAAAGTGCTGGGATTACAGGCGTGAGCTACCTTTTTTTTTTTTTTTTTTTTTTTTTGAGACAGCCTCAGTCTGTCGCCCAGGCTGGAGTGCAGTGGTGCGATCTCAGCTCACTGCAACCTCTGCCTCCTGGGTTCCAGTGATTCTCATGCCTTAGCCTCCCAAGTAGCTGGGATCACAGGCACGCACCACCCCTCAACACTAATTTAACCCCAGCTCTGTCATCCTTCTTTTCTCAACGGTATCTCTTGGAAATTAATTTATCTTTTTCTTCCAACATATTCTAGTCTGGGAATTAGAAATATAACCAAGCACTGACTAAGCACCCTTCACTTAAGCTTCTAGTATCTTGTCTCCTAGGATGCATTCCTGGACACACTGTGTCTGCCTCATTTCCTTCCCCTGCCACCTTTCCCTTCTCACCTCCCATGCCTCTGCAAATAGTCTAATCTTCCCCCAAAGGCACTCAGCTTCAGAGCTTTCCTTCTGAACTCCAGCATCTTCTTGAGGACATTAAGAGATTGGAGCATTCTTGCCTTCAACTTTATTTTATTCAGGATGTCTCCCTGATTATCTGCTTTGCATCACATCCTGGGCTGAGAGGAATGCCTGATTTTGTTTGTTTTGTTTTCTTTGTTTTTGAGACAGGGTCTCGTTCTGCTGCCCAGGCTGGAGTGCAATGGTGCAGTTATGGCTCACTGCAACCTTGAACTCCTGGGCTCAAGTTATCCTCCCACTTCATCCTCCTAAGTAGCTGGGACTACAGGCATGTGCCATTAGGCCTGGCTAATTTTTTTATTTTTCTTTTGTAGAGTTGGAGTCTGCTGTGTTGCTTAGGTTCGTCTCAAACTCCTGGCCTCAAGTGATCCTCCTGCCTCAGCCTCCCAAAGTGCTGGGATTATAGGCATGAGCCACCATGTCTGGCCAAATGCCTGTTTTTTGACAAGCATTTCAGAAGTTACTTATCCACGTGAGCTGTATGTTTTTCTAAGGAGGTTTTGTTGTTGTTGTTTTGAGGCCCACATCAAATCATTTCTGGAACCCCTCATTTAGAGTAGTTCTTATTGATGCCACTGTATATGAAGCTCTTAGTTCAGAAACAGTGGATGAGCAAAAATGAACAGGACACATTCCGTGCCTTCAATGTTTTCTGCCTATTAAAGGGAAATTAGACCAGGTCTGATGGCTCATGCCTATAATCTTATCACTTTGGGAGGCTGAGGCTGGAGGACTGCCAGAGGCCAGGAGTTCTAGACCAGCCTGGGCAGCATTGGGAGACCCCATCTCTACAACAAGTAAAAGAATTTGACCAGGCACAGTAGCTCACGTCTGTAATCCCAGCACTTTGTGAGGCCAAGGTGGGAGGATCACTTGAGGCCAGGAGTCTGAGACCAACCTGGACAACATGGTGAAACCCCATCTGTACTGAAAATACAGAAATTAACTGGGTGTGGCGGCATGTGTCTGTAATCCCAGCTACTCCAGAGGCTGAGGCAGGAGAATTACATGAACCTGGGAGGCGGAGGCTTCAGTGAGCTGAGATCGTGCCACTGCACCCCAGCCTGGGTGGCAGAGCAAGACCCTTTTTCAAACAAAACAAAACAAAACAAAACAAAGACAAAGACAAAGACAAAAAAAGAGTTAGCCTAGCATGGTAGTAGTACATGCCTGTAGTCTTAGCTACTCAGGAAGCTGAGGCAGGAGGATCTCTTGAGCCCAGGAGTTCAAGGCTGCAGTGAGCTGTGACCATGCCACTGCACTCAAGCCTCGGTGGCAGAGCAAGACCTGTCTCTCTTTTTTTTTTTTTTTTGAGATGGAGTCTCACTCTGTCACCCAGGCTGGAGTGCCATGGCGTGATCTCAGCTCACTGCAACCTCCGCCTCCCAGGTTCGAGTGATTCTTCTGCCTCAGCCTCCCAAGTAGCTGGAACTGAAGGTGCGTGCCACCACGCCCCGCTAATTTTTTTGTATTTTTAGTAGAGACAGGGTTTCAGCATGTTGGCCAGGATGATCTCGATCCCCTGACCTCATGATCTGCCCACCTCAGCCTCCCAAAGTGTTGGGATTACAGGTGTTGAGCCACCGTGCCTGGCCAAGACCTGTGTCTTCAAAGAAAAAAGATATGGATCTTATGAGAGGACAGTGATGAATCTCACCGTATCATTCAACTTCAAAACTTTTTTGGCTTCTTGCTGCTTACAGCAGTGGTTTTCAAACTTGAAGAATGTACAAATTCCTTTTAAGGTAAATAATACATCTTGGACCTGCAGTGCTGACTTAAATTATTTTTATTATAATGTTATTTAAGTATATACAAACATAGAACAAAGTTTAAGTCACTGTGTAAAATTTGTATATAAGTGTAAACAAAAACAGATTTATACTTTAAGTAAAAATAAACTTCAGATCCAATAAAATGATGCTTTTTTGCTGAAAATCAGTTGCTTCCAGGCTCTTTTTAAGTTCAGCATATCTGTATTGCTGGGTACCATGTGATGACTCATTCCTCCCACCATTTTTCTTTATTTAAGCTACCATGAAACTTTGATTCATGATCTCATTTGACCTTCACTGGGCTGGAACTATTCCTTGTGTATTGTGTATTAAGTCTACTTCTATTCCTTCATAATTGACTT
The DNA here is from genome assembly GCF_000001405.40 of Homo sapiens. NCBI lineage: Eukaryota > Metazoa > Chordata > Mammalia > Primates > Hominidae > Homo > Homo sapiens. Next base: position 4,048,662 of record NC_000011.10, read on the forward strand.
TTAACAAAGTATAGAGATAAATTTGCTTTCTGTGTGTTTAAACACAATACAGATATAAAAATTATTATTATTATTATTAATTTTTTTTTTGAGACAGAGTCTCGCTCTGTCGCCCAGGCTGGAGTGCAGTGGCACGATCTCAGCTCGCTGCAACCTCCACCTCCCGAGTTCAAGCAATTCTCCTACCTTAGCCTCCTGAGTAGCTGAGATTATAGGTGCCCGCCACCACGCCCAGTTAATTTTTGTTCTTTTAGTAGAGATGGGGTTTCACCATGTTGGCCAGGCTGGTCTTGAACTCCTGACCTCAGGTGATCTGCCCGCCTCGGCCTCCCAAAGTGCTGGGATTACAGGCGTAAGCCACTGCACCTGGCCTATAAATTATTTTAAAAGGGTACTTTTTATGACTATTCATTAAAAACATCACATTATAATATTGAGGAATCACTAGCTCTAGTGCTCCACGTATGGTGATGATGCAATTTGCCATGTTGCAAATGACCATTCAGTTGTTTCAGTTAGAGTTGGTTCCTGTTATGACAGAAAATCCTTTCAATCTGATATAAGCAAAAGGGAGAATGTACTTCTTGCACAAAACTGAAATATCTATGAATAGGACTTTCTACAGGCATTATCTGACTCAGGGCTTAAATTATATCAGCTGGATTTTTTTTTTTTTTTTTTGAGACAGGCTCTCACTCTGTTGCCCAAGCTGGAGTGCAATGGCATGATCGCGGCTTATTGCAACCTCGACCTCCGAGGCTCAAGCCATCCTCCCACCTCAGCCTCCTGAGTAGCTGGGACCACAGGTTCACATCACCACACCTGGCTAATTTTTTTTTTTATTTTTTGTAGATATGTGGTCTCCCTATGTTGCCCTGACTGATCTCAAACCCCTGAGTTCAAGTGATCCTCCTGCCTCAGTCTCCCAAAGTGCTGGGATTATAGGCGTGAGTCACTGTGCCTGGCCTGTCATCTGGATCTTGACTCAGCTTTTCCTCTGTATGAAGGCTTCCAGCAGCATCAGGGAGGTTGTATACACAACCCCCCTGCCCAAACACACACACACACACACACACACACACACACACACACACACACACACATGCTTAGAACGTGAATGATGGAGCCAGACTGCCTGAGACCAAATCTTGGCTTTCCCAGTTCCTAGCTGGGTAACTTTGGGAAAGTTATATAAGCTTGCTGTGCTTTAGTTTCTTCATCCTTAAAATGGGGATAAAATGGGATATCTACTTCATATGAAAATGATGAAGATTAGTGAGTTAATATATGTGAGGTACTTAGAACAATACTCTCATAGACTAAGCGCTATGTAAGAGATGGCTTCTATTACTATTATTATTATTGTTGTTGTTATTAACATTATAGTTCAGGTTCATTTTATCCCAGACACCAGTATAGTGGAAAAGCAAGCATATCCCCTATGGGCCAAACAAAAATTTTAGAATTCAGTTTCTTCAGCCTTGATTTGGGTTATGTACTCATCCCTGAACTAAGCACTATGGGCAGAAAGATGGAATGTATTGATTGGTTTAGCTTGGGTTACATACTCTACTTTTAAAGGCTGATTTAGCTTTACCTGAAGCATATTAGCTGAGAGCAAGGGAGGAGTGGTTCTGTTCATACAAATTCAGAATACTGTTGCCACCAAAAAGGGAAGTGGATGCTTGGTGGCAAAAGTGAACCATGTTCATTATAGTGCTATCAGATAGATCGTAATAGGTGATCCTGTTATACTACATTAGTCTCTCTGGGGATGCACCAATTGGGACAGTTCTTGTCTGAATTAAACTAAAAGACAGTTTATATCTTTTAGTGGGTAATATTTGTCTTTTTGAATTGCAATTATGAATGTATATTTTGTGTAAAAACATCAGTTTGACCTCTGGGTTCTTTTGTATTAAAATATTTAAATTTGAGATATATTATTGTTATGAAGTACATTATGTCCTAAAATTCCAGGAAAATACAGTTGAGCCTTAACAACACAGGGGTTAGGGGTGCTGACTGTCCCTTTTCCCCCATGTAGTCAGAAATCCACTTGCAACTTTTGACTCCCTCAAAATTGAACTATTAATAGCTTGTTGACCAGAAGACTTACCAATAACATAAACAGCCTATTAACACATATTTTATATGTTATATGTATTATATACTGTATTCTTACAATAAAGTAAGAGAAGAGGAAATGTTATTAAGATAATCATAAGGAAGAGAAAATATATTTACTGTTTATTAAGTGGAAGTGGATCATCATAAAGGTTTTCATCCTCATCTTCACATTGAGTGGGCTGAGGAGGAGGAGGAAGAAGAGAGATTAGTCTTGCTGTCTCAGGGGTGGCAGAGGCAGAAAAGATAGAGAAGGTAGGAAGGGAGGTGGGAGAAGCAGGCACACTCAGTATACCTTTTATTGAAAAAAAAATCCATGTATAAAATTCATGTATAAATGGACCCAGGAAGTTAAAACCTGCATTGTTTAAAGGTGAACGGTGTCACTGTAACTATTTTGCATCAACACACTTATAAACACAAATGCAACATGAGCACTGAAGTTGAGAGCCTGTATTCTTATATATCTAGATGATACAGAATAAACTTTTGCTTTTTACTTTTAGCTTATTTCCAAAATATAAATATAGAATCAAAACACTTTAATGGTAAATTGTCTTTTTTTTTTTTTTGAGATGGAGTATTGCTCTGTCACTCAGGCTGGAGTGCAGTGACGCAATCTCGGCTCACTGCAACCTCTGCTTCCCGAGTTCAAGCGATTTTCCTGCCTCAGCCTCCCGAGTAGCTGGGACTACAGGCATGCACCACCACGCCTGGCTAATTTCTGTGTTTTTAATAGAGACGAGGTTTCACCATGTTGGCCAGGATGGTCTTGAACTCTTGAGGTCAGATGATCCACCTGCCTTCGCCTCCCAAAGTGCTGGGATTACAGTCATGAACCACTGCCTGGCCATAAATTATCTTTTTTTATCTGTTTTGCAACAGTCTCACTCCGTCACTCAGGCTAGAGTGCAGTGGCGTGATCATGGCTCTCTGCAGGCTCAATCTCCCAGGCTCAAGTGATCCTCCCACCTCAGCCTCCTGAGGAGCTGGGACTCTAGGTGTGCACCACCACACCTGGCTAATTGTCCCTGTTTGCAGATGACATGATTGTATGTTTAGAAAACCCCATCGTCTCAGCCCAAAATCTCCTTAAGCTGATAAGCAACTTCAGCAAAGTCTCAGGATACAAAATCAATGTGCAAAAATCATAAGCATTCCTATACATCAAGAACAGACAAACAGAGAGCCAAATCATGAGTGAACTCCCATTCACAATTGCTTCAAAGAGAATAAAATACCTAGGAATCCAACTTACAAGGGATGTGAAGCACCTCTTCAAGGAGAACTACAAACCACTGCTCAATGAGATAAAAGAGGACACAAACAAATGGAAGAACATTCCATGCTCATGGATAGGAAAAATCAATATCGTGAAAATGGCCATATTGCCCAAGGTAATTTATAGATTCAGTGCCATGCCCATCAAGCTACCAATGAATTTTTTCACAGAATTGGAAAAAACTACTTTAAAGTTCATATGGAACCAAAAAAGAGCCTAAGCCAAAAGAACAAAGCTGGAGGCATCATGCTACCTGACTTCAAACTATACTACAAGGCTACAGTAACCAAAACAGCATGGTACCGGTACCAAAACAGAGATCTAGACCAATGGAGCAGAACAGAGCCCTCAGAAATAATACCACACATCTGTAACCATCTGATCTTTGACAAACCTGACAAAAACAAGAAATGGGGAAAGGATTCCCTATTTAATAAATGGTGTTGGGAAAACTGGCTAGCCATATGTAGAAAGCTGAAACTGGATCCCTTCCTTACACCTTATACAAAAATTAATTCAAGATGGATTAAAAACTTACATGTTAGACCTAAAACCATGAAAACCCTAGAAGAAAACCTAGGCAATACCATTCAGGACATAGGCATGGGCAAGGACTTCATGTCTAAAACACCAAAAGCAATGGCAACAAAAGCCAAAATGGACAAATGGAGTCTAATTAAACTAAAGAGCTTCTGCTCAGCAGAAGAAACTACCATCAGAGTGAACAGGCAACCTACAGAATGGGAGAAAAGTTTTGCAATATACTCATCTGACAAAGGGCTAATATCCAGAATCTACAAAGAACTCAAACAAAGTTACAAGAAAAAACCCCATCAAAAAGTAGGCGAAGGATATGAACAGACACTTCTCAAAAGAAGACATTTATGCAGCCAACAGACACATGGAAAAATGCTCATCGTCACTGGCCATCAGAGAAATGCAAATCAAAACCGCAATGAGATACCATCTCACACCAGTTAGAATGGTGATCATTAAAAAGTCAGGAAACAACAGGTGCTGGAGAGGACGTGGAGAAATAGGAACCCTTTTACACTGTTGGTGGGACTGTAAACTAGTTTAACCATTGTGGAAGACAGTGTGGTGATTCCTCAAGGATCTAGAACTAGAAATACCATTTGACCCAGCCATCCCATTACTGGGTATATACCCAAAGGATTATAAATCATGCTGCTATAAAGACACATGCACACGTGTGTTTATTGCAGCACTATTCAAAATAGCAAAGACTTGGAACCAACCCAAATGTCCATCAACGATAGATTGGATTAAGAAGATGTGGCACATATACACCATGGAATACTATGCAGCCATAAAAAAGGATGAATTCATGTCCTTTGTAGGGACATGGATGAAGCTGGAAACCATCATTCTCAGCAAAATATCGCAAGAACAAAAAACCAAACACCGCATGTTCTCACTCATAGGTGGGAATTGAACAGTGAGAACACTTGGACACAGGAAGGGGAACATCACACACTGAGGCCTGTTGTGGGGTGGGGGGAAGGGGGAGAGATAGCATTAGGAGATATACCTAATGTAAATGACAAGTTAATGGGTGCAGCACACCAACATGGCACATGTATAGATATGTAAAAAACCTGCACATTGTGCACATGTACCCTAGAACTTAAAGTATAATAAAATAAAAAAAAGAAAGAAAGAAAAACCAGGCGACCAAATAGAAAAAAAAAAATTTTAATAGAGACAGGGTCTCACTGTATTGCCCAGGCTGGTCTTGAATTCTGGAGTTCAAGCAATCTCCCGCCTTAGCCTCTCAAAGTGCTGGAATTACAGGTGTGAGCTACCATGCCCGGCCTATATTAGATTATCTTGACCAGTGCTGTCTAACAGAACTTTCTACAATGATGGAAATGTTGTATAGTTTATGCTGTCCAATATGGTAGGCACTAGCCACATCTAGCTATTGGGCACTTGAAGTGTGGCTAGTGCCATCGAGCAACTGAATTCTTAATTTATTTAATTTTAATAAATTTAAATTGCCACTGTGGCTACTGGCTACTACTGCTTGGACAGTGCAGCTCTGAATAACATCAAATAAGAGAATGGCTATAAAGTGCCCAGTGTGCTCTATACTAAGCACACAGTAGATGTGAGAGGAGGAGAGGTCTATAGATTCTGTCCTGAAAAGGGTTGGGCCTCACCTAACTGGCCAGAGCAACCTGAGTTAGGCTTATCCCAGGACAATACTAGTAGCTATCTTAGCATGGTAGTCAAGACTCTTTGTGACATGGCTTCAACCTTCTTCTGCCACTACCTGCCATATATTCTATATTCTAGACCAGGGGTCCCCAACCCCTGGGCCACGGACCTGTGTCAGTCCATGGCCCGTTAGGGACTGGGCTGCACAGCAGGAGATGAGTGGTGGGTGAGGGAGTATTACTGCCTGAACTCCACCTTTTGTCAGATCAGCAGTGGCATTAGATCCTCATAGGAGTGCGAACCCTATTATGAACTGCACATGTGAGGGATCTAGGTTACGTGCTTCTTATGAGAATCTCACTGATGCCTGATGATCTAGGTGGAACAGTTTCATGCTGAAACCATCTCCCTGCCCAGGTCCATGGAAAAATCATCTTCCATGAAACCAGTCCCTCATGCCAAAAAGGTTGGGGACTGCTGTTTCACACACATCAAATTTCACATCTTTTCTTTTGCACCTGTCTTCATTCTGTATTGAGTGCCCTCCTCTCCCCACACCCATGAAATATTTGAGATAAGCTTCTACTAATCCTTTATGTTGCAATACATCATCTTCTCTGAGGCTGTCCCTGAAGCCCTAGGCAGTTATTTCCTTTCTTCTCTGTGCCGTATGTATTTTTCTCATCAGAATCTGTGCTTCACTCATGCTGTTTAGCTTTTGATCTCTTCCACTGGATTGGGAACTAACTTCCTCCAGGCTTGGCACTAAGTAGTCCCCTTATGAATGCTCAGTTGAATAGCTGGACGAATGGATGGATGGATAATTGATTCTCAACCCTGGTCACAACAGTTTAAAAATATTCCAAAATCAAATTTATTGAGTTATAATTTACATAAAAGAAGATACACCTATTTTAAATGTACAGTTTGATGCATTTTGACAGATGTTATCATTTGTGTAACCACCACCACATTCAAGATATAGAATATATCCATCACCTTATAATGTTGCATTTGTGATTTTTTCCCAGTCAGTCCCCAGCTCCCTTCCTGGCTCCAGCTAACCATTGATCTGCTTTCTATCACTATAGATTTGTCTTTTCTAGGATTTCATATAAATAGACTCACAGTGTATACTCCTTTCATACTTAGTATTTTATGGGACAGATAGATATTAAACACACAAATGTGGTAAATATTAAGGTCAGCATGACAACAAATGAAAGCAGTGCTTGGCATTCTAGAGTCATGGCTTTGCTTGTCTCTTTTCACAGTATACAATTGGACCGTGGATGAGGTGGTACAGTGGCTGATCACATATGTGGAGCTGCCTCAGTATGAGGAGACCTTCCGGAAGCTGCAGCTCAGTGGCCATGCCATGCCAAGGTCAGGAGGGGACTGGGTTTTTCTCTGTTGAGGGTACGGGGAATGGGCTGGAGTGGGCCTGCCTTCAGATTGCTCTGGCCAGTTAAGTGAGGTTCTGCCTTTTTCAGGGCAGCGTCTATAGATCTTGCCTCTTCTCACATCTGTTGTGCACTTGCTATAAAGTATGATGGGCGCTTTGTATCCACTCTCTTCTTTAATATTCCTGTCAGTCCTGGGAATAGTACTGATAGCTGCCATTTACTGAGTGCTTAGTACATGCCAGGCATTCTACTCAACACTGTATACAGTATCTCATTTAATTCTTACATCAGTCCTGTAAGGTGGGTATTATTGTATATAGATGATGAAACTGGTTAAGTAACTTATCCAAGGTCACAAACATGACTAGTTAGGGGCAAAACTGAGATTTGAATCTTGGTGTACATCAAACCCTGTTGGTGTTTCTTTTTTCTTTTTTTCCTGTGCCCTGAGCAGCTGCCTCTTTTATCACCCGGGAGCCTCAGGGCTCTTTTAGCCTCCCCTGGGTTATCCATATACAGCTTATTTATAATAAAAATGGTACAGAGGAGAGGCTGATTGCCATTGGCCCCAGCCTCATCTCTGGGATGGCTCCAACAGCTGTTGTTTCATAACTCTTTGCCTACTTTACACGCTGAATATGCTAGGGCTTGGGCTGGGAGTGGGAAGGGGATGGAGTACTGCTTGGACTTCTTGTCATGTCAAACTAGTGCCATATGCCATTCAGTCATTAATCCATTTACTTATTCATCCAACAAATATTTACTGGGTACCTGCTCTGTGCCAAGCACTTGTGCTGGGTGCTAGGGATAAAGATGACAACAAGCTGTCCTTGCCCTCAAAGGGCTTACTATCTGGTAAGTGCTGATTATGTATAATCTGTCATCTTATTATGTAGGTGCATCTGGTTTTGAGCTTCAGCAAAGGGGAAAGGGGAAGGTGAAGCTGTTGGAATGCCCACACTTTGCAGTCTCCAGCCACAGAGCTACTGAGCACTGCTGTCCAGGCCTAGCTGAGCTGGCTGTTCCCTCCTCTGCTGCCTGCAGCCTCTTCTTCACAGCTTCTCTCTGCTCTGGAGAGAGTAATAATCTTAATGTTTGTACCTCCCTTTATAGAGTGCTTTCCTACATATTATTTCAGTTGATTCTCACAACTCTGGGAGGAAGAGTATCCCAACCTTTGGGTGAACAAACTGAATCTCAAATATTTTATAATTTATCCAAGCTGGTAAGTGGCAGAGCTGGGATTTGAACCCAGGTCTGTCTTGTTCTAAATGCCCTGCTTTTTTTCACTGCATCTTCCTCTTGTGCCATGTGGTTAAAGATAGGCTTCCTTTCAATATTCAGTTTAGTTCTATTTTACAAAACTTCACTAAGCACCTACCATGTGCCATACTCTCTGGTGGGCCCAGAGGACAAAGAGATGTATTAGACCTGACCCCTGACTTGAGGAACTCCATGTTTAATGGAAAAGTAGATGACTGACCACTAAGATCCAGGATTTAGGTTTCTTTCTTGCTACCCATAGAAATAGCAATATTGCCTTGTGGATCCCTGGACCATTTTCCTCATGGGAAGGATATCTTTGGCTTGGATTAAAACTGCAAAGCATAGGATAAGAAGTCAGTTCTCAGGTCACTGGTTCACTTAGCTTTTTTGTGGCTAGAATTACAGCCAAGACCAGGTCCAGCCAGGCTGGGCACAGGTGTAGGGGATGTCAAGCTGTGGCACCTTAGTGACAGCAGGAAGCATGGGGCCTTCAGTGCTTGGGGTGAAGTGAGGGTGGTTCTAGGCCCATCACTAGCTCACATGGTATAATGAGAATAATCTAGCAGATTTGAGTTCATTCTCTGGCTTTGCCACTTACTTGTGTGTGACTTTGGGCAAGTTACTCAACTCTAAGTCTCCATTTTCTTATCTAGAAAGTCGCACTAGGCCGGGTGCAGTGGCTCACACCTGTAATCCCAGCACTTTGGGAGGCCAAGGTGGGTGGATCACGAGGTCAGGTGATCGAGACTATCCTGGCTAACATGGTGAAACCCCGTCTCTACTAAAAATACAAAAAATTAGCCAGGCGTGGTGGCAGGTGCCTGTAGTCCCAGCTACTCGGGAGGCTGAGGCAGGAGAATGGCGTGAACCCGGGAGGTGGAGCTTGCAGTGAGCTGAGATCGCGCCACTGCACTCCAGCCTAAGCGACAGAGCGAGACTCCGTCTCAAAAAAAAAAAAAAAAAGAAAGTGACACTAATAATGGAACTGAGTTCTTAAGGTTGTTGTGAGGACTGAATGAGGTATTGTATGTAAAGTATCAGAACAGTAGCAGACACACAGTAGTTGCTTAGTCAGTGTTAGCTCCTTTCTCATTTCTTTCATTGCTTACAAGTAGATAGCATTCCAGTTCATAGGTTTCTTTGAGAAATAGACTGTAGAAAAGACGACAATGTTTATTCTCATTAGTCAGACGAACTGCAGCACAAGTGTTTCAAAGAGGAACCCCAAGAACTCCCAGGCTTGTAGGAAGCATCTGATTTTACATAAGTTTGCACAGTAGGAAACTGAGGTCCTCGGGGAGGAACAAAGCAACTTATGATCAGACAAATGAGTCACTAGTAGAGCTGAAATGAGAAGCCAGATCTCCTAACCACTCCCACACCCCATCACAGTGCCTCACTGCGTCTCTTACTGGTGGGCTTGATTGCTTTCCAAGGCCAGAGAAGGAAGTAGCTGTTCCTGTATGCTCAGACAGGAGTATAAATCACACTGTGATGTCAGAAGCTTCTTTTCTAGCTGGAGAAATAAAGCTATGCATCAGAAAAGAGCACCAATCTTATAGAGTAGTATAGAATTAAGTGCTTACTTGTGGGACCTAGACCAGTGGTTTTCAACCTTTCATATCTTTTACCCCCCTCCTCTTATATCCACTGTGTTCCAGCAGAAGAGAAACAAAGTTCCATTTTTCCTAGGTCATTTTCTTGTTCACAGGCTTTCTCTTATTAAAGTTATCACTGACAGTATGGGTGGAGGTCATAAAAAATTACAGTAATTTTATTGGAGGTAACTTGTATTGCAGTGACTCAAATACAAGCTAACAGGACTAATTCCATTTTTGTCATCAGTGGTTAATTAAAATTTTTTTTCCTTTTCTATATTTCATTTCAATAGCACATTAGCAGGTTTATATATAATGACAGTGAGTTTAGATTAGGATAATTCATAAATCCCAGAATCACTGGGTCATATGACATGACAGTTTGACCTGGGCTGCACAGGAAATGCATTTATAAATGGTAGGAGGTGGGGAAAATATGTAGAGGATAAACCCTGGAAGGAGAAGCACAACAGAAAATTTAGTTGGGTGTGGGAATGGTCACAGACAGGTAATCCTTAGAGGATAGGGTGCTTAGAAGTTGGTGGATATGGGGAGAGGGCTGAACAAATTCTTGGTAAATGTTATGTGTCTCTCCATATACCCTGTTGAGACCCAACTGGTATAGACTCTGTGTTCTAGAGTGCAGAGGGGAGCAATCACCAAGAGCTAGAAGTGTTCCTGGGGGAGGCGGGTAATCCTACCAGGATCCTTCCTGGCTTTACTGGGAGGGAACTGATCTGCTACTCTTTGCCTCAACAGGCTGGCTGTCACCAACACCACCATGACAGGGACTGTGCTGAAGATGACAGACCGGAGTCATCGGCAGAAGCTGCAGCTGAAGGCTCTGGATACAGTGCTCTTTGGGCCTCCTCTCTGTGAGTCTTGTGTTGAGAAGGGCTACTGCTGTGCCATGGAAACCAAAGCTGTTGTAGTGGATAGGCTAAGGCTAAGGCTCTGGGTCTCCTAGGCACACCTGCAAGATAGCACCTATACTATTTCCACTGGTATTAAGGTATGAAAGAGTCTTACATTTTAGTCCAGACACGTAGCAACATGCATTCATTAAATACTTTAAGGAAATATCTGCATTGTGCCAATGCTGTGCTGGACCCTGTAGGAAGACCTGGAATGAATCATGTTCTGCCCTGAAGGGACAACATGAGTGTTCTGTAGAGGTACACAGTACTTCTGAGGCCCAGATGAGGGCTAGTGAAGGTATCCTATAGACAAGGTGACATGTTACCTCTGCCTTTAAGGGTGGATAGAGCTTTATTCTATGGAGGTGGCAGAATAGGACATTCTAGGCAGAGTAAACAACCTGAGCAAGAGTACAAAAGCTAAAATATGAAAAGTATGCTCAGGGATAGAAGTAACCCCCTATGGGCTGAAAGCTTTTTACCTGTTACCTACTTCTATATTTCATTTCAATAGCATATCAGCAGGTTTATATATATATAATGACAGTGGGTTATTGTAGACATGTAGAGTGCATGAACTGATTAATGAACATCTTTGTATTATTGAATGACCAAGGAGGACTAAGTGGGTTTTCACTGAAGCAGTAGACACACTCAGGCCTAAGAAAGGGTGGTCTCTTCAGCCAGGGTCTAGTTGAGAGAATTAGGTTGTTCAGTCTCTACAGATCTATGTGGTAGGAACGGCCAGCCTGTAATCCTTTTTCTAATTCTAAGTTAACCAAGGGGGAGCAAAAAGTAGTGAGATTTCTTGGAAAACTATTTTCAACCAAACAGGATCTTAGGGCCCACTTCCTGCCCTTTGGGAATGGCTGGCCTCGATTTAGGGTGCCAGCAGAAGAATGCTATTGAACCAGGAAACAGTCCAGAGAAGCAGCTGGCAGGCAAGGTCAGAGGCCATATAACATTTCCCTGTCTGTGAATATGGCTTGGCTAATGTGCAAGTTGATGTCTCAATACAAGTGGATCCATACTTTTTGAAAGTATGAAACAGAGCAACCTGGGAGAAGACTAATGTTTCCACTTCCTTTGCCACCTTTTTTTTGGGGGAGTGGAGGGTTCTAGGACACATTTTACTCACCTTCATTGGTAGGTTTTGAATAACGACACAGTGAATGGTTCTACTCTTTATGTAAGGCGTAGTCTCTGTATTGAGCAATGGCCTTCCAGTCATTCACTAACCTTTACTGAGCACATTCTATGTACCAGCATAATCGGCAGGGTCCCTGCTCTCCAGTACTTCTATCTAAATGGAGATAGCTATGTCAACAAATATAGTAAAGTGTCAACAAATATAGTAAGTGTTATAGCTATTATGTAAGTCTTTCCAGAGTTCAACTGGGGGCACAAACTAGGGAGGAGTTTCCTATTGGAGTCCAGGGAAACTTTATGGAGAAAGTAATTCTTGAGCTGAGTCTTAAAAGATGAGAAGTGGCCTTATTAAACTCTCCCTATGTTAACAGCTTACACATCTCTTTGTATACACCAACAAGGACACTTATACCCAACTATAAAAGCTAGGCTACTTTTGCAGAGGTTCTCCTCTGTCACCACCATGCAAGGGGAAGCTTTCAGCAGCCTGAAAGTCTTCCTTAGCCTTGTAATATATATTATCAAGCTTTATCTGTATCAAAATCAGATTTATCATGTCTGAAAGGATACAGTAGAAACTGCAGGTTAAAGCAGTCAAGGATTTTATCTGAAAAAATCAGCTAGCATGGGAACCAGAATGCTGGGGACATGGTACTGGGTCCAGGATATCAGAACCAACAAGAGGGGCCCTGGTGGAGCAGGTTGGACTGATACCAGGACAGGGGTATTCTTCTCTTAGGCTTATTGCATGTAGCCCATGTGCTGCATGTGATCTAACTTAAGGAAGGCCAGAGATCAGCAGGAAAACTATCTTCCTGAGATAGGCAGAACACAGGTACTGAAGCTAAGAATATACTTCACACTGACTGGGATACTTATAATAATAATAGTTTTTAAAAATGGAAAACTTGTGTTGGCGAGGGTATAGAGAAATTGAAACCCTGTATATTGCTGGTGAGAAGGTAAAACGGTTCAGCTACTGTGTAAAATAGTCTGGTGGTTTCTCAGAAATTAGACACAGAGTTACCCTAGAACCTAGCAATTCCACACTTAGGTATATATGCAAAGAATTGAAGACAAGTACTCAAACAAGTACATGTACATGCATTTTCATAGCAGCACATGTCACAAGAGCCAAAAAATAAAACAACCCAACTGTCTATTAATAGATGAATAGATAAATACATTGTGGTGCAATGGAATATTATTCACCTATAAATGGAATGAAGTTCTGATACATGCTACAATGTGGATGAACCTGGAAAACATTATGCTAAATGAAAGAAGCCAGACACAAAAGATCACATATTATATGATTCTGTTAATATGAAATGATTAGAATAGATAAATCCACAGAGACAGAATGTAGACTAATGGTTGGCAGGGGTTGGTGGGAGGAGGGAATGGGGAGAAACCGCTTACTGGTAAAAAATTTTACTGTAGAGTGATGGAAATATTTTGGAACTAGATAGAGGTAGTGGTTGCATAACATCATGAATGTGCTATATGCCACTGAATTGCTTACTTTAAAATGGTTACTTTTATATTATGTGAATTTTACCTCAAATTATTTTTTAAAAAGCATATACAACAAAAGAAAGAATAGATAAATTGGACTTCACCAAAATAAAAAAGTTTTATACTTCAAAGAATGTACCAAGAAAGTGAAAAGACAACCCACAAAGTGGAGAAAGTATTGGCAAACATTTTTCTGACAAGGCTCTACTATCCAGAATACATAAAAAATTCTTGCTAGGTACGGTGGCTCATGCCAGTAATCCCAGCACTTTGGGAGGCTGAGGTGGGCAGATCACCTGAGGACAGGAGTTTGAGAACAGCCTGGCCAACATGGCAAAACCCTGTCTCTACTAAAAAAATACAAAAATTAGCCGGGTGTGGTGGCACATGACTGTAATCCTAGCTACTCAGGAGGTTGAGGCATAAGAATTGCTGAAACCTGGGAGGCAGAGGTTGCAGTGAGCCAAGATCGTGCCACTGCACTCCAGCCTGGGTGACAGGGTGAGACCCTCTCTCAAAACAAACAAACAAACAAAAAATGGACAAAGGATTTGAACATATTATTTGTATAGTCCACAGTTCAATGGCCAATATACACCTGAAACAATGCTCAACATCATTATCAGGGCAATGCAAATCAAAACTACAATGAGGTAACACTTTTTACCCACTAGGATATAATAAAAAAGACAGTAACAAGTGTTGGTGAGGATGTGTTGAAATTAGAATAATAGCCAAAAAGTGGAAACAACTCAAGTGTCTGTCAGTTGATGAATGGAAAAAAAATGGTATATACATACAATAGAATATTAATCAGTCACTAAAAGGAATGAAGTACTGATATATGCTACAATGCGGATGAACCTTGAAAACATGCCAAGTAAAAGAAGCCAGTCACAACAGGCCACATATTATATAATTTTGTGAGTTCACTTATATAAAATGCCCAGAACACACAAATCCATAGAGACAGAAAATAGATTAGTGGTTTCTGGGGCTGGGGGTGGGGGCAGTGGGAAATAGGAAGTGACTGCTAATAGATATGGCATTTCTTTTTGGGGTAATGATAATATTCTAACATTAATTTTGCCAGTGGTTGCACAACCTTGTGAATATAGTACAATCATTGAATTGCCCATTTTAAGAGAGAGACTTAGAATTTTAGGGTCTGTGAATTATATCTTAATAATAAATATATACATGCATACCTTGTTTTATTGTGCTTTGCCTTACTGCACTTGGCAGATAATTGCATTTTTTACAAGTTGAAGGTTTGTGGCAATCCTGTGTTGATCAAGCTGTTGGTACCATATTTCCAAAAGCATGTGCTCACTTTTGAGTCTCTGTGTCGGAATTTTTAAGCAATAAGTTATTTTTAAATTAAGGCACGCACACTGTATTTTTAGACATAATGCTATTATACACTTAATAGACTACAGTATAGTGTAAACATAACTTTTATCACTGGGAAACTAAAAAATTTTTGTGACTCACTTTATTGCTATATTAGCTTTATTGCAGTGGCCTCAAACTGAACTTGCAGTGTATCCGAGGTATGCCTGAACAGCTTTTTTTGTAGCTCCTGGATTTTTATTCAGACAACTTGTTTGAAGTTTGGGGAAGAACCCTGTATTGGCAGGTGACCTTGGTCCCTTTTCAAAATTGCCACTCACTGTGTGACCTTGGGTAGTCACTTTTCTCAGGTGTGTTTTATGATTTGTATCAGGAGATTCCTCCCTACAGTTCCTTTCAGCTGTGACATTTTATGATTTTTGGGAGGAACTTCTTCCTCAATAAGGGTTCTGTGTAAAAGACAGGAGGTCTGTTCCTTCCTGGTGTCTGCATCCTGTATTTTTAGGACTTCTGTGCTTGGTCCTTGCCTTATTAAGTGAGCTTTGGCAATTCAGTTCTGCCTAGATTTGGGTTTCCTTATCTGTAAAATGGGTTTGTTCATTAAAGGTTCTTACTGGTTCTCTCATTCAAGGATTCTGATAGAGCTGGGTATACTCTTGGAAGCTAAGGTTTTAGAAATCAGCAGCTGTCCTGATGGCAAATATTGTTTTTATATTTTTCTACTGATGCTTGTCAAAGGAAATATTTGAAAATCGCCGGCTGGAATCTGAGGAAAATACTAAGGAGCTCTTTGCCAGGAGACTTCTGAAAGGGGTAGGGACATGCCTGCTGGGTGTTTACAAAAAGTCCCTTGATCTGTGCCCCTCTAGACTTTATTTCCCCTCTGAGCATGGACTAAAAATCCCTATTTCAGTTCTATTCTTTAATACCCATTTAGGAGGCCTGTACTGGCTCTGACCTGTATTCTGAACTTAGGATGAGTTCTTAAGGCTGAGTGAGCAGACACTTAGACCTCATCATCAGTCATTTAGCACACAAACACCCCAGAGAACCTAGACTTGTTACAGCTGTGAGCTATGGCCACCTTACTGAGCTATAATAAAAATTCTGTTATTGGTCTGAGGCTTGACATATCTTCAATTAAAGGTTTGTCATGCAGTAGCCAAGAGGGTCTGCTGAGGGAACAGGTGCCATCTGTCCACAGCAGCCTCAGAACTTGGGAAGAGGGAAGAGGGAAGAGGGATCAGACTGGCTCAGCAGAGGGCCACCTCAAGGTCCATTTTCTGACAGTAGATGGCATGCTTAATCCTCCCCATGTGACCACAGAGTAGCACACTGCCCTTTAGGATCTTTTTCACTCTACAGAGTTGGCTCTGGGTTTACAGGCCCATCTAGGGCTCGCCAAACAGTACCAGTTTGCAGATGTTAGGTGTGTTTGGAGATGTTAGGAGATGTTATCCATCTTCTACTTCCATTAGAGGAAACAAGATATAATAAAGAGTTCCAGCTTTGAAATCAAGCTGACCAGCTCTATCACTCAGTAGCTTTGTGACCTTGGACACATTTCTAAGGTTCTCTGTGCCCCAATTTGCTCTAAATAAATGGTAGCTACTATTTTTAATTTTTAATGTGTGCCTACAGTGTGCTTAGTCCTGGGCTAGGGGCTAGCATGCCCTTTGTGCTTTCAGCAGGAATATTGAGAAAAGTGCAGGGAGGCCTACAGAATAATTGTTGCGGGTCAGGGGCAGTTGGAGATAGGAAAAGAAAAGACTATGCCTCATCTTCCTTCTTCATTGGCTCAGAAAATAGGGGAAAGTCCCCAGTGAGCAGGAGTGGTTGCTTTTCTGGCAAAGCTCACTCTGATCTCTGTACCTGCATCCTTACCCTCTCTCTCTTTTCTGTTATGGTCCAATTTGCCCTTCAAGCTTTCTCCAGGATGTTTTTCCATCCTTTTACAGGCATGCTCAACTCTTTCCTCTTATTCTCCTGTAGGAACCCACAGCCCTTTGTACTTTTTTTTTTTTTTTGATAACAATATGTCTCTCTGCCTTTTATCCTTTAAACTGGGAACTCCTTGATGAAAGAATTTTGTTCATCTGTCATCAGCACCCAGCTTAAGATCTAGCCAGAATTAAGTGCTGGGAGATGTGTGCTAGAAGTTATATGGAAGGAGGCTGGGCCTCTCCAGACTACAGAAGTGAGGGGATTTGGGAGAAGAATCTGGCCCAGCTTGGTTTTGGGGAGAAATGCTATCTATGGAGTACCTGAATAGCTGAGGCATTTAAAGCATTTGTTGGGCTATAACTAGAAGGGAGGGGGGCCCATGAGTAGCTCTTACACGTTAAACAGACATCCCAGCACAGAAGGCTGTGTAAATGACAAAAGAAATTCCTACTACATATTTTGGCAGTGAGGGATGAATATCTATATCTGCCAGGGTATTGTGTGAAGTGGACAGGGTGGAGAGAATAGATTGGGAGAAGGGATTCCAGAAGGTGATAATGATTGGATGCTCACTTTCTCAGTGCTAACTTGTACCCTGAAAATTCTTATTATTACCCCTGACTTTGTTAACATCTCAGTATCTCATTTTTTTACAACCACTTCCCTTGTCTCAGGCCTGATGGTGTTAATAGTTGACCTCATTTTGCTAAAATCTAATTGCAGCACACAGACTGGGAATTCTGCCATCCTCTGGTTCCCCCAGTCCCAGCCAGCTTCCCTGGGTTAGCTCTGTTCACCTAGCCAGCCACATCTGTTCTCCTGAAACCTCCATGGTTACTCTGCCCTGGCTATGGTTACTGAGTGCAAGGTAGATTCTGAGAGCTGAGTTTGTGTAGGGGTTGTGCGATGCAGCTGGCCATGCTCTTTTTGTCTCCAGGAGCTGGCATTTGCCCTCTATATGCACTTTGTATTGTAGCTCCCTTTCCACCTAAAACCTCCCTGCATTCTCCCCTTTTCTCCCTTTTCTGCCTTTGCTAAATACCTGTTCTGGTCAGACCCTGTGCTAAGAGTATGGGGCTACAGAGATATAAATAAACCTTGTGCCCTGGCCCTGAGGAACTCACAGACTACCAGATGGTGACTGACATGGAAGTTGAAAAATAGGCTGGGCGCAGTGACTCTCTCCTGTAATTCCACTTTGGGAGGCTGAGGTAGGAGGATCTCTTGAGGCTAGGAACTCAAGACTAGCCTGGGCAACATAGCAAGACCTCCATCTCTAAAAAAGAAAAAAAAAGTTGAAAAACACACAAGACAGTCCCTGAGAAATAAAGAGATAACCTATGTTTACCTGTCCAAAGAATGGGTTGATCGTAGCTCACAGGAGATGGAATGGAAGGCTTTGTGGGCAATGGTAGGGAGAAGACAGTAGGAATTGAAGAATGGGAATGGGATTATAATGGGAAGAAGCAGATTATTAGTAAGGCATAGATTAGACTCTTGATTTGCCTATTCTCTCCTCTTTTTCTACACAATGATTCATAGACTCACTTAGTGGTGTGGGGTACAGCCTAGGGCTCTGCGGGAGGGACCCGACAATTCTTACATCTACTGCTTCAGCTACTTCTTCTTTCTCAAACTCCACATCTATATTCTTAATTATCTCCTGGCATGTCCATCTGAGTATCTCCAAGACACCTCAAAGTGCTGTCATTTACACCTACACGTTCGATCTCGTTAGTAACCACACATTCTATCTCTGTAGTAACTCTAATGCATTTTACAGCTGAGGAAGCTGAGGTCTAGATAGGGGAAGTGAATTATATAACAAATTGGGGCAGAGGCAAACATAGAACCAGGCTTCCCAACACATAGTGTGGGATGCCTCCCTTGGTAGCACAAGAATTTCTCTACACGGACCCTTGTGTTTAATCTTAAGGCCTGGTTATTTGGCCTTGGGGTATTCACTGCCCTGATGGCAATGCCACTATCAGCTTCCAGGATATTGTGTGGGGGAAAACTCAGGCCTTGGAACTCTTAGAGTCAAGAGTTCCAAGAGTCTAGCTTGAGCTAGATCAGGGCCATATTAGACATCTCCATTGTAAGAGATGTTTGCCTGTAACAAAACAGAAACAATATTTGCTGCGTGAATATGAAAGCTGTAGTGAGAAAGTGTGGTGTAGCAGAAAGACAATGTAGTTGGGC
This sequence comes from Homo sapiens, assembly GCF_000001405.40. NCBI lineage: Eukaryota > Metazoa > Chordata > Mammalia > Primates > Hominidae > Homo > Homo sapiens. The sequence goes on from NC_000011.10 coordinate 4,067,605, forward strand.
AAATCTGGATTTAAACCCAGCTCTAGCAAGTTAGTGTCCCTTACAGAGCCTCAGTTTCTTGGTCTACAGAATGGGAATACCAATAACCTATCTTATGTAGTAGTTGTGAGGATAAGAGACGATGAATATAAATGCCTGATATGTTTTATATTTTCTCTATTTCCCTTCCTTTCTTATACGGATTAAGGGAAGGGAGATATTATCATACTTGAAGCTTATCAGTAAAGAATCAATCCTTCCAAGATTTATTGAGTGACTTCTGTATGCTGGTTGATGTTATGCTGTGCACTGGCATATATAGGCAAGTGATGATCACTAGGAACCTTAAAGAGTAAATCAACCGTGTTAGAATCATCTTCTTTTATCAAGCTTGGTAGCTCATGGATGTGGCAGGTAGTATTTCCGGACTTTATCTATACATTTGACAAGGCAGAGGGTTGGATAGGATGGATATTTGTATATTTAAGTGGAGTCAAAACTAGTTGAAGGAATCCAGTGGTACTGATAGGTGGAACAGTATTACCTTAGAGGGAGGGAGTGACTGTTAGATCTTATCCTTGGCCTTGGTTATTCAGTATTCTTATTCATGACTTGGATGAGAATATGAAGCTGGGCAAAATAATAGATCTGGTTCCAAATTGAACTGGATAAGGTAGAATAAGAAACCAAATGAAATAACTAGGCTCAATCTGCATACCCACCTTAAGTATTTGAGGTACTGGAAGTGCTCGTTGCATGGAGTCTTGTTTGAATAAGGATACCTTTGACTTTTGGTAAGAATATAAAGGGGATATTGAAGTTGAGAAACCCTAGGAAACCAAGATTAAAAGTCATTAACAAACAGGGGAGACAAAGAATACCCCAGGCTCTGGTAGTGGCTCTGGAGGAGGCAGGTGTGTTCCAGGAAGTAAGGCAACTCACTGTGCTGCAGAAATAGCTCCCCTTGGAACCTGAAAGACAGGAGAGTGATGGCTTACGTATGGCTAGACTTGTAGCCTGCCTGGAGGCTAGGGGATGGCCGCTAGAGGACCCTCAATTTTCTTTCAGAGAGCCTGGAATAAACATATGAAGGACATGGCCACCACCCTGACCTAGTGACCCCCCTCCCTTGGGTGGAAATAGGATGTGTTAATCTGTCTTTGATCCCATCTCATCCCCATGTTCTGCTGCTCAGCCTTTCTGTGAGGAGCTATGATGGTAACTCTTCTTGTCAAACTATAGGCATCAGTATCATATGGTTTCTTTTTCTGGTGTCTTGACCTTCCCTTAACTTGGTGGCTCTACCTGGGTCCTTTTGGATTTCCACCAGCCCCATGTCCTTACTATGTCCAAGGATCATGCCAGTCCTACCTCCTTCTCTGCTGTTTAAGGGCAACTTGCTGTGCACAGAGGGTCATTAGCCCTGGCATAACTCCCTTTTTTCCCTCTTTCTCTGACTCCCACATCCAGGGCTCCTCTGAGCCCACAGCAAAACCTAGACAGAGGATGCAGGAGTAGCTGTCTCCTTCTTATAGTGCCCCTTTCAAGTCTTTTGTGCTGTGGCACAGAGCCCAGATCTGGTATACCAGGAACAATGTTAGTTCCAGAAATGCCTCTCTCCTGATTGGCTAAGTTTTTAGGATGTGGCTTTTGCTTTTTATCTTGTGGTGTCATTTCTTGTTTAACATTTAAATTTTGCTCTGGACAATGGGCATTCTTTGAACCCCAGCTGGTGGCTGGGGCCCTCGTGGTTCACTGAATTGCTACCAGGTGTTCTCTGAAAATAGCTCTGCCCCTCAATTTCTGGTAGGTATAATGTCTCATCCATATGAATGTATTCATGCTATCCTGTTCTAGAGTCTCTGGATTTCACAGTAGCCTAGAAATGTTCTCCATAGATTGAGACTTCTGGACCTTTCCCTGATCTGTGCCAAGAATGGCCTGGTAGTCCAGGATACCTAGTTCCTACAGTGACTTCAGTCCTACAGCCAGAACTGAGGCTTCTGGTGACATTGCTTTATATCCTTTATACCAGTCATCTCCATTTACCTACTGTGGAACTTTAGAATTGCTTACCCTGTATGACAGAAGCCACTACATCTTGGCATATGGGCTCATCCAGCCCAGAGATGGCTGGGGCATATTGAGAAGGCACTAGTTCTCTCCTCTTCACTGCATCTTAAGAAAGTGTGATTTAATAAGCATCCTGTATTGCTGTAAGGCCTCTCATTTCAAAACAAAGCCTTGGCTAGCAGAGAGATAGACATAGAGCTTACTGTAATAGTGTATGGCAAGTGTGTATCTAAGAAGAGAAACTAATTCCTTCTCAGTGGGAGAGTGTGTCTGTTATGGAAGGCTTCATAGAGGAGGGATGCAGTGGAGTCTGCAAGGCTAAGTGTGCAGTGGGCACCCTAACTCATCATGCCCTCCCCTCTCTGGCAGTGACTCGCCATAATCACCTCAAGGACTTCATGCTGGTGGTGTCTATCGTTATTGGTGTGGGCGGCTGCTGGTTTGCCTATATCCAGAACCGTTACTCCAAGGAGCACATGAAGAAGATGATGAAGGACTTGGAGGGGTTACACCGAGCTGAGCAGAGTCTGCATGACCTTCAGGAAAGGTAAGGCCTGCCCCTTCAGGAAAGGTGAGGCCCTGCCAGTTCTTGGGAACCTCCTATTTCCACCTGGGTGTGAGCCACTTGGCCCCTGAGACCTTGTCAGCATGGCAGCCCAGGCTGCATCATCCTTCCAAAACTGCATTGCAAGTTTAGGTTGCTGATATTCCAATTGCTATTGGGCAGTTATTCCTCCTGGGGAGAAACTTGTTTCTATCTTTTTTGCCTCTTAGCTTCAGAGGGAGAAATGTGTAGCTGCCAGAGGTCTTGAGCTTCCCATTGCTTGTTATGGGGTCATTCTTCCTTCTGCCTGTCTCTGGACTGCTTCTCCTAGCATATAAATAGATGTAATGAACTGTTCTTTACTGTTCCCCAAAGAAACCTCAAAACCTTCCTTCTTACTGTCCTTAGTTCTTTCTTATAAGGAGTCTAAATCTCATAAACACTAACTTGCTATATAACTTTGGATAAATTTCTTTCCCTCCCAGGATTTATTTCCTCATTGGTAATATGAAGGGATTGACCTTGGAGAATGCTAAACTCTCCTAGGAGAACACTTCCAACTCAGATGGTCTGGGATTCTGTTAAAATAAAATGTGACTTCAAAACTATGGCAGAAGATTTAACTGTGAAAAGAGAGTGCCCGTCAGTCAGTCAGTCAGTCCTGACGTCTAGGAACCAGTTCTGTGATGGCAGTTATGAGAAATTCACTGGTCCTGAGAAAAAAAACTTACACACCCACAAGAAGCAGCAGTGAGAGCACACTTAATGCAGACTTAGTTCCAGACTCAGCTTATAGGATAAGAATGCTAATGTCTAGAAAGACAAAGAGGTGGATGAGTGGATGTGGGACTCTGAGGAGGTAGCCTTTAAAGATGGGTAGCGAGGTCCTAGGTGTTAAGGTTGAGTGTATAGGGTGGGGTCAGATCCCTGGAACCTTAAGATGCATGTGGGGAAGTTAGTAGGATGCAGAAGGCAATAGAGAGTCAAATCAGGTTTTTTTGGTTGTTTTGTTTTCGAGAAGAGGAGAGGTCTATTCAAGACTGTCTTTTAGAAAATGATTCTGGAAGCCTAGGGACTCTAGTTGGGAAGTCTTTGCAGGAATTCATGTAAAAGGAAATGAAGTCTTGTCTTTTCATTTATTTCTATTTATTATTATTATTATTATTTTGACTCTGGGTCTTGCTCTGTTGCCCAGGCTGAAGTTCAATAGCATGAACATGGCTCACTGCAGCCTCCACCCCCTGGGCTCAAGAGATCCTCCTGCTTCAGCCTCCTGTGTAGCTGGGTGCATGCCACCATGCCTGGCTAATTTTTTTATTTTTTGTAGAGACAGGGGTCTTGCTGTGTTGCCCAGGCTTTTCCTGAACTCCTGGACTCAAGAGGTCTACCTCAGCCTCCCAAAGTGCTGGGATTACAGGCCTGAGCCACTGTGCCCAGCCATTGTGTTATTTTTAAATGGTAAACACTATTTAATTTGGAGGGGTAGGGACAAGACTTCTTGTGAGCCAGGTATTGTTAAATACTTAAATGCATTATTACTTTTAATCACTATGGCCCTTTGAAGTAGGTACTATTAGAGTTGGGGAAATGAAGGCTCAGAGAGGGTAAGTGCTTTGTTCAGGGTCATATATCAGTAAGTAGTGAACTAGGAATTTTGACACTCCAGGGTGCTGCCTCTACTGAGGTAGCAGACTTATTGGATTTATTTCCATGGGCTGGGCTTCTAGGGAGCAAGAGGGGTCTGATCTCTAAGCTGATTCCTGGCTACTTTGCTGGGCCCCTTGTTCTTGGGCCCTTTGCCAGTTAGGAGCTAACTGCTGCTGTCTGAGCAGTCCCCATACCTCATTTGTTTGAAAAACATGTACTGTTTCCATTCCAAAGGCAAAAGAATCTAGGCAGGAGACATTCCAAGTTTGGGGATAAAACTAAGCTCCCAGCACTCCCTGCTCCCTAAAGCTTCCAGAGCTAAATGACCACTGTGGCACTTAGAAAGAGACAAAGACACCCCTCCCCTTTTCCCCCTAGAGATAGGCTTGCACACATGCACACATATATCCTCCTCTGAGTGTCCAGAGCCCACATGCCACCTGGTTCCTCCTTGTATTAACAGACCTGCAATGCCAGCTTTCACAGAGCTTTATTACAGAGTTCCTGATAATTTATGTGAATAAATATAATTCTACATATACAGTCCAGTTAGGATTTCATTGAGTTTCAAGATAATTATTTGAGGCAGGCAGGAATTTTGATTCCCAAAACAGGCAAAACTTGCTCATAGTCACACAACTGCTTAGAGCCAGGACTAATTGCAATGCTAATTGTTGTTGCCTTGGAGTGGGGCAGTGCTTAATTGTATACTTATTTGCTCATTTCTACACCCAACAATGATTATTGTTCTCCATCTCTAACAGACCTTATTGGAACTATGAAAGGGTGTCAGTCTTGATTCTACTTTAAAGGAGCTCGCTATTATTATAAAGGACAGACATATCATAGTATTGGCTTTTCTCAAGAGGCTGCTTTCATAAAAGGACAGTATTTCAGTGAAGAAGTGAATCCTTAATGGTGTAACTTTATATAGTTGGGTCATGGAAGAGTACAGTAAAGGAGGATATTCAGCAAGGGAAGGAGATGGCAGGAAATGGCGCCTCTGATTTGTCTTTGCCTATGCATATATCGCCATCTGGTGTTCATTTTCAGGGGGTTCAACTCCCTTTCTCTTCAGGGACAAATTAGGCAGATCACAATTTGCGGGAAGCTTGCAGCCTAACATTTCCTCTTCTTACCTCCTTGCTTGTTCCATGATGTCTTTTGAAGTCTCCGCCACTGATAGCTCTGGACTTAGAGGTTTTTTTTTTTTTTTTTTTTTTACAGATTGAGTTCTGTTTGTTTCATCTACTTAATTATCTCAGTGGTCAGTGTTCTCTAGGGGTCCTTCTTGTTCTGTAGTCTATCCTTTCTTTTCTATACCTCAAGTCTAAGCTATATATCTTATCTCTTCTTCACCATCCTTTCTCCTTCCTAATCTGGTCCCCTGGTAACCTGGTGGTTTTTACTTAGAAAGGAAGACCAGACAGTAAAGTCCGTTTTCTCTTCCAAAGGGATTAGCAAACTCTCAGTCTTTGTTCTGGGTGTAGCCCAAGTCTCTCTTTCTTTCCCTGACTCCTTTCAGGCAGAGCTGATGACTCCATCTTTTGGGAAGACCCAAGACCTTATATATCTATATCTATCTCTTTCTATTATAGAATTTGTCACACTGAATACAGTTATCTGTCTACTTGTCTTTGTTGGAGTAAATCATGAGCTCCTCAGTGGCAGGGAGAGCTTTCTGATTTATCGCCACGTATTTAGGGCTTAGCACAGGGCTTGGCACTTAGTAGGCACTTGAAAGAACTCGGTGAATGAATAGATGAATGAATGAGTGTATTAACATAGATAGCCGTGTGGAGGAAAGAAGTGAAGAAGCGGGAAGGCTTGTTTAGCTGGATGGAAGGTTTTGTCGGTGAACTGAGGGAATGTGTGTGACGGTGCAAGGGTAGACTTACATTATAACTCATGCCCTTGAGATCTTATCCACTAAGGAAGATACTTAGGAAAGGAACTCAGGGCCTGGGGGCAGCAGGGGACTCTCCTGAGTCCTTTGGCATAAATTTAATTTGTTTTGTGCTTCTGGGAACAGAAGCTCAGGAGTCCAAGAGGACTCCTAGCTCAATAGTTCCTCCTCATCTTCCCTAATCCACCCCTCTGCTACCACCCCAGTCATTTCTCAGCCATTAGGTTTTCCCTGGATCTTTTTGTCAAGCTTGCAGGGTATTCTACATTCATTGAACTTTCTAGATACCACTACATAAGAGGAATAATTGTGGCATTTGAAGTCACACAGATTGGAATTCTAGCCTCAGTTCTTCCTACAAGTTGCAAGACTCTGTATCTGCCTGTCCCAGGCTGATAATGATACCAATATATCATTATCTGCTGGGAGGACAAATGGGAAATACCTTGTAAACTGGTACTTGTTATGATTTTAGTATGAGATAGTTTCGAGGAGGGATTCAGATGCCTGAGAGCCTGGCTTCATAGCCTTGATTACTGGCAGCAAAATGATGGTCAGTGTGTGAATTAGGTAATGACTGTGGTTTCTATGGGCCTTGAGCTAGCTCAGAGCCAGACACACAGCAGAGCAGGGAGAATATATGCTGAGAGTTGGAGCTGTCATTTTCCTCTTTGATGCCATGACTCATGGCATGTTGGCTGGCACCCCCTTGCCTGGCCTCCTCCAGCTCCCTGCATTGCCCCCCCAGGCTGCACAAGGCCCAGGAGGAGCACCGCACAGTGGAGGTGGAGAAGGTCCATCTGGAAAAGAAGCTGCGCGATGAGATCAACCTTGCTAAGCAGGAAGCCCAGCGGCTGAAGGAGCTGCGGGAGGGTACTGAGAATGAGCGGAGCCGCCAAAAATATGCTGAGGAGGAGTTGGAGCAGGTAGGAGAGTCCACAAATTCCTGGACACCTTGACGGGTGGGTAAAGGGCAGGGGCCCAGGGTCTGGCTAGAAAGTTACATGTGTGAGGAATTTGAAATATGATCCAAAGACTATGTTCTAGAGTCACTGGACTCTTACCAACAATAAGAGTTCAAGTTGTAAAAAATAGTCACTATGGGCCAGGCACAGTGGTTCATGCCTGTAATTCTAGCACTTTGGGAGGCCAAGGCAGGTGGATCACCTGAGGTTAGGAGATCAAGATCAGCCTGGCCAACATGGTGAAAGCCCATCTCTATTAAAAATACAAAAAAATTAGCCGGGTGTGGCGGCGGGCACCTGTAATCCCAGCTACTTGGGAGGCTGAGGCAGGAGAATTGCCTGAACCCCGGAGGTGGAGGTTGCAGTGAGTGGAGATTGTGCCATTGCACTCCAGCCTGGGTGACAAGAGTGAATCTCTGTCTCAAAAAAAACAAAAAAAGAAAGAAAGAAAAAAAGAAAATTATAAAAATAGTCACTATGATTTTCAAAGAACAGTGGATAATAGGTGATAACAGTTATTTTGTTCCTTTTTTGAGGTATTTACATAAAGTGTACAAGTCATAAGTATACAGCTGGCAAGCTTTTGCATATGCATGTACCTGTGTTACTACCACCCAGATCAAGATACAGAACCTTCTCAGCACCCCAGGAAACTCACTTTTGCTACCCCAATTAATATTTCATCCAAAAGTTAACTACTGTCACAACTTGTAAACCAGATTAGTTTTGTCTAATTTTGAACTTCATATAAATGGCATTATACAGTATATACTCTTTTGTGTTTTGTTTCTTTCACTCAACATTATGTCTATGAGAGTCATCAAAGTTGCATGTAGTGATAGTTGGTTTATTTCCATTGCTGAGTAATAATCTATTGTATGAGTATACTTTAATTTATCCACTCTTCTGTTGATAAACATTTGGGTTGTCTGCAGTTTTGTTGACTTTTATGAATAATATTGCTATGAACCTTCTTGCATATGTCTCTTGGTGGGCATAAGCCCTCATTTCTGTTGGACATATAATATTCATGTATTTAGCTTTATTAGAAACTGTCAAACAATTTTCCAAAATGATTGTACCAATCTATACTGCCACAACAATGTAAGAGAATTCTAGTTGATCCATGACCTCAGTATTTTTAGGCATTTTAATTTTAAACATTCTGGTAAATATATAGTAGTATCTTGTGATTTTAATTTTCATTTCCCTAATATTATTAAACACCTTTTTATAAATTTATTGGCCATTTGATTTGGGAATCTCTTCTCATTTTAAAAATTGGATTGTCTGTCTTTTTCTTATTGATTTGTAAGCATTATTTATATATTTTGGATATTAGTCTTTTGTCAATATAAATACACATATATATAGAAAATATTTTCTCTCAGTCTTGACTTTTTTTTGCTTTATTGTCTTTTGATAAACAGAAGCCCTTGATTTTAATGAAGTGTAATTTAATCAGTTTTTTAAAATGATTGATGCAGTCAGGCGCCGTGGCTCATGACTGTAATCGCAGCAGTTTGGGTGGCTGAGGTGGGCAGATTACTTGAGGTCAGAAGTTCGAGACCAGCCTGGTCAACATGGCAAAAGCCCGTCTGTACTAAAAATACAAAAATTAACTGGGTGTGGTGGCACATATCTGTAGTCCCAGCTCCTTGGGAGGCTGAGGCAGGAGGATTGCTTGAGCTTGGGAGGTGGAGGTTGCAGTGAGCCAAGATAGTGCCACTGCACTCCAGCCTGGGTGACAGAGTGAGACTCCATCTCAAAAAAAAAAAAAAAAAAAAAAAAAAAAAAAATTGATGCTTTTTGCTTTTTGTTTCTTGTTCAAGAAATCCTTCCCTATCCCCAAGATATTTCCCTAAATTTTCTTCTGAACCTTTATTGTTTGTCTTTTCACATTTAGGGATATTATTTCAAATTAACTTTTGTATGTGATATGAGGTAGGCTGTCAAGGATCTTTGTTTTTTTTCCCCCAAGTAAGGTGATCATTCAGGAATCTCTTTTTTTTTTTTTTATTTTTCAGGTCAAAAAGTTTTCTAATTTTTATTGTGGTTCCTTTTTTGGGACATGGTTATCTAGTATATTGCTTGATTTTCAAACATGTGAGGACTTTTTAAGTTATTTTTCTTTTGCTGATTTCTAGTTTAATTTCACTAAGATCAGAGAACATATGCTGTGTGGGTGTAGTCCTTTGAAACTTGTTGAGACTTGGTTTGTATAAAAAAACAACTAAGCAATTCAGTTAAAAGGCAAAGATTGTCAGATTGGATTAATGCCAAAACTCAATTATATGCTGTTCGTAAGAGACACATTTTAAATATAAGAACACAAAAAAAGGTTAAAGGAAAAGGATATGAGAAAAGATATATGTTACAAAATAAAGCAGCAAAATTAAGCAGGAGTAGCTATATATTGATATAATATTTATATTAATATAAAATAGGATTTAGGTCATGAAGTATTGACCTAAAGCAGTTGCTAAGTGAAATAAAGCAAGGGTAGCTATATATTAATATAAATGTAATATTTACATTAATATAAAGTAAACTTTAGGTCAAGAAGTATTACTGGACTCCAAAAATAGATATTTCATAATTATAAGTGGATGAATTCAATTTAATATATAACAGCCCTTAATTTGGATACATCTAATGATGTAGTCTAAAATATGTAAAGCAAATATTGACTGAACTAAAATGATACTAGACAAATTTTATAATCAAAGTTAGAGATTTTAATATGCTTCTCTCAATAAGCCACCAACAGCATCCATAAGGATATAAAAAATTTAAAAACATGGTTAATAAATTTGAATTCCTTGACACATATAGAACACTTTGCCTAACTCTAGAATATACATTCTTTTTAGCACTTATATATCTCTTAAAATATACTTCTGCTCCATTCTCTCCTCTCCTTCTGAGAATCTAATATTTATGTTAGATCTTTTAACTGTATTCCACATGTCTCTTATGCTCAGTTCTGTTCTTTTTTCTCTCTGTGCTTTGGTTTGGTTATTTTCTATTGATCTATCTTTTAAGTTCTTTAATTCTGCATTCTACTGTAAGCATTCTGGTGTTTAACCCATCCAGTGGGTTCCTACTCTCAGACAATGTATTTTTCAATTCTAGAATATCCACTTTACTCTTTTATAGGTTCTAGTTCCCTGTCCAGAATTTCTATCTTTTATCTATTGTATCCATCTTTTCCTGTATTTCTCTTAACATAGCAATCATAATTATTTTGAAGTCCTTGTCTTATAATTCTTACATCTGGATCATTTATGGGACTGCTTATTTTTCCTCTTGATTATTAGTCATATTTTTTGCCATTTATGTCTAATAATTTATTTTTATTACATGCTGGACAGTGTGTATAAAAAAACAATAGAGGCTCCAGATGATTTTCTCTTCCATCAGGTAGTTTTCCCCCTTTCTTTTGTGAAGTATATTAAGGAACTGATCACCTCAAGCCAATCAGAGATCAAGCTGCATTTGAACTAGGTTGTAGTTTTAGTAAAACTTGGTGTAGCTTTCATTTGTCCCAGTTTCTCAGGTATGTCCCTCCCTGACTTTTAAATGGAAAGCTGTTAAATTTCTTTCTCTTCAGCCCTGAAAGACTGTGAGAGATGCAGTTCTGCCACTTCGTAGGCTGTTTTCTTTGTGCCCCAGTGGAGATCTTCTACATGGGTCCAGCCCAATTTTCGGCTGTCACCTAAAATCATCAATGTCTCCCAGGAAGAAAATGACTGGCAATTGACAAATCATCTTAGAAAGGCTTTTTTTCTCTCTGACTTTTGGTTTATCTAGTCTAGTGGTTTTCACACTTTTTGTTCTTAGGACTCTACTTTTTTTTTTTTTTTAAGATGGAGTCTCGCTCTTGTCGCCCAGGCTGGAGTGCAATGGCACAATCTCGGCTCACTGCAACCTCCGCCTCCCAGGTTCAAGCAATTCTCCTCCTGCCTCAGCCTCCCGAAAAGCTGGGATTACAGGTGCCTGCCACCACACCTGGCTAATTTTTGTATTTTTAGTAGAGAAGGGGTTTCACCATGTTGGTCAGGCTGGTCTCGAACTCCTGACCTCAGGTGAGCCACCCACCTCAGCCTCCCAAAGTGCTGGGATTACAGGCGTGAGCCACCACACTTAGCGAGGACCCTTTACTCTTAAAAACTATTTAGGACCTCAAAGAACATTTTGATAGGGGGTAATACTGTTGATATTTAACCTATTAGAAATTAAAACTGAGAACATTAAAAAATATTTATTAATTCATTTAAAATAACTATATAGCCAGGTGCAGTGGCTCACGCCTGTAATCCCAGCACTTTGGGAGGCCAAAGCGGGCGGATCATGAAGTCAGGAGATCGAGATCATCCTGGCTAACACGGTGACACCCTGTCTCTACTAAAAATACAAAAAATTAGCCGGGCGTGGTGGCGGGTGTCTGTAATCCCAGCTACTTGGGAGGCTGAGGCAGGAGAATGGCCTGAACCTGGGAGGCGGAGCTTGCAGTGAGCTGAGAGATCGCGCCACTGCACTCCAGCCTGGGTGACAGAGCAAGACTCCGGCTGGGCACGGTGGCTCATGTCTGTAAGTAATCCCAGCACTTTGGGAGGCCGAGGTGTGCAGATCACCTGAGGTCAGGAGTTCGAGACCAGGCTGGCCAACGTAGTGAAACCCCGTCTCTACTAAAAATACAAGAATTAGCCAGGTGTGGTGGCAGGCACCTGTAATCACAGCTATTCGGGAGGCTCAGGCAGGAGAATCGCTTGAACCTGGGAGGCAGAAGTTGCAGTGAGCCGAGATCACATCACTGCACTCCAGCCTGGGTGACAGAGCAAGACTCCATCTCAAAAAAAAAATAAAATAAAAATAACTATATCAAACCCCTTAGATGTTAACACAACATATTTTCTAAATTTTTCAAAATAAAAACAATTTTGAAAACACAATTTTCATAAAATGCATACAGCTTTCTCCAGATGTTGTGTTGGATCAGAATTGTTTTTCTCCCATGACCTACCATATCCTACTGGGAAGTGGAAGTCAGGTGATAACACTTTATTTAAAACATATAGATAAGTGTTTATTAACTTTGGCTGCATATTAGAATGACTTGGAGAGCCTATTTTAATGCCCAGGCAAACCCCCCCAGATAAATGAAATCACTGTCTCTAGGTTGGGACCCAGGTATCTGTGTTTTTTTAAGTTCCTGGCCAGGCATGGTAGCTCACGCCTATAATCCTTACACTTTGGGAGGCAAAGGGCAGGCAGATCGCTTGAGCCCAGGAGTTTGAAACCAGCCTGGGCAACATGGCAAAACCCTGTCTCTACCAAGAAATAAATAAATAAATAAATAAATAAATACAAAAATTAGCTGGGCATGGTGGTGCACACCTGTGGTCCCAAAGCTACTCGGGAGGCTGAGGAGGGAGGATCACTTGAGCCCGGGAGGCAGAGGTTGCAGTGAGCTGAGACTGCACCACTGCACTCCAGCCTGGGCGACACAATGAGACCCTGTCTCAAAATAAAACAAAGTAAAAAAGTTCCCCATGTGTTTACAGTATGTGACAAGGTTGAGAACCACAGCCATAAAATAAAAGGACAAGAACTCTGACTTGCCCATCTCTTGTCTTCCCATCAGACATTTATTACTGTGCATGGCATGATATGTCTCTTTCTGTCTGTCTGTCTTCCATCTTCCCTATTCCTTATTTTGTAGTTATTTCTCTCTTTAACCAAACAGTTTTTTTTTTTTTTTTTGAGACAGTGTCTCACTCTATTGCCCAGGCTGGAGTGTGGTAGCACGATCTTGGCTCACTGCAGTCTTGACCTCCTGGACTCAAGCGATCCTCCCACCTCAGCCTCCTGAGTAGCTGGGACCACAGGTGCACACCATCCCACCAGGCTAGTTTTACAATTTTTTGTAAGATGAGGTCTCGCTGTGTTGCTCAGGCTGCTCTCGAACTCCTGGGCTCAAGTGATCCTCCTGCTTTGGCCTTCCAAACTACTGGGATTACAGGCGTGAGCCACTGTGCCTAGCTCCCAACAGTTTTTGAGCCTTGTAGGCCTGCCCCTTTGTATGCCTCCCTGACTATCATGCTTCTATTTGCTCTCTTTTTTTCTCTTCTTCATCCATTCTTCCCTTCTTAGCTTATCCCATTCCTTAAACTGCTTTTAATATAGAACTTGATCATAAATTTTCAGACTTGGTATATTAGTCTCTAAGGTATCTAGTCTTCATTTAGAGCTATAAAACCAGGAATGGGCTATTTTTAGGTTTTTTTTTTCAGGGAACAGAAACCAAGTGAAGATTGGCACTCTCATTGCCTCTTAAAGGAATAAAGGTGTTCTGTCCCTAGCTGAGGCCCTCCTGGCCTATCTTAGCTGTGGAGAGGACCTCAGGCTTGCTATGGGATGTTTACCTCATTGGCTGAAGCTGGGGATAATAAGACTGCTTTCAATGCATCTTCTCTGGGATTCTGTTCAGGTAGGAGAATTGGAGATCACTTATGCTGGTAGCTTGGATGAGACAGCAAGAAACTCAGTGTACATAATGTCTGTATGTACTTTCAAGTCTTTTACACTTTAGTGCTTTGTGACTGCCTCATTGTGTGCTCCCTGCAGAGAAGTCGGTTATTTCTACTTATACATTGGTCCTCTCATGTCTTGGCTTCTGTTGGCAATGCCTGTGTTAGGTGTGGGCATGCTCATTATCTTCCCACCTTTTACAGAGTTCTTTTCAAAGCCCACTTGCTCTACTCCCTGAGAGAATCATAGACGCAGTCTCTGGGCTAGAGAAGACTTTGGAGAGCATTCAGGACAATGCCCTTCTGAAGTACCAATCATTTTTCAGTTCTCTCTGACATGAGCTCTTCACATAACTCCCATGACAGGGAACTCATTCTCTCCTGAGATCACCCCTTCACTGATAGTTTGGATTTGCATGGGAGAAAGTCCTTCCTCACACTGAATTAAGAGCCGGTTTAGGAAGCACAGGGTCACACAACCAGTTAAGCGACAGACCAGGGACCAGAACTAGATTTTCAGATTCCTGACCAGTGCTTTTTCTGTCACACTGTGATGTCTTGAAGTCTAAGCACAGACCCTGACTCTTGGTAAGATGATTCACTAGCTGACCTGTTCCTGAAGAGATCAGGGAAGACTGCTGGAACTTGCTGCATGACCAGGAAAGTAAGCTGATGTGATAGAAAAGAATGCCTTTGTCTGGGAACAGAAACATCTCAATTTGGGTTCTGGTTGACACTGTTGACCTTGAGTAGGTTAATTTTCTTCGCTGAGCTTGCTTTCTTCTATATAAAATACGGAAAATAATCCTTACCTTTTCTCCTTCCTGGGAGAGTTGTAAAGCAGATAAGAAGTCTGAGTTCTGAAGCATCATACAGAGATGTTGGAGAGTCTTAGTAGCAGTAAATGAACTCACATCCTTTTGGCTGCCTAGGTTCGGGAGGCCTTGAGGAAAGCAGAGAAGGAGCTAGAATCTCACAGCTCATGGTATGCTCCAGAGGCCCTTCAGAAGTGGCTGCAGCTGACACATGAGGTGGAGGTGCAATATTACAACATCAAGAAGCAAAATGCTGAGAAGCAGCTGCTGGTGGCCAAGGAGGGGGTGAGAACAGCCCTTCTATTGTCCTCTTTTCTCCTTTTTGCCCTTCTCCTTTTTACCTGCATATCTTCCTCTTCTCTCCCTCTCCCTGTTCCTCCCATTGGGTGAAGAGATATCCTGGTGGTGGGTTCTGTTTCTTTCCTAATGTTCAGCTCCTGACAGTGTCCTCAGGCTTCTGGAGGAGGGAATGAGGGTGTAGGGGCATTCCTGCCTGTCTTCTGGGAAAGATGAAACAAGTGGAGGCAGGCAGAGGGAAAGCTCTGCCAGCCCCAGGCTGCCATGGGGACAGAGGTCCTCCTGGGGCAAAAGGGCTATCAAGGACCCCTTTGCTTCTCCCCTCGCTTTCTCTATTTTGTCCCCCTCCTTTTTCTTCTACCTTGCCTGCCTTTCTCTTTTTCCTCTTTCTCTTCCCTTTCCTTGTACAGCCTCAGTTGTGCTAGGAGGAGTGGGCCCCAGCCATAGGGGAAGGCCTTTCTCATTTATTCCATTCTCGAATCCCTGCTCTTTTTGAGCTGGGGGCCTCATCTTTGCAGGCTGAGAAGATAAAAAAGAAGAGAAACACACTCTTTGGCACCTTCCACGTGGCCCACAGCTCTTCCCTGGATGATGTAGATCATAAAATTCTAACAGCTAAGTAAGTAACACCAGTTATCTACTCTGGCAATGTCCATATCATCCTCAGAATTTGAGGGCATACAGGGCCTCCAACACCAATTCCATTTCCTCATTGGTGGAGGGACAGCTCTGGTCTCCTGCCTCAGCCTTTATTTATCTCCTGCCTTGCTCTTAAGTTTGAGTTTATTGTGTGTTTTATTCACACATATTCTCAAAACTTGTTCCTCTGAGAAGAGGCTTCATTCCTATTGGGGCTCACACCAAGTCCATGCCTGCAGTTCTCTTTCCTCTGTCTTCAGGCAAGCACTGAGCGAGGTGACAGCAGCATTGCGGGAGCGCCTGCACCGCTGGCAACAGATCGAGATCCTCTGTGGCTTCCAGATTGTCAACAACCCTGGCATCCACTCACTGGTGGCTGCCCTCAACATAGACCCCAGCTGGATGGGCAGTACACGCCCCAACCCTGCTCACTTCATCATGACTGACGACGTGGATGACATGGATGAGGAGATTGTGTCTCCCTTGTCCATGCAGTGTAGGTGACCTCTTTGCGGGGATGAAGGAAGGAGCCTTTGATGTACAGGTTGAGAAGTCTGTGGCCTCTGTTGTGCTTAAACAGCAGATGGGGCAGATACCCAGGAAGATAGTTCAACTCATGACCTTGGTCAATAAAGCACAATTTACTCAGGTTATTTCTTTATAGTTGTCCTTTTGGTGTTCTTTCCTTGTTGTATGCTCTGTGTGCCCCTTTGGGTCTATTGTGCTAAGTGTGTCTCCCTTCATTCTTTTTCACTTTATTGTCCCTAACTACCACTCTATCTACCTTTATAAAAAATATGTCCTTTAGTGAATTTCAATGTAAAAATGGCATTTATTCTATTTATTGAACTTATTTATTTTGATTTTTGTTCCTTATTCTTATTGCTAAAGTAGATGAATGGAATGATGTTTCTTTTTGTGTTTTTGTGAGAGGCCCTATAAAGAAATAGTCCCTTAAAGTGATATAGTCCTAAATCCTCTAAGCTGGAAAGGCATTCTTGCCCAGGAGGGATCTCCTGCACAAGCATGTCTGGCTTTCCACCTGGACTCTTGGATCCTACCCGCTCTTCCTCTGTCCTGGATCTTCCCTCTCCCTTTTCTCCCCTGCAAGTGATGAGAGTTGAGTAGAGCAGAGCCAAAAGGAACAACACTGGAATTCTTCAGTGAATGAAGGGAGTTTTCCCTTACTGGCCCACAATTGAATTTTTCTTTGGATCAGATGCTATTTTAAGTAAGTAGAATAGCCCTTATGGTAAAGCTATTGTCCTAGGCCCATATTCTGCCAGTTCAGCGGGAGGGCAGAAGGCCGGGGCTGGGTTAGGGGCTTACTTTCAGATTCTTTAATCAGGCTGGATTCCCACTCGAGACAGAATTTATTTGTAATTTTATCAATAATACTTTGCCCCTGGCCAAGCCTCTTTGTTCTTCTAATCTGATAACTCGTTAGGCCTTTAATCAAAGGCTTAACAAGGACAGGATCACTGACAGGCAGAGCTTGATCCTGACTTGCTGATCTGAAGGCTTCTGTGTTCTCCAGGCTGGGAGGGACCTTAATTAGCTCTGAGCTACCCAATCCCTGCCCCCAGCCCTTCCTTTATTACATTGATGGCAGGCCGAAGCCCTCCATAAATCAGATTCTCTTCTCCTTTTGGCCTGGCTGTTGACCCTAGATGCTGCCTGGCTGATGGGGCGTAGGTTCAGTGACCGCTCTCTCTGCTCTACATCCGCCGGCTCGGATGATCAGTCCCTCTGGAAATACCCCGGTTTGAGGAGCCCCTTTGGGGCATTTTGTTTTTCTGACTTTCGGGACTAAATCAACACTCTTACCCCATGGGTCCCTTCTCCTGCCTGCTTCACGCCCCTGCCTGCTCCCTCTATCCCCTCAGCACTGTCCCTACTAACTACAGGGAGGGGTTCGGGGGTGAGAAGAATCAGCTTGCTTGGCAAGAGCTGGACAGAGAACACCCATGGTAATGGAAGGCTTAGGCTTCTCCCTTTAGCGCAGCTGTGCAGGTAACCTGGTAGCCCTTCTTCCATCTGGGCTGGGAGGGAAAGAGGGAAGGACAAATGACCCCTTTCTTTTCTCTTTTTCATGTTTCTCCCTTTTCTTCCCAGTTTCCCCCTTCTTTCTCCCCCTTCCCCCCCCTATTCCAGACTTCCTCATCCTCTTCAGCCTCTCTTTCGTACCTTGAAAGCTACCAGCATAGAAGCCCTACCTCCTGAACTCTCCATCACTATGGAATTATGCTGTCTCCCTGGTGGTCCTTCCAAGGCTTCGCTCACCCTTGTAACCTGGCCCTTTCTCTCATCTTTAGGTAGAATGCAGGGAAGCTTATCTATCAGGCTAGAGGAGAAAGAATAAAGGTCTGCACTCTCTTTTAGCTGGGAGTGAGCCCAAAGGGGGATGCACTAGCATATTCCTAAGTTACTTGGTGCCCATGTATCCCTTCACTGGGCATAGTGGCCATTATCTCCAGGACCCCGATTTGCAGCCTGATCCAAGAGCTGGTTCTTTGTTGTTTATGTGCTTATTGGAAAGCGAAAAAGAGTGAACATTAGCATAAAAAGCATCCATAGTCCCACCATATTTGAGCACCTTCTCTATCACTCTTTTCTGTGAAATTTTTTATGTGGTTAAGATAATGATAGCCACTGCCACTTATTGAGTGCCATGACCTGTTTCAGGTGCCTTAAAGACATTATTGTGAAGTCTCAGAAGAACCCTGCAGGATTTTAGAAATTAGGAATTAAAATGGGGAAGTCAGCTGCTCAAGGTCACAGCTAGAAGTGAAAGTCCTGGTTTCAACCTCTAGTGTTTGGTATTCCAAAGCTCAAGGCTAGTACCTATAATTCTGTATCCTTTTTCCCCTCTGAACATTTTAATAGGCATTTTTCCATTTTCTTCAAGTCTTTTTATAAGCATCATTTTTAATAGCTCTATAGTCTCCCAGAAACTGGATATGTTATCATTTTCCCATTGTTCATTATTTATGTTTACTTTCATACAACTATTAATAAAAAGTAAACAATTATGTTTACTTCTCATTTAATTATTAATAATGATGAACATGTTTATGTATAAGTCCTTGTCTATGCTGTGAATTATTTCCTGAGGTTGGCTTTCTGAAAAGGCTGGTTCTTAGTGCTCTCCCGGACCTTATCCCAAGCCCCTATCCTACCCTTCCTTGCTTGTGTCTACCCACTAACTGCCTTGCCACTTCCCTTTATAGTGATATTGCCCATAGGTCTCCTTCTATTGGAATTGCCACTAAAACTGACCTGGGCACTTCATCTTCAATTTCCCATCCTTTTAGGACCCCTGGTGGGAGGTTTCTGGGAGGAGGTGCCCCATTCTCCAGATTGGCATTAGAGGCCCAGGGTGGTCTCCAGCAAGCATTTATTCATGGGCACCTCCTTACCTGCCAGCCCAAAGTGGGCTGGCCCCTCCTGACACTTTCTTTATTCTCCTTGCAGCCCCTAGCCTGCAGAGCAGTGTTCGGCAGCGCCTGACGGAGCCACAGCATGGCCTGGGATCTCAGAGGTTGGTAGAGGGCGAGGCTGGCCACTTCTTGACAAGCCGGGTATCTCTGCGGCGAATGCGCAGCCTTTCATCTGGACAGTCTTTCAGTTCTGAAGGCTACGGGACCAGCTCTCCATCTGCCTCTGCTGCTGCTTCTTGCTCCTCTTCCATCACCACCATCACCACTACCACCACCACCACCACCACCTTCACCACCGTCCATGTCCACCCTGTTTATTACCACCACAGCACTTCCTATTTCCTCCAGATGGAGCCCTACCCTGACACACCCCCTTCTGACAGCACCGCTGTGATGCCTGGGCATTCAGAGAGCTTGGGGTATCAGCTGTCTCTCTTTTCTTTCTTCCCTTCCTTCCCTTTCTGCTGCTTTTACCTTGGTTTCTGCCTGCCAGCTGCTGCTTGATCAACTCTGGGGGTGTGTGCAGTGGGGAATCTTCTTATCCTGTTTGTTCCCAGCTCTGGGATTCCTTTTTAAGGTCAGCCTACTTTCTCCCCTTCTGTGTTTGGGGTTTGCTGACTCTAAAAATGAGTAACGACTTTCTTCCCTCATGACCCTATAGCACTTTTGCCTAAACTATGCACTTTCACATTAGTTATCTCACTTGGGCCCTCACTTCCTTTACTCCTTCAACAAACATTTACTAATGCCTACTCTGTGCCAGGCTCTGCTGGGCATAGGGGTTCACTGGTGATAAGATACAATCCCAGCCATCAAGAACTACAATCTTGTCTGAGAGAGATACATAAATAATTATGGAAAAATTTATTAAGTGCTATGGGGGTGTTGAGGAAGGAGTGACTAACAGTGTGTACCTGGGTGGAATGCTTCACCAAAGAGATGAATTTGTGCTAACATCCTGTGTGAAGGGAAAGGAGAAAGAGTATTCTAGGCAGAGGAAACACTGTATGCAGAGACATGGAGATTCCAGAGAATACAATATATTTGTGGTTAGAACACTGGATATGTGTTGGTGGGAAGGAGAAACAGGTGAGGCTAGAATGACGAAGGCTCCGAAAGGGAAGGGTTTTGGCCTCTACCCGTTAGGAGATGGAGAACTACAAAAGGGTTTCTAAGAGAAAGTGAATCAGTCACATTTGCATTTTAGAAATAACATTTTAGTGGCTGTGTGAAGGAAGGAAGTGGAAGACTACAGGAATTTGGAAAACATTCCAGTAGACCACTAGGGGAGGTAATGAGGACTTGGGATAAAAAGACATGATAAATTTGGTAACTGGCTACAGTGGTGAAGGAAAGGGAGGATCTAGTATGACACTCAGGTTTATAGCTTGAGTGACTGAGTGGACATAACGTCCTTCATGGAATTCGGGAACCAAGATAGCGGACATAGGTTTTGGGGTTTTGGACAAGAAGAGTTTATAGGTGGGGCAGGAATTAAAATACACATTTTAAGAACAGTAAGTTAAGGTTCTAAAAGGGTAAGTAATTCCCTCCAGGTCTCATAGCTAGTTGAGAGCAGAGCACAGATTAGAACTTGGCTTTCCATTCCAGAATACTCCGTTGGATATTTTTGTCTTTTCACAAGGTCTCAAAAAGTGTACTGGAAAATAATTGGTGAAAGGTTTTTCTTCCACAGCTTTGTCTGGCAGCTGCAGAGACTATTCTTGCTAATACCCAAGATGGTAGACTAGAATCAGAGATAGTAGCCTTGACCTTGCCTGGAACAAGCTTAGGAGACCTTCAGAAAGTCCTTCCCCTCTGGAAGTACTTCTCATCTCTGAAATGGTGACCACAGCCCAGTCCTGGCCTCTGGGCTGCAGTCTGCTTACTCTGTTGCTTTTTTTTAGTTCTATCTCACTCTGGATACCCATTTATTCAGCTCTGCCCCTTAAACCTCTGGATAGTTATGCTTGAGGGCTGTTCCTTTCTCTTGCACAAAGGGATTGCCCTTACTAGGATTATTACTCAGCAGAGCCACTCATATCCATTCTCATTCTCATTTTCATCCAAAAGCCTAGGAAGGGAGACTGCTCCTTCCAGTACAGATGGAGAGGATCAAATTGGGTTGGGGACACTAAGGGATGCTGTGAATTCCATGCTCCAAGGTTTAAGCTGAGGGCAGTGGGGAGGAAGGGCGGAGAGGTACCTGTATCCACCTGGCCTGTTCACTACTTAATTTTCTTTTGCACCACGCACCAGAGGATCATCTCTAAAGGCAAACAGGCTCTCTAGTAAGGTCAGTAGCTTGGGATGGGAGTCCGAGGCAGCCCAGCCTTTGGGGAGGGACCTCTGGCCTGATTGTTCTCAGTGATTCAGGGAGGGAAGGTGAGCCTGCCTCACTGGGCCTTTTCCCTCCTATATCTCCCTAGGCTTCCTCCCAGGTTCTTATCTTGCTTTGGCAGTCCCAACTTTTAGCTGATGAGAGAGGCATAGAAGGACAGGAATCAGGCTGGGTGCAGTGGCTCACACCTGTAATCCTAGCACTTTGGGAGGCCGAGAGCGGAGGACTGCTTAAGCCCAGGAGTTTGAGACCAGCCTGGGAAACAAAGTGAGACCCTGTCTCTACAAAAAAAAAATCAAAAATTTAGTTGGGCATGGTGGCACATGCCTGTGGTCCCAGCTACATAGGAGGATCACTTGAGCCTGGGAGGTCAAGGCTGCAGTGAGCCGAGATCGCGCCATTGCACTCCAGCCTGGGCAACAGAGCAAGACCCTGTCAATAAATAAATAAATAAAAAGATGGATAGGAATCAAGATGAAATAGGGGTCTGGTCCAGGAGAAGTGAGGCTGGGAGGGCCCTAACCTCCTGATTTCTCCTCCTTGGTGTTAGAGAGGGTAGGATCCCAGAATCTTCACTTCCTCAGCTTAGAGGACCCTTTTTCTCAGTGTGATTGCTTCCCAGAACTTCCTTGGCACCTTGCTCATTGGTTTATAATAGTGTTTGGAGAAGGCAAGATATGGAGAGGATCATCTTGGGGCTTAGAGAAACAAGGACAAGTTTAGAAGCAAGGACAGTGTCAGATATATGAAACCAAATATGAGACTGAATATTTGTAAATACTAGAATATGTGGCTAAAACAGTATTTGTAGAATGGAAGCTGAGTTGGAATTGTTCTCTGCTGCCTGCTGAGTCCAGGAAGGTACTGGCCCATGGGGTGGCTACTTAGTTATTTGCTTCCAACTGAGAATTAAATCTACAATAGCTATGAGCCAACCCCCTGCTTTTGCCTGTTTCAGGGGCCTGGTACCCTTCCTAACTTCTGACCCTCAGCCTCTTTCTTTCTAGGTCCTATGGTGGTCTCCTTTTCCATTCATGACTCTTCCCCTTTGGCTAGCAGACGTTTAAACATTTCCCTTAGGTCTCTCCTCTGCTTTTGCTGAGGTTCTCAGGCCTCTAGGAAGGCAGAAGGAGGATTCAGGATTGGCAGAGAGAGCACCTCCATATCTACCTTTTTGTCTGTAGAGCAGGAGGAGTGGCATCTGGAATTGATTCATGGTCTTAGCAACCACCAGCTCCTTAAAGGGTCTCAAGTTCCTAGACTAGCCTGTGTGTGTGCATGTCCAGTGTGCGGTGGCATGTCTCCATAACTCAGCCTTGCAAAGAAGCCTCTTGCGACCGGCCCGTACATAGGCCTTTCAGCTTGGCAGGCCTCATCATCTTCATTCCCACAATAATTTCTACATTTCCAAGTGCTTTGCCAGCATATTTGATCCTCCAAACAGTCTTGTAAGATAAATTGAATTGGTATTATCTTCATTAGGCCAAAGTTAAGGACTAGCAAGTTTAGATGACTTGACTTGTCCAAGATCACACAGGAGTCCAGACCTCTTCTGAACCACTGCTCTTTAAAGGCCAACATCCTGTCTTTCTATGCCTCCCTACATTCTCCGTCAGCAGAGTTCTGAAAGAGACCCCACCCTTCCTGCCGCACCACAGACTTTGGTTTGAACTCTGCAATACCTATCTATGACCTCCTTTGAATCCTATGAGATGGTTAGAAGAGGCAGCATCCTGGCCTTTTGGGGTGGGTGAAGGATTATTTGCAAGGCTGTTCTAACCTTCTCATCTCCAGCCTGGGTCAGGTCCACTGACTGCATGTGCCCTGTTCCTTGGGGCCTGGCCCAGACTGGATAATATCCTAAGGTGTGACAGGAGTAAGTGGGGAAGGAAGGCATGGAAAATGGTGACTCGGAGCAGGCTGTAGGTTCTGTGTTAGCTTGAGTCCCAGGAAATACAGCCAGCTATGAGAAGGCAGAGATTTTATTGAGGATGCCGCCTGTGGAATTTAAGCCTATGGCTGCACCAGTTCAGAGCCAGAGCATTCACCACTGGTGGGGCCCAGGTATTGGAAAACCATTTGCCAGACAGATGATGGTATGATGACATTTGTTTTTGTTTCTTATCTGTTTCTTCCCTCCCTATCACTTTTCCCTTTCTTGTCTTTCTCTCTTGGCCCTTCTTTCTACCTGCTTATCCTTTTGCTTTTCTTCCTCTACAATTCTACTCTCCTTTTCCTGTCTCTTTTCCAATCTATCCTCATTCCCTCCTCCTGCCTCCTCTCTTATCCTATACTTATGGCTGCTCAACTTCTGTCTATTCCTCTTTCCTCTCTCCTTCCCACCTGCCTGTTCATCCTATTTCTCTCTCCTGCCGCTCTATCCCCATTTTCCTACCCTGTCCTTGTCTTCTCGTGTTGTCCCTCTCTCCTCTTCGCCTTTCCCCTATCACCTCATCCAATATATGTCCCTTTCTTCCTCTCTGCCCCATGTCTTGCAGGGATTTGACCCATTCCGATTCGGAGTCCTCCCTCCACATGAGTGACCGCCAGCGTGTGGCCCCCAAACCTCCTCAGATGAGCCGTGCTGCAGACGAGGCTCTCAATGCCATGACTTCCAATGGCAGCCACCGGCTGATCGAGGGGGTCCACCCAGGGTCTCTGGTGGAGAAACTGCCTGACAGCCCTGCCCTGGCCAAGAAGGCATTACTGGCGCTGAACCATGGGCTGGACAAGGCCCACAGCCTGATGGAGCTGAGCCCCTCAGCCCCACCTGGTGGCTCTCCACATTTGGATTCTTCCCGTTCTCACAGCCCCAGCTCCCCAGACCCAGACACACCATCTCCAGTTGGGGACAGCCGAGCCCTGCAAGCCAGCCGAAACACACGCATTCCCCACCTGGCTGGCAAGAAGGCTGTGGCTGAGGAGGATAATGGCTCTATTGGCGAGGAAACAGACTCCAGCCCAGGCCGGAAGAAGTTTCCCCTCAAAATCTTTAAGAAGCCTCTTAAGAAGTAGGCAGGATGGGGTGGCAGTAAAGGGACAGCTTGTCCTTCCCTGGGTGTTCTGTCTCTCCTTCCCTCCCTTCCTTCAAGATAACTGGCCCCAAGAGTGGGGCATGGGAAGGGCTGGTCCAGGGGTCTGGGCACTGTACATACCTGCCCCCTCATCCTTGGGTCCTTCATTATTATTTATTAACTGACCACCATGGCCTGCCTGCCCTGCCTCCGTCCCAACCATGGGCTGCTGCTGTCACTCCCTCTCCACTTCAGTGCATGTCTTAGTTGCTGTTCCCTCAGCTCCCAGCTCCACCTCTGGGGTTCAGCTTCTGTCTCTGCTGTCCCAGTTTTGAGGTTTGGTTTCTTGTTTCTGTCTCTTGCTTTCGGGCTCCTCCCTCCCACCACTCCCCAACTTCCCCTAGCAGTTGCAGGGAAGATAGGACGAGTAGCTTCTGACATGTGTGCCTCAGATCTGTTCCACCCCACTCACAGTGGTTCTGTTTGCTCCAGACTGGGGCTAGGGCCTAATCTTTGAAGTTTGTTCTTTGGTATTGATGTGGGTCAGAAGGAGCCTCATCCTAATCTCACTCAGGCCTCCAGGGATCCATGGGGGAGTGAAACCAATTCTCAGAGAACAACCCACCAGAGACTTTTAAAGAGAGGCCAGGCTTGGGAATGGGTTGGGAGAGGCATCTGTTCATTGGAGCATGAGTGGATGCCAGAACTGTAGGTTATAAGGCAGTCACTTTTTCTCTCTACTCCCACCCACACCTGCCTCCCTCTTACCCCTGCTCCCCCACACTGCAGGAGGATTTGTCTCTAAGAGGTGCTGCCCCAAAGCTCCCCAAGCATCAATACTCCTAGGGCTCAGGACAAGTGGCTCCCCTGGCCAGGAGAGCCACAGCCATGATACAGGGCTCTTATGGAGCCCTGGAGTTGTTGGGCAAGGATGCTGTCATTTTTTGAACCAAAAGACAAACAGGTTAAAAGGAAAAAAAGTAATCTGAATTTCCCAAGTGCCTACGCTGCATATTCCCCTTGTTAGATCCCATTTTCATGTTACTTTGTAGCCTTGGCCAGAGGCTCAAAAAGGACACAACCAGTTTGGGGAAGGGGTGGCTAAGGAAGATGGTATAGGTGAAGGCGGCTGTGTGACCACTTTCCCCCACCCTTCCCACCCTCTAGACAACTCTCTCCCTTACCTGTTTTTGCTATGGCTGTAAAGGTATTTTTCCTCTGCCCCACTCCCTGCCATACCTTTATCCTGGGATCCTATTTTGGGCCTGGGGTGGGTATACCTGGGGCTGGTCTTAGGAGGGTGCTAGGCTGCAGACTGCCTTGTACTCCCTGGACACCCTCAAATGGGGTTTTCTGTGTTATTTCATAAAATTCTTTGAAGTCCAATAAAGCATGTAGGAGATTTTAACCACTGCTGGCTTTGACTCTCATTGTGTTCTCTGTGCTGTGGCATGATGGGATAAAGAGACAATCTTTCCTTTGCCCAGGGAAAATGAAACTTGAATGCACATGCCCAGAAGCTCTGTGGGCAGGGTTACCAGATAAATGCAGGATGACCAGTTAAATGTGAATTTCAGATAAACAGTTTTTAAAGTATAATTTTCTCTCATGCAGTATCTGGGACACATTTTTATTTGCTAAATTGGGAAACCCTATGTCTGGGTAAACTTGACCCTATCTATCCTATAACTTCACTTACGACTTTTAAAAAACATATCTATTTAATTTTTCTTTCTTTTTTTTTGTTTTTTTTGAGACGGCGTCTCACTCTCTTGCCTAGGCTAGGGTGCAATGGCGCGATCTTGGCTCACTGCAACCTCTGCCTCCAGCGTTCAAGCGATTCTTCTGCCTCAGCCTCCTGAGTAGCTGGGATTACAGGCGCGTGCTACCATGCCTGGCTACTTTTTGTATTTTTAGCAGCGGGGGGGTTTCACCACGTTGGTTAGGCTGGTCTCGAACTCCTGACCTCGTGATCTGCCCGCCTTGGCCTCCCATAGTGCTGGGATTACAGGAGTGAAGCACCGCGCTGGCCTACTTTTTCTATTTTTTGTAGAAATGGGGTCTCACTATGTTGCCCAGGCTTATCTCAACACCTGGCCTCACATGATGCTCCCGCCTTAGCCTCCCAAAATGCTGCAATTACAGGCTCACTTACGACTTTCCATGATTTTTGAAATTACTTCACAGGGAGCCTGGGCAGCTTCTGGAGGGCAGTGAGAAACCAACGAAAAGGCTTTAGGGAAAAGATGCCACAGATGAAATTTCATAAAGATCGCTTTGGGTAGCCCAAATCAGAAGCTTCTACACCAGCCTTACATATTACGGTTCTCATCTATTCTTATTCTCCACTCTAAGTCACCAAGTCCATCCTACCTCCACAAGGCAAATACCCTGTCTCTGCCACCATCCACTGAAGAACCCTAAAAGCAAATGGGTACTGACCCTGCCCTGCTTAAAATTCTCTCAGGGCTCTGATTTGCGTCAGGATAAAATCCAAACGCCATCGGCCTTGCGCGGTTTTCTTCCAGTTCCAGAGTGTCAGTCCTCTGGCCGATCTAAAAGCCCTGGGGCTCCAAGCTGCCCACGGCTGTGGAGCCTGGGCTGGAGCCCACAGCGGACGGCAGTGTTAGTATTATTATAATAAATGTCAGAGCAAGAAAAACGTTCCCGCCGGTTAGGTTTTGTTATTTCAAAAATAAATTAACCGCCTTTCCTCCGGCGGAGACGCGCAGGTGAGAGGGCGGCGCCTGACCCAGCGGGCTCTAGGTGCTACGCCAGGGCCCCGAGGGTCCCGAACTCGGCTTGCCCACACAAAACATGGTAGCAGGAGAGCAGCATTTCCGCCGGGCATGTCCATATCCAATGGGGCCCATGGGAGAGGCGTAGTCTTCTGGGTCTTGCCCAGACTCAACATGGCGGCTACACGTCGCCTGTCAGTCTGTGAAGCCTACCCCGGGCGTGGGCCGCAGCGTCGAGTAACGTCATTCGAACCCCGTCGCGCCCCTTTGTGCGTCACGGGTGGCGGGCGCGGGAAGGGGATTTGGATTGTTGCGCCTCTGCTCTGAAGAAAGTGCTGTCTGGCTCCAACTCCAGTTCTTTCCCCTGAGCAGCGCCTGGAACCTAACCCTTCCCACTCTGTCACCTTCTCGATCCCGCCGGCGCTTTAGAGCCGCAGTCCAGTCTTGGATCCTTCAGAGCCTCAGCCACTAGCTGCGATGCATGTGATCAAGCGAGGTGAGGGGGGGACGAGGTGGGCGAGAAGGAAGGTGAGGGGATGCGGGCTGCCGCCGCCGGAGCTGATGCCCAGACCGCCCGCCCGCCTTCGCTGCTTCCCGCCTTTCCCGCATTTCCCGCCGCGGCCTTCCGCCCTGTCAGCCCGCTCGGCCTTCTGTCTTCAGTCAGCCTGCCCCGAACCTCCTTCGGGCCTTCAGGCTGCGCCCCCTCGGCTTTGTCATCCTGCCGCCTTTCAAAAGGATAACACTTACCCCGTATCGAGTAGTGACTGCGTACGCCGAGCACTTGCCAGGCACTATTTTATTCCTCCCTGCAAGCCTCTGAGAGATGATTAGCTTATTACAGATGAGGAAACTGACGCTCAGAGCGAGGTGTCGCCGACTGACCCAAAGTCACCCATAGGTGACAATACGGTTTGATTTGAAAACCGTGGGGTTGGTGAGCTGTCTTAGGCACAGGGTCGGGGGGCAGCTAGGAAAGAAGGAGGGGGCCTCTCTACCCTCCGTAGGCACTTGTCAGTTTACTGATCTCTTTTGTGGGGTGAGGATAGGAGTGTGGCGTGGAAAAAACAGATCCCAGACAGACAGCACCCTCGAGTTCCTTTCCCTTCATGGGAAGAGATGCTGAATCAGAGAAGGGTGGCTGAGACATCTTCTGACAAGATGGGGACTGGGAAGAGTCAGGAACTCGTATTCTTTCTCAACAGTTCTTTTTCATTAGACTTGCCAAGTGCCCGCTTTGTGCCCAGCCCTTTGCTTGGCTTTGTGAGATTGTAGGAGGAGACAGTCCCTGCCTTGGGAACAGGCTTCATCGGGTTGGAAAAACAAGAGCAACATACTTTTAACAACCGCATGAGATACGTATGAACAAGTTTTGAGTTGAACCTACTTGCCTTTGTTAAAGCAATACAATGATTTCAAAATTGTAGGCACTTAGTAAATACTGGTTAATCGACTGGTTGTTTCTATTTTGTCCTCTAGGCTGTGAACATTTCAAAGATGGAGACTTGTTTGAGACAGAGTCTTGCTCTGTCACCCAGGATGGAATGCAGTGGTGTAATCATAGCTTACTGTAACCTTGAAGTCCTGGGCTCAAGCGATGCTCTTGCCTCAGCCTCTCAAGTAGCTGGGACTATAGGCATGCACCACCATGAGTGGCTAATTTTTAAAAATTTCTGGTAGTAAAGGAGTCTTGCTGTGTTTCCCAGTCTGGCCTTGAATTCCTGGCCTCAAACCATCCTCCCTTCCTTGGCTTCCCAAAGTGCTGGGAATACAAGCAAGATGGAGACTTTTCTGTTCACGTTTAGCACAGGACCTGACATGAACAGATTCTTAAAGAATGAATGAAAATAGTTGTATCAAAATGTAGGACACGATGAATGCTGTGAATAAGCAGGTAGTTGATTTGGTTTAACTACAGCCAATGTCCAGATTGGTTTAACTACAGACAAGAGTTGGAAAGGTGGACAGTAGTGGCCTTTCTTGTTTTTGGTATCTTGAGAACATCATTCTGTGAATTTTCCTAGCTCACATTTTAGCTGACCAAAGAGCAAAATAACATAGTGCACTTTTATTGATCCATTCATAAGAGTGAGAGCTGAGCATCTATTTTTGTATTTTTATTTTTTTACATTATTATTTATTTGTATTTTTTTAGAGAAGGAGTCTCGCTATGTTGCCCAGGCTTGTCTTGAACTCCTGGGCTCAAGCATTCTTCCCACTTCAGCCTCCCAAAGTGCTTGGATTACAGTGCTGGGAGCCACCGCACCTGGCTTGAGCATCTATTTTTTAAATCTTTAGATATGGGAGAGATGTTTAGGATGGTCTATGATAAGTCAGTAACAAAGATGAATTGAAAATGTATGGACTTAGATGACCAGAATGGGTAAAATTCAACCCTGTGTTGAATTTTGAACTTTTAGAGTCTACTTCTAAATACTTTCGTTTAAAAAGTGCTACCTTGGCCTGGCGTGGCAGGGCATGGTGGCTCACGCCTGTAATCCCAGCACTTTGGGAGGCTGAGGTGGGTGGATCATTTGAGGTGTGGAGTTTGAGACCAGCTGGGCCAACATGGTGGAACCCCGTCTCTACTAAAAACACAAAAGTTAGCCGGACGGTAGTGGTTTGCACCTGTAATCCCAGCTACTCAGGAGGCTGAGGCAGGAGAATCGCTTGAGCCTGGGAGGCAGAGGTTGCTGAAATCGTGCCATTGCACTCCAGTCTAGGCGACAGAGTGACACTCTGTCTCAAAAAAAAAAAAAAAAAAAAAAACCACAAAGTGCTAGCTATAACTAGCTCTAAAAAGCAGAGCTTATTTTCTCATTCCTTCATAGAGCACAATTTGATCCAGATGGTTCATGCTGTAGATTCTGCCATTGTAGCATTCAGCAAGACTTAATATACAACATGTACTTAGATTTGTTTGTTTCTTTTTTTTTTTATATTTCTATGTTTCTATATTTTAATGTTTTTTAATATGCATAGGGTTTTTGGTTTTCTGGACTTTTTTTGTACCCCCTTATTTTTGGCATGTCAGTGGAATAGCAGACTAACTCCTACAGTTTTTGTTAATTTTCTTTGAGATGGGGTCTTGCTCTGTCATCCAGGCTGGAGTGCAGTGGTGTGATCTCAGCTCACTGCAGTGTCTGCCTCCTGGGTTCAAGAGATTCTCCTGCCTCAGCCTCCTCAGTAGCTGGGACTACAGATGTGTGCCACCACGCCTGGCTAGTTTTTGTTATTTTTAATAACAAGGGCAACTGGAAGTTGACTTTGAAGTACCTACTGAATATGCTAATGTCTTGCTAAACACTGTGAGGGCAGTAATGGAGAAGGCAGCTCTATCTTCAAAGAACTTAAAATTGTTAGGGATTTAGGAACAATCCATATGAAAATTATTAGATAGAAGAGAATAGTAGATGAGTTTTTTTCATCTGCTATCTTGAGCTATTTTTCCTAATGGGAGAGTATCATTCCTCAAGGAGATTATGGTTAAAAAAATAAACATTGAGAACCATTGCAGTAAATGACAAAGTAGCTAACTGAGTTGTAAACTGTTTTGGAATTTAGTGTAGTATTTTCAAAACTTTGGATTGTAACTCACAGTAAAAAACAAAACATTTTACAGACATGTGTATATATGTGGATACACATAAAATGATACAAAAGTTTACGAAATAATGTCTTTGAAAGCATCCATTTGCACTCTAATCTTTCTTTTATTCCAGATTCTTTCCCTATCCCTGCCTCCCTCCCTCCCTTCCTTCCTCCCTTTCTTCCTCCCTCCCTTCCTTCCCTCCCTCCTTGCTTCCTTCCTTCCTTTCTCCCTCCCTTCTTTCCTGCCCTCCTCCCTCCCTCCCCTCCCTCTCCCCCTCCCTCCGTCCCTTCCTCCTTCCTTCCTTCCTTCCTTCCTATTCCATTCACAGCCTGCTAATATTATTTTACAACTCTGTGGATACCGTGCTGTTCACCGGGATTGCAGTGATGAGTAGGCAGACATGGTTCCAGCTTCCAAAGATCCTACAATCAATTGAGAAAGATAGACAAATAAAGAAGTAATATGATAAAATATGATAAATACTCTGATAGGTAAAGTATAGGCAGTAGAGGCCATTCATTCAGTTATTCATAAAGCATTTATTCAGCACCTCTTTGTGCTAGGAACCGTTGTAGGCATTAGAGATTCTGCAGTGAACAAAGCTAAATTACATTTCTCATTGAGTTGACTTCTTGGTGTGGGTGGGAGTGGTAAGTGTATATAAGAAATAAGAAGTAAACATAATAATCAGTTAATTTCAGATACTGATTAATGAGATGATAGTAAAACAGGATCATGTGATAAAGATGAATGAGAAAATAACCTTGGATTGGGTAGCCAGGAAAGGCTTCTCTGAGAAGCCAACATTTGAGCTGAACCCTAAATAGTATTAAGAGCTAGTAATGTGAGATCTGTGGCCTGAACATTCTCGGCAGAGGGAATTAGAAAGTTTGTATCCTGTGGAAAAGGCACGCATCCTTGGTCTTACAGGATTAGGGAAGTCTTCCTGAAGAGAGAAGAATGAAAGACAGTTTATAGCCAAGAGGAAATCACACTAGTATGCTAGAGGATTTTTTAATTTTATTTTTTATTTTTTGAGACGGAGTCTTGCTCTGTTGCCCAGGCTGGAGTGCAGTGGTGTGATCTTGGCTTACTGCAACCTCTGCTTCCCAGGTTCAGGCAATTCTGCCTCAGCCTCCCGAGTAGCTGGGATTACAGCATACCCAGCTAATTTTTTTTTTTTTTTTTTTGTATTTTTAGTAGAGATGGGGTTTCACCATATTGGCTAGACTGGTCTCGAACTCCTGACCTCAGGTGATCCGCCTGCTTTGGCCTCCCAAAGTGCTAGGAATACAGGCTGAGCCACCATGCCCTGCTGGCTAGAGGATTTTAAAAGAGGAAAAGGTCAGTGTGAGTTAAAAGTGGTTGAGGCAGGTTTTATGGAGGTGTGAGATTTGGAGGGTGAGTAGGAGTTAGATGTATGGAAAGGTGGAAGAGGAACCTTTAGGCAGAGTAAGGTATAAGCAATGATGTGGATATGGGAATGGGAAGCCCTCTTGGGACTTATATTTCACAGGGAACAGTTGAAGAGATCTGGGGCCAAACTAAGAAAGGCTTTGCTTGAGAGAAGAGGATAATGTAGGCAGTGAGAAGCAGGGATTAGTGATGTGATAAAATCAACATCTGGCTTGAAAAACTAACCAAGTGGAATGACAGAATAGAGAACTGTGTGTCATTGGACCTTTAGATCTTTAGTCTGCCTCCTATTTTCAAGTGTGAGTTAAGATAATTACCAATGCACTTTTTTTTTTTTGTCAGTTTCCTGATTGACTTCAGAACTTCTGGCAGTTGTAGAATTTTCTTTTTGCTAAGTTGCTTTCCCCCCCCACTGCATGTATAATTGCAGAACGCTAATGTTGCTTTGCAGTTACCTGCCTGCTTAGTTATCCAATTGCTAGAGCACTGAGGTTTCAGTCCCAGTGCCAGCCAGTTAATTTACCCCATTTCAGAGTTAAATGCTGCAGATGTGAGCCTGATGAGAAAATTATCACAATGGTGATCAGAAAGAGAGGGGCTAACATATCAGTGTAGAAGAAAAAGCAACTTGTTCTAGTGATAATGGGTTAATAGTGATGTCTTATTGTTCATTTATTCTTCATCAAATGTTTGAGAACTTGCCTTGTTCTAGGCACTAAATTTGAGAATACAGATGTGAATCAGAGGGCCAAATAAATGTAAACATATTTAGCATGTTTCTTATTGGTTACTTCAGGTTGAGTATCCCTTATTCAAAATGCTTGGGCCCAGAAGTGTTTCGGATTTTGGATTTGTTTCAGATTTTGGAATATTCGCATTATACTTACTGGTTGGGCATCCCTAATCAGAAAATCCAAAATCTGAAATGGTCCAAGGAACATTTTCTTTGAACATTGTGTTGGCATTGAAAAAGTTTTGGATTTTGGAGTGTTTTGGATTTTGGAATTTTGGATTAAGGATACTCAGCCTATAGTTACAATGGATTGTAGGTGCACAAAAGAGACAAAAACTAAATCAGTGTGAGACACTAACATTTATTGAGTGCCTATTGTGTATCACATACTGTGATTTTTTTTTCCCCCATAGGAGCAGCTTTATTTTATAACGAGGTATAGTTGTAACTATGCCAAAGTTGTTACAACAAAAGCACTTTTTACCTTATCTAATTTTATTGTCACAGTAAACTGATTAGGCAAGTAAAATAGATATAATAATTAACCCCTTTCTACAAATGAAGATCTGTGAAATGACTGATTGTGTTTTGTGGCTTGTCTAAGGTTAAGGCTGTTTGGTGGTTGGATATATTCACTATTCCTGGTAAGAATAAATAAAGGTCGGATGAGCTACTATTTGAGGTTAAACTAAGAGTAGTAAGACTTTTTTGTCTAGAAGGACAAAGATATAATCTAAGTCCAAAATCATGAAAAATATTAGGTAAAATATATAGTATGTCAGATGGGGTAAGTGCAATGGAGAAAAAGCACAGAAGGGGAAGGGGGATAAGAAGAGCAAGGGTCCTATTTGGGGCATTGCAATTTAAAATGGAATCATCAGGGAAAGCCACATTGAGAAGGTGATGACATTGAGCAAAAGACCTAAAGGAGATATATAGCAAGAAGGCCAAGTTGTCAAGGTACAATAGGAAGGAAGGTGGGAGAGTTGGAGGTGAAATTGGGAAGTGGGTGCACAGGACAAGTGGTATAGGATTCTGTGGATTTTTTTTTTTTTTTAGTTGGAGTTTCATTCTTGTTGTCCAGGCTGGAATGCAATGGCGTGATCTCAGCTCACTGCAACCTCCGCCTCCTGGGTTCAAACAATTCTCCTGCCTTAGCCTCCCGAATAGCTGGGATTATAGGCCCCTGCCACCATGCCCAGCTAATTTTTTGTATTTTTAGTAGAGACGGGGTTTCACCATATTGATCAGGCTGATCTCGAACTCCTGACCTCCAGTGATCCACACCCCCCCCCGCTCCCTTGGCCTCCCAAAGTGCTGGGATTACAGGTGTGAGCCACTAGGCCTGGCCTGTGGATTGTTATAACAATTTTGACTTTTATTCTGGAGATCATAAGCCACTATTAGGAGTTTTGAAGGAGGTAATGATATGATTCTGAGTTTAACTTTTAAAGGGTAATTTTGGCTGCCATGTGGGATGGGGGAAAAATTTAGGAAATTATCCGTAAACGTCTGTCTGTATAGAATTCATACTCTTTGAAGGTGACATCAGAGAAGACAATCTCTTCATGAATCTTTTGAGGGGGCCTCAATCTTTTCTGTGAAATAGCACTTCATGTTGGTCAATTTACATGTTAATTACATTTGATTCTTTGACATTGTAGTCTTAATAATTGCTAACATGAATTTAATAATTGCTAACATGATTTGATTCTTTAGATGGCCGCCAAGAACGAGTCATGTTTGACAAAATTACATCTCGAATCCAGAAGCTTTGTTATGGACTCAATATGGATTTTGTTGATCCTGTAAGTAAATATGGTTTTTATCTTGGGTTCCTTCTTTCATGTGTTTCTTTCCATTTGTCTCTTATCCCTGGACCTTCATTCACCTGATATACTTTGGTATTCTGGCTATGCCCTTCGATATAAAATTTGAATTCATTGCTTAAAACATTTTTTTTTCCTTAATTTTGGTTCTGTCCTGTGAGTTCTCACTTTTCAGAGAACTATGAATGTGAGTAAAGAGGAAAATTTGATATTAACATTTAATATCAGATATTTCCTTGAGTAAATTGTTTTATTCATTAGTGGAAAAGCCTAGGCCAGGCGCCGTGGCTCACGCCTGTAATCCCAGCACTTTGGGAGGCTGAGGTGGGCAGATCACCTGAGGTCAGGAGTTCAAGACCAGCCTGGCCAACATGGTGAAACCCCGTCTCTACTAAAAATGCAAAAATTAGCCGGGCCTGGTGGTGGGCGCCTGTAATCCCAGCTACTTGGGAGGCAGGAGAATCACTTGAACCTGGGAGGCAGAGGTTGCAGTGAGCCGAGATCGTGCCACTGCACTCCAGCCTGGGCGACAGAGCGAGACTCCCTCTCAAAAAAAAAAAAAAAAGGGAAGCCTAGAGTAAAGCTTGTTTTGGAATTGTGGTTATTTAGGTAGGGACTGGTTTAAAATTTGTTTTTTGTTATTTATGTAAAAAGATTTAAGTAATATAAAGTAGATTTCATGGACAATATTTAAGTCAAGAACAAACTATTCATAAACCAGTTGCTCTGCTTTTCTCCTTATCCTTTATAACTTCTGTATTCTAGACTCTCATCATCAGTTATCTGGACTGTTTTCTGTGGTCTCTGCAGTGTCCTGGACTTCCTCTAATCTTACCCTCTTCAAACTCGTCTTCCACCTGACTTCTAAAATGATCTTCCTTAAATGAGAATCTCTAAGAACTCTTTTTTTCAAATCCACCCATATTTCCGTCTCCTTATTTAGGTATCTTATCCGCACTGCTAAGGTATCTTAGGTATCTTATCCGTAAAACCTGTGCTCATCTCATAGCTTTAATCATATAGTATGGAAATTAATTATGGATCTTTGTCCTCCCCTAGAATTGAGGATGGGCTGTGTATCTTATTCTTGTGATATCCTCAGTGCTTGACATGTATCTAATTAGCCACTTGACCAAAGTAAGTTTGGTCAAGAGAAAATGATTTTATGTATCTTGAAAATATGTTTATTGTAAATTCTCTTTTATATTGAGGACTTAGGCAATAATTAGAATAGTAGAATGTTAGAGTTGGAATGAACTTAAGAGTCCATCCCATTTCATCTTTGGTTTATAGATAAGAAAGTTCCAAAGAGAGAGGGGAGTGACTTAAGTTAGTGGGAGTGTAGGGAGAAGCACCTAGGTCTCTTGACTCCTACATGTTCTATTGCCTCATGCAGTAGTACATTTTAGAGCGCAAGAATGTTGCAGCATCCTCAAACTTCCTAGGGTAGATTCTGTTGAAAAACTGTCGGTGCACATCTGTAATCCCAGCACTTTGGGAGACTGAGGTAGGCAGATTGCTTGGGCTCAGGAGTTTGAGACCAGCCTGGGCAACATGGTGAAACTGCCCAGGTGCAGTGGCTCAATCTTGGCCCACTGCAGCCTCCACCCCTGGGGATCAAATGATTCTTGTGCCTCAGCCTCCCTCAGCTGGGATTACAGGCATGTGCCACCACGCTATTTTTTTTTTTTTTTTTTTGTATTTTTAGTAGAGACAGGGTTTTGCTATGTTGGCCAGGCTCGTCTTGAACTCCTGACCTCAAGTTATCTGTCCGCCTTGGCCTCCCAAAGTGCTGGGATTACAGGTGTGAGCCACACTGTGCCTGCCCTCAACCCTGTTTCTACAAAAAAAAAAAAAAAAAAAAAATTGGTTGGGTGTGGTGGCGCATACCAGTAGTCCCAGCTACTTGGTGGTGGGAGGATCGCTTGAGCCCTGGAGGTTGAGGTTGCTGTGAGCTGAGATTGTGCCACTGTACTCCAGCACAGGCCACAGAATGAGACCCTGTCTCAAAAAGAAAAAAAGAAAAACTGTGTGCTGTTAGATCTGGCACAGTTAGCACACAGATGGTATTTTATTCTGAGTTCTAATTGTTTGCCTTATTGCTCTAGAAACTATTTAGAAGACTTCACTGCTCTTATACTGAACACACCTTATCTGCTGGATCTGGGAAGAAAGTGATCAGGAGCAACTTGGGCTTAGCTATATTATAATTAGAATAGATTGCAGACTGTTAAAATAGTTACACACGTATGTGTCTTTTTTTGAGGGGAGTATGCATTGTTCAGCTGGGAAACACATTTATTTTCTGTTGGATTAAGCGGTTTCTTAAAGATTCAATAAATAAACCACTCACAACTTAGAATTTGTTTTTCTTAAAAATGTATGCTAATACCCTGTGCATTACCTGTCTTAAAAACTGGAACTTATAATGTGGCCTTGAAAACAGTGAAATGCAGTGAGGTTTAATGGGATTGGGGCCAGAAGACTTGTATAATAATATAACCTTGGGCAAGTCTCAGTAACCTGAGCCTCAGGTTCTTCATGTAAAATAGGTATAGTAATAATCATCTCACAAAGTGATTGTGAAATGTCAGAGATTATCAAAGTTGATAATTACTTATCAACTTTGGTTGAGAATCATTTGAACCTCGGGGGCGGAGGTTGCACTTTGTAATTTGTGAAGTGCTAAAGAAAGTTGTCATTAAATTATCATAATTCAGCCCCAGACCTAATTTATACTTCTGTCTCCTTTAATTGGCCTGATTAAAGTTTGATTCATTTGCTTTTCTGTACTTACCTTATGTGGAATTTGGGAAAAGTAAGTATGGAGCTGGAGCCCTGATCACTTAGGGAGAATCTGAATGAAAAATGGGGAAACCCTTATATAGAATCAGTCTGTTGGGAGAATTTGAATGAAAAATAGGGAAATATAGAATCATTAGTATGTTTTCAGCTATTTCCCTGTGAGACTAATCGATTTAAAGGCTATACTTAGATTTTTTTTAATGACACTTTCATTTTATATGTAGTATACATTTTCTGATAGTTCTGCTGGATTATGCATTCTCATTACTAAGTTTCCCACTGCCCACCATTCTGAAAGATAAATTTTCAGAGAAGTAAGTTGTCTTGTTCTTTGTTTGAGACAGGGTCTCATTGTGTCGCCCAGGCTGGAGTGCAGTGCCATGATCATAGATAGCTCAGTGCAGTCTTGACTTCCTCAGCACAAGCAATCCTCCCACCTCAGCTTACCCTGTAGCTGCAACCACAGTCACTTACCACCATGACTGGCTAATTTTTTTATTTTTAGTAGGGATGGGGTCTCATTATATTGCTCAGGTTTGTCCCAAACTCCTGGGCTCAAGCGAGCCTCCTACCTTGGCGTCCCAAAGTGTTGGGATTACAGGTGTGAGCCACTGTGCCCAACCTGTCGTTTTTATTGTGATGTGAATTTGATTGTTTTCTTTTTTCTTTCCTTTTTTTTTTTTTTTTTTTTGAGACAGGGTCTCACTCTGCCACCCAGGCTGGAGTGCAGTGGCATAATCACAGCTCATTGCAGCCTCAGCTTCCCGAGTAGCTGGGATCACAGGTGTGTACCACCACACCCAGCTAATTTTTTTTATTATCTGTGGAGATTGGGGGCGGGGCAGGGTGGTCTTCCTAGCTTGCCCAGGCTGGTCTCGAACTCCTGGACTCAAGCCATTCTCCCACATTGGCTTCCCAAAGTGCTGTGATTATGGGTGTGAGCCACAACGCCTGGCTTTTTTTTTTAATAGTGTCGTGAACTGCTAAGCTTAAGTGATCTCCTCACCTCAGCCACTGAGTAGCTGGGACTATAGGCATGTACTACCACACCTGGCCATGATGGTTTTCTTAATTACTCTTTTAAGGAAGCTATTGTTTCTTGGGAAAGCTCAAGTAATTCTTGGTTTTATTTTTGTAGGCTCAGATCACCATGAAAGTAATCCAAGGCTTGTACAGTGGGGTCACCACAGTGGAACTAGATACTTTGGCTGCTGAAACAGCTGCAACCTTGACTACTAAGCACCCTGACTATGCTATCCTGGCAGCCAGGATCGCTGTCTCTAACTTGCACAAAGAAACAAAGAAAGTGTTCAGTGGTAAGTCTGGGGTGAAAAAGTAAAAATTTAGTACTCTCAGAAAAGTAATAAGGGTACTAGAAATAAATCTTGACTGTTTAAAGAAGCAAATATGGCTAGATGGGGTGGCTTACACCTCGAATCCCAGCAATTTGGGAGGCCAAGGCAGGCAAATCGCTTGAGTCCAGGAGTTTGAGACCAGCCTGGGCAATGTGGCGAAACCCCATCTCTACGTTTTAAGAAAAATCTAAAATTATAAAATAGACTAGGTGCAGTGGCTCACGCCTGTAATCCCAGTGCTTTGGGAGGCTGAGGCAGGTGGATCGCTGAGGTCAGGAGTTTGAGACCAGCCTGGCCAACATGGCGAAACCCTTTCTCTACTAAAAATACAAAAAATTAGCTGGGCGTGGTGGTGGGGGCCTGTAATCCCAGCTACTGGGGAGGCTGAGGCAGGAGAATTGCTTGAACCCGGGAGGCGGAGGTTGCAGTGAGCTGAGACTGTGCCACTGCACTCCTGCCTGGGCAACAGAGTGAGACTCCGTCTCATAAATAAATAAATAAATAAATAAATAGCAAATATGTAAATTAGTGGGAAAGAGCAGACTACAATTTCGTATTTCTCCATGCTGCCTATCTGCTGCATAAAAAGGTTGATGGATCTTTGTTCTTTTTTTCATTTTCTCTTTTTAAAATTTTTTTATTTTTTTTGAGATAAAGTTTTGCTCTTATCGCCTAGGCTGGAGTGCAATGGTGTGATTTCGGCTCACTGCAACCTCCGCCTCCCGGGTTCAAGTGATTCTCCTGCCTCAGCCTCCCGAGTAGTTGGGACTACAGGCTCCCATCACCACGCCCGGCTAATTTTTTGTATTTTTAGTAGAGACGGGTTTCACCGTGTTAGCCAGGATGGTCTCAATCTCCTGACCTCGTGATCCACCCGCCTCGGCCTCCCAAAGTCCTGGGATTACAGGCGTGAGCCACCGCGCCCGGCCCAGGAATCTATTTTAAACTACAAGAACTTATAATCACTTTAACTCTAGAAGATTGTTTCCTTAAATGAGGCATTACATATTTCTTCAACATATATGTGTTTATTGAGCACTTTATATGCTAGGCATTGAGGTGGGTTGAGATGACAAAAAGGGTTGAGAACCACTGTTTTCAACTATTACCTAAAGATTGAATTAGCTGTTAAGTGGTCTTGATATATTTTCATTTTTTGTTGTATTTTTTAGATGTGATGGAAGACCTCTATAACTACATAAATCCACATAATGGCAAACACTCTCCCATGGTGGCCAAGTCAACATTGGATATTGTTCTGGCCAATAAAGATGTATGTATAACACTTATCTGGTGGAAATTTTTTGAGAGTCTTTTTTAATAATGCACACATTTTAGAAAATTTAAACACTGCAAAAGATACAGGTAAATACTAATTCTGTTTCCTACCCTGATTCCTGATTTTCCTCTCTAGAAACAACTTTATCATTTTAAAATGTATTTTTCCAGAGCTATTTTGTACATACGTGTGTGCATACATGTGTATGTGTGTACATACATATTTTTCTTCTCAGTGGTACTGTACTGTGCATACAGTTTTCATTGATACTTTCTTCACTTGTAAGTATATCTTGTTTGTTCTATATCAGCCTTTATGAATTTACCCTTTTTTATAACAGTTGTATAACGTTCCATTTTGTAGATATATTGTCATTGTATGTATGTGTAAGAATTCCTTTAGTGATCAATATTTGTTTTTCATCTTTTCACTGCAGTGAATATTCTTGTATGGTAGGTGTTTTGCTCATAGATGAATATATCTGTAAGATAAATCCCTTCAGTAGAATTGCTGAGCCAATGTGTATATGAATTCAAAATTTTGATAGGCATTGCCAAACTGACTCCCAAAAAGGTTGCTCAGGTAAAATTTTACAAGCTCATGCTCAGCAACTTAAAAATTATCCACTTGTGTTTGAACCTGTTTCTTAACTAGATGCCAGAGGACAGAAGGGAAAAGATGTAGCCTAGCCAGCCCTTTTACACACAGGATTTATTTACCGTGTATATCTGGACAGATTAGAGACCAGTTTTAACTTTAGGTAATATAATGATTAGGCCGGGCGCGGTAGCTCACGCCTGTAATCCCAGCACTTTGAGAGGCTGAGGCGGGTGGATCACGGGGTCAGGAGATCCAGACCATCCTGGCTAACACGGTGAAACCCCGTCTCTACTAAAAATACAAAAAATTAGCCAGGTGTGGGAGCTGGTGCCTGTAGTCCCAGCTACTCAGGAGGCTGAGGCTAGAGAATGGCGTGAACCCGGGAGGCGGAGCTTGCAGTGAGCCGAGATTGGGCCACTGCACTCCAGCCTGGGC
Organism: Homo sapiens; assembly: GCF_000001405.40. NCBI lineage: Eukaryota > Metazoa > Chordata > Mammalia > Primates > Hominidae > Homo > Homo sapiens. Next base: position 4,108,577 of record NC_000011.10, read on the forward strand.
AACAGAGTGAGACTCAGTCTCAAAAAAAAAAAAAAAAAAAAAGAATGATTAATTGACTATCTCTCTAAACATGTATCTGATGTTAAAGAGACTAGGAGAAAACTGAGTTGTTTGTGTGTTGTTAATTTGTGTAATCTCGAAGACAAGTTGAAGACAAAAATACAGCAGCAGCAACAGCAAAACCTGTGTCTAAAAATATACCTATTGATAGTCAAGTATTTCAGTTCTCTAATATTCACACTGGGCCCATACCTGCCTTTGGCAACAAAGATGACCTTAAAATTTTAAGAGAAAAGGAAAGCAAGCTTTCGTATAGGTTTTTCTAGTCCTTAGATATGGATCATTATGTAGAAACACTGTCAGTATTTTGAAAACCTGGCTCCTTTTTTTTCTCTCCAAAATGATTATTTGTACGTTATTGCTTTTATTTTCCTCTGAATGACTTTGTAGCCTACAAAAACTCTGTAACAAGGACCAGTTATGCTCTAAAATCTTACTGTTACAATAGTTCTTTGTTGGAAACTTGTTAAAGGACTATAGATTTTGAAGAGCCTCAGAATTAACATAAGCCTGCTTCCTGTCATTGTTTATTATATATACTGTTATATACAGTTTGAAGTAGGCTAGCTTTTAAAATAAATATATATATATATTAGTAAATATGTGGTACCAATACTTTTGGATTAATAGCCAATCTAAAAACATGTTTAAGGATGATAATATAGTCCCATTTATGCTCATGTTTTTTCCCTCTTTCAAAACATACTATAAACATAATAGTAAAAGTTTGGAAAATCACATTTAATCTCACAACATATATTTATGTATTATCTTCTAGTGTTTTCATATACATGTTTTTAAACCTAATTAGGATACTTAATTTATATGTATTGTTTCTTTTTTTTAGAATGTTAGATGGACTTCTATTCTACAGTAATAATGCTTAGTGTTATCTCATTGTATCCTGTGTTGATTTTAGTTCTGGAGTCAGGGCCGAGAGATAAGAGATTTTGTGAAAATAAGTAATTATTTTAATTTAATTATGGGTTCTTTTTCACCCCTATCAGCGCCTGAATTCTGCTATTATCTATGACCGAGATTTCTCTTACAATTACTTCGGCTTTAAGGTAAATAATGGGTTTCAAGTATGTGGGAATTTATACTTAAATCATGAAATAAAGGATTTTGTTTATGTTTTGGTGACAGTTATCAAGGCCATAAGTTGTTTGGAGTTGAGATGGACCTGGGGAATTAGTGGGGTTAAGGTAGCAGTGGTGGTTTGAATTAAGGCAAAGGTAGCTTATCTATTTGCAGTTTTTGAATTTTCCACATATTACTTCTGGATTACCTGAGGAGTTATGCAGATAAATTACCATAAGTATTTCATAACATTCTAAGTATTTTTGCGTTGATAGGCAGTATAGTATAGTGTAGTGACTGAGAACATGAATGTCAGTGTCCACCTGAATTCCAGTCTCTGCTCTATTTCTTATTAGCAAGTTATTTAATCTCTCTGTGCTTGTTTCCTCCATTTTAGAATGGGGAGAATATAAAATTTCAACAACAAATTTAATTAAAAAAAAATTTTTTTTTTGAGTCTGTGTCTCACTGTGTTGACTAGGCTGGAGTGCAGTGGCGCGATCTTGGCTCACTTCAACCTCTGTCTCCTGAGTATAAGCAGTTCTCCTGCCTCAGCCTCCTGAGTGACTGGGACTACAGGCACACACCACCATGCCCAGCTAATGTTTGTATTTTTAGTAGAGACGGAGTTTCACCATGTTGGCCAGTCTGGTCTTGAACTCCTGACCTCAGGTGATCCACCCACCTTGGCCTCCCAAAGTCCTGGGATTACAGGCATGAGCCACTGCGGCCAATTTAGTTTAAATTTCAATTTAAAGTGCCTATAACAGGCTGGGCATGGTGGCTTACGCCTGTAATCCCAGCACTTTAGGAAGCCGAGGCGGGCTGATCACTCGAGGTCAGGAGTTCGAGACCAGCCTGGGCCACGTGGCGAAATGCCTTCTCTACTAAAAAATACAAAAATTAGCTGGGCATGGTGGTGCATGCCTGTAATTCCAGCTACTTGGGGGGCTGAGGCAGGAGAACTGCTTATACTCAGGAGACGGAGGTTGCAGTGAGCCAAGATCGTGGCACTGCACTCCAGCCTGGGTGACAGAGTGAGACTCTGTCTCAAAAAAAAAAAAAAAAAAAAGTGCCTGTAACAGACCAGGCACTGCTCTAAACAACATATACACTCATTTAATCCGCTGAGGAATCCCTGATGTATATGTTGCTCATTTAATCCCCATGAGGAGTCTTCAGGGGATTAAATGAGTGTAACGAGTGTATATGTTGCTTAGATCCGTGCCTAGTCTGTTACAGGCGCTTTTTAAGTGTTAGCTGTTGTGAAGTTGATGATGATGATGAATACTACAACTTCTGTTAATGTGTGTAGAGCTGGCTTTTTCCAGAAATTTTCATGCAGTCTCTGCCGAAACAAAAGTGCCAGTGAGGAGGCTGAGATGGGAGGATTCCTTGAGCTTAGGAGTTTGACACCAGCCTGGGCAACACAGGGAGACCATGTCTCTACAAAACGTTTTAAAAAGTTTTTTTTAAAAAAAGTGCCAATGATAATTCTGGCTAACATGACGAAACCCTGTCTCTACTAAAAATAGAAAAAAAAAATTAGCTGGGCCTGGTGGTGGGCGCCTGTAGTCCCAGCTACTCGGTAGCCTGAGGCAGGAGAATGGCATGAACCCGGGAGGCAGAGCTTGCAGTGAGCTGAGATTGCGCCACTGCACCCCAGCCTGGGCGACAGAGCGAGACTCTGTCTCAAAAAAAAAAAAAAAAGTGCCAATGATAATGTTCCAGATGAAGCTAGGAAGAGTAAATGTGCTATTCTTTTCATTTGAAATTTTATAGAAACGGCGAAGATTTAAAGAGATTGCCTTATTGTGGATGATATATCCACTGCGTCTTTAAAAACGGTGCTCTGAAAATTTTTTGTTGTTTCTCTCTTTCTAGACGCTAGAGCGGTCTTATTTGTTGAAGATCAATGGAAAAGGTGAGAAATGAACATGTTTGTCTGTTACATTTTCTACTCATTATATTGAATGTATAGCTTTGAGCTATAAGTCTTAATATTCTTGCTTAGACTCTAGATAACATTTTGGACTTTAGGTTTAGTTTGTGGATAATTGTCCTGTTTATTAGTATAAAGTTTTTCTAGTTTCCTTTTGGTGTCCTTTTCTGAAATTCAAATACGTATCTCAACCTACTTTTTCTGACGTCTCATCATGTGAAAACTCCTCTTTTGTCTATAGTGGCTGAAAGACCACAACATATGTTGATGAGAGTATCTGTTGGGATCCACAAAGAAGACATTGATGCAGCAATTGAAACATATAATCTTCTTTCTGAGAGGTGGTTTACTCATGCTTCGCCCACTCTCTTCAATGCTGGTACCAACCGCCCACAACTTTCTAGGTAGGTGTTTTGAGTAGGGAAATACGCCTTGACCTGAAGAAACTGGGCAGTTAGTTCATCACATAAAAAATAATTTAATGACCTTTTAGTAGCTGCCTGCTCTGATTAAATGAGATTTAGATTCTGGAAAGATCTCTGACTGTAATGTGGTAAATGAATTGGAGAAAAGGCAAATGCTTATAACAAAAATGTTCTAAAATTGATTGGATTGTGGTGATGGTTACACAAGTCTATGAGTATATTAAAAGCCATTGAGTAGTACACTTTAAATGGGGAATTATATTATTTGTGAATTATATTCCTTTTTTTTTTTGTTGTTGAGACAAAGTCTCACTCTGTCACCCAGGCTGGAGCGCAGTGTTGCGATCTTGGCTCACTGCAACCTGTGCCTCCTTGGTACAAGCAATTCTCTTGCCTCAGCCTCCTGAGTAGCTGGGATTACAGGTGCCCGCCACCACACCCAGCCAATTTTTGTATTTTTAGTAGAGATGGGGTTTCACCATGTTGGTCAGGCTGGTCTTAAACTCCTGACCTCAGGTGATCCACCCGCCTTGGCCTCCCAAAGTGCTGGGATTGTAGGCATGAGCCACCACGCTTGGTGTGAATTATATTTCAATAAGGTTGTTTTAAAAAGAAGGTAAGTGCCAAGAACTAGTTAGGGGACTCTTATAGCAGTTTATATAAGAAATTGTGGTAGTCTAGATTAGGGAGGTGAAAGTAGAAATTGACAGAAGCAGATAGATCAAAAGATATTTAGGGCCAGGCATGGTGGCTCACATCTGTAATTCCAACACTTTGGAAGGCTGAGGTGGGAAGATCACTTGAGGTCAGAAGTTCAAGGCTGCCGTGAGCCATGATTATGCCACTGCACTGTAGCCTGGGCAACACAGTGATACCTTGATTAAGATAAAAATATATATAAAAGATATTTAGGCTGTCAAATTGACAGAATATGGGTCAAGAATGGTTCTTGCATTTATGGATACAGTAAGTAACAGGATTAATGATGATGCCATTTGTTGAGAAAAGGAACACTAACGGTCTGGTAATACATTAAAAAAAAAAATATGCCATTATCAAGTTGGTTTGTTTCAGGAATTCAAGAACATGGTAACATCAAAAAATACATTAATGTAATTCATTGCATTAACATTTTATGCAGTTTAATGCTCTTTCATAATAAACACTTTAGCAAAATTGATATAGAAAATAACTTCCTTAATTTGGCAAAAGATACCCAATAAAAACCTAGATGTATCGTCTCTTTTTTCAGCATGGTAGTGGAGGCCTGAGCCAGCATTGTAAAATAAGAAAAAGAAAAGATTGGAAATCAGGGAACAAAACTGTAATGATTTGAAGAAATGATTTTTACATAGGAAACTCAAGAGCATCTGCAGACACATTATTAGAAATAAAAGATTTCAGCAAAATATCTGGATATAGGTTCAATATACATCAATCAGTTATGTTTCTGTACTTTAGCTGTTAGAAAATTAAGTCTTAACCTACAGCCATGCATTACTTAACGATGGGGATATATTCTGAGAAATGTGTTGTAAGGTGATTTCCTTGTGCAAACATTATACAGTATACTTAGGTAAGCCTAGATTGTATAGCCTACTACACACATAGGATATATGGCATGGCCTGTTGCTGCTCATAGGTTACAAACCTGTGTAGCATGTTACTGTACTGAATACTGTAGGCCTTTGTATTACCATGGTAAGTATTTGTGTATCCAAACATATCACAGTAAAAGTACCCTATAAAAGATAAAAAATGGGCCAGGCGTGGTGGCTCACGCCTGTAATCCTAGCATGTTGGGAGGCCGAGGCGGGCGGATTGCCTGAGCTCAGGAGTTCGAAACCAGCCTGGGCAACATGGTGAAACCCTGTCTGTACTAAAAATATAGATATAAAAAAACTAGCCAGGCATAGCAGTGTGCACCTGTAGTCCCAGCGACTCAGGAGGCTGAGACAGGAGAATTGCTTGAACCTGGGAGGCAGAGGTTGCAGTGAGCCAAGATCGCGCCACTGCACTCCAGCCTGGGCAACAGAGCGAGACTCCGTCTCCAAAAAAGAAAGAAAAGATAAAAAAAAAGATACAAAATGATACATCTGTATAGGACAGTTATCATGAATAGAGCTTGTAGGACTGAAAATTGCTATGGGTGAGTTAGTGAGTGAGTGGTGAATGAATATGAAGGCCTGGCTGGGCGTGGTGGGTCATGCCTGTAATCTCAGCACTTTGGGAGGCTGAGGCAGGTGGATCACGAGGTCAGGAGTTCAAGACCAACAGGGCCAACATGGTGAAACCCTGTCTCTACTAAAAATACAAAAATTAGCTGGGTATGGTGGCAGGCGCCTGTAATCCACTACTTGGGAGGCTGAGGCAGGAGAATTGCTTGAACCTGGAAGGCGGAGGTTGCAGTGAGCCAACATCGCACCACTACACTCCAGCCTGGGCAACAGGAGCGAAACTCTATCTTAAAAAAAAAAAAAAAAGGAATATGAAGGCCTAGTACATTACTGACGACTGTAGACTGTACAAACATTGTGCACACTAAATTTATTTTAAAAATATTTTCTTCAATAATAAATTAACCTTCGATTACTGGATGACCACTGTCGTATGTGTAGTCCATCGTTGACTTTTTTTGTTTGTTTTTAAGACAGAGTCTCACTCTTTTGCCCAGGCTGGAGTGCAGTGGCATGATCTTGGCTTACTGCAGCCTGCACCTCCCAGGTCCAAGTGATTCTCCTGCCTCAGCTTTACAAATAGTTGGGATTACAGGCGTGCACCACCACACCCAGCTAATTTTTGTATTTTTAATACAGACGGGGTTTCACCATGTTGGCCAGGCTGATCTCAAACTCCTGACCTTGAGTGATCCGTCTTCCTTGGCCTCCCGAAGTGCTGGGATTACAGGCATGAGCTACCATGCCCGGTTTTTTAAGTTTTTTAGAAATTTCTCTAAAACATGATTAAAGGACATTAAATAATAAATAAATGGAATAGATTCAATTTTATAAAAATGTCAGTTTTTCCCAAGTTAAAATATAGATTCAAAGTAATTCTAGGCAAAATCTCAACATACTGATTCTAAAATTCATGTGAAAGAGCAAAAGACTGCCCAAAAATGTCAGGTCGAAATTCCTGGAACCTGTAAATGTTACCTGATAAGGAAAGTGGTCTTTGTAGAGATGATAAGGATTTTGACATGGAGAGATTATCTTGAATTATGTGGGTGGGCCCTTAATCCAATCAAAAGTATCCTTGTAAGAGAGAGGCTGAGGGAGATAACGACTCACAGAAGGGGAGAAAGTGATGTAAAGATGGAGGGAGAAATTGGAGTCATGTGGCCACAAAGGAGAGCAATTAGCCACTAAAAGCTGGACAAAGCAAGGAACAGATTCTCCCTCAAAACCTCTGGAGGGAGCACTCCAAAAAAAAAAAAAAAAGTGAGTTGCAGACATTGTGACTCTTGATACCTCCACTTACCTTTTTTTTTGAGATGGAGTTTCGCTCTTGTCACTGAGGCTGGAGTGCAGTGGCACGATTTTGGCTTACTGCAACCTCTGCCTCCCGGGTTCAAGCAATTCTCCTGCCTCAGCCTCCTGAGTAGCTGGGATTACAGGCACGCGCCACCACACCCAGCTAATTTTTGTATTTTTAGTACAGATGGGGTTTGTCCATGTTGGCCAGGCTGGTCTCGAACTCCTGACCTCAGGTGATCCACCTGCCTGGGCCTCCCAAAGTGCTGGGATTAGAGGTGTGAGCCACTGCGCCTGGCCCTACTTCCACTTATATCTCGATAGGAGAATATATAATATGACCTCAGAGCAAAACACCATAGAGCAAAACATTGGAAAAATTGACTACAATTAAAAACTTCTGTGTGAAAGGCAATGGAAGGGCACCGTGGATCAATAAGGCCGAGAGGCGAGACAAAGAGGGCAAAAATCTTCTTTATTGAGCTCTCGGGCGAGGTTCACTGGTCCGCAGGGGGAGGGCCAGGGAAGTCTCGCTGTGCCAAAGGTGCAGCGTGCTTTTATGGATGCTGGGTGAGGAGTGGTCAGGGTAGGGGCAGGGTCGGTTGAGTTTCACGCTTCTGAGTGTGACACGCCCTAGTGGGCATGTGCGTTAGTCGGGGTGGCAGGAACAGGAAAGGTGAACCCGGAAATGCTGAGTCAGGGTGTCCGAGGTGGCGATCGCCATCTTGGAGTCTTCACCGGAGTCCAATCACTGTGAACCAAAAACGAAGTCAAATAACAAGTTTCACACTTTGGGAGGCCAAGGTGGGTGGATTACCTGAGGTCAGGAGTTCGAGACCAGCCTGGCCAACATGGCGAAACCCTGTCTTTACTAAAAATACAACTATTAGCCAGGCGTGGTGGCGTATGCCCATAATCCCAGCTACTCAGGAAGCTGAGGCATGAGAATCATTTGAACCTGGGAGACGGAGCTTGCAGTGAGCCAAGATCATGCCACTGTACTGCAGCCTGGGCAAAAGAGTGAGACTCTGTCTCAAAAACAACAACAACAAAAACACCCAAAAAAACAAGTTTCAGACTGGGAGAAGATATTTGCAACATGTTAACTATTGAGAGATTATAAGAAAAACAAGGCCAGGTGCAGTGGCTTCTGCCTGTAATTCCAACACTCTGGGAGGCCAAAGCAAAGGCTGGCTTGAGGGCAGAATTTGAAACCAGCCTGGGCAACATAATGAGAGCCTGTCTCTACAAAAGTAGAAAATTAGCCAGGCGTGGTGGTGCACACCTGTAGATTTAGCTACTTGAAAGGCTGAGGTGGGAGGATCGCTCGAGCCCAGGAGGTCAAAGCTGCTGTGAGCTATGATCATGCCACTGCACTCCAGCCTGGGTAACAGAGTTAAACCCTGTCTCAAAAAAAAAGAAAAGAAAAGAAAAGAAAAACAGAAAGCCAAATAGAAACATGGGCAAGGGCTATAAACAAATAATGCATGGAAGAAGAAACTTGATTGGCTAATAAACGTCTGAGATGTTAAACTGTGCAATAGGAAAATGAAAATTATGTATATATATATTTGATAAAAATGAAAAGGCTGACAATTCCAAGCACTGATAAGAATGTGGAGCACAAGGAAATCTCATACATTGCTAGAAATAGATTTGTCCATCCACTTTGGAGAATCTTTAGTAAAGTGAAACGTGTATATCTTTTGACCCAGCAGTTCCTCTCCTAGGTTCATATTCTACAGAAATGCTTAGAGATAAACACAAGGTGTTGTGTTCAAGAATTTTTATAGCAGCATTGTTTGGAATTGCAAATGAATTGGAAATAATCCAGATGTTCATCAACAGGCACATGGGACAAATGTTTTGGTATATTTATACAATAGAATACCTTATAGCAATGAAAATAAAGTTTGTTTACATATATCAAAAGGATTAATTTCTGTAAAGCAATATTGAATTAAAACAAGTTGCAGAATGATAAACAGATATGCAACCAGAAAAATTCTAAGTGTATAACATGTAAAAATGTCATAAAGGAAATGCTTGAAAATGTTAGAGGATTGCAATGAGGGTATATTTGTGGTGTCTAATTTTTTGAGGTAGGTGGCAAGTACAGAGTATTTGTTACATCATTCTCTATATTTTTCTGAATGTCTGAATATTTATATAAACACCTAGTCAATAGATAGAATCCATTTGCATGATTGAATATTCAAGGCAGTGAAGAGATTATTGATAGAGTAAGGTTCCTGAGGTGGGGAGCAGGATGAGATCCAAAGTGAGGTAAAGGGGTTGTCTTTAAAAAGACTGTAAAGGAGCTATGATTTTGGTAGACGTATCAAAGAATTGGTTGACAATTGGAGAGATTATTTTCATAAATGTTTGTTTTTCTTGGCTTACTAACAACCTGAAAAGACGGTGATGTATGTTTATGAATATGCATGAGAAAATGTGAAAATAGCACGTTTGCAGTCTGGTGAAAATGTAAGCCAATATTTTAGACTTATCTATAAGACTTCCTACTAGGCTTATTTACTTACTATCTAGGGGAGGCAGCAAGATGATTTTAAAATGATATTTCGATATGTTTTATTGTGTCATGTACAGTAAAGTGGGTTTTCTTCTTTGAAAATCATTTAGGAACTTTCTAAACTTCAACTCTTTTTTTTTTTTTTGCCTTAGTGTCTTTGTGTTGAGTAATCATTTTTGTGACTCTGCTTCATTTCCTTGCTCTAAGTTGAGACATTTTTTCCCCCGTAGCTGTTTTCTTCTGAGTATGAAAGATGACAGCATTGAAGGCATTTATGACACTCTAAAGCAATGTGCATTGATTTCTAAGTCTGCTGGAGGAATTGGTGTTGCTGTGAGTTGTATTCGGGCTACTGGCAGCTACATTGCTGGGGTAGGTTTCTGCCATTTGACTTTTAAAGGGGGATTCAAGTCTAAAAGCAAACAGATTCATGGTTGAGAGGGCATATGCTATTTTTTGGGAGTCCTGGGTCTCTGTTAAATTACTAAATGGCTATGTGACTTGGAGTGAGTCATTTTACTTCTGGCTTCATTTTCATCTATGATATTAGATATTTAGATTTGACTAGATAATCTCTAGAATCCTTTTTAGCTCAGGTTTTAGAATTCTGGCTTATTTTAGCAGTAATAAGAGCAGTTATCATTGATTGATTGCTTACTGTATGTTAAGTTTGTTATAAATGTTTTACATGAGGTACTCATTTGACCCTTACTACAACGCTATGAGGTAACTATGATTATAGACTCATGCCAGGAATTTTATTCCTTAAAATAACCTTGTGAATAAAGGTACCATTGTCTAATTTTACAAGTGAGGAAATTGAGACTTAGAAAGTTGTTACTTTCTGAGATCAATCACTTAATATGTGGTAGAGCCAGGATTCAAGATTTATGCATTGACACTTTATGATGTAAACTTTAGCCCTTTGTTAGTTTACTGTTCAATGGGAGTCAAGATAATAGTTTTGGATTTAAATCCTAGCTCCACTACTTAACTAGTAATGTGGCCTAGAGTTAGTTATTTTGTGTCTGAGTTTGTTTCCTTTTCTGTAAGGTGAAGAAAATATCTAACTCTGTAGAATAAAGTTCCAGAAGGAAATTATTCCATTATGTTGTGTTTTGGAGGTGCTGTGATATATACAGCACTTTACACAGTGGTAGAGTGAGCTATTGCTCACTTATCTTTCTAGACTGTTTAAAGGCTTGTGTTGGGATCAGAAGGGTTAAAGAATTTGATGAAGTATCTTCTAGTCGTAGGAGTCTCTATTTTCTTAACATCATTCTAGAGTCCACTTATTGCTGAGAATCTCCTTTTACCTTATTTATTGCCCTGATATAGCTATCGCATATAATTCTTATTGTAAATTGCCTTGATTTCTTTTGGGAAAAAGGCATTGTAGTAGTGTTTATATTCTTTTTTACTCTACCCAAAGTGTATCTTTATATAACGACCTTTAGAAGATGTAGAGTTTAAATTTAGCTACCTTGATTTTGGATCCCTTTGGCCTGTAATTGTTACATCTCATTATAAATTAGAAATGCCATGAGGTAACTTAGTACATAATTGTAATTTATTCAACATTTTGTTGATTTTATTTGGGCATTTTTCCAAAGCAGAAGTAGAGATGGAGAGCAGGTAAAACTTCATAGATTGCTACCTAGAAATTAGGCATCTTTTTTGATAAAAGAATGGGGCCATTTTTTTCTTTTCTTTGCTGAGTGCCCTCTGTCATTTCTATCATGGTCTCTCTTTTAGACTAATGGCAATTCCAATGGCCTTGTACCGATGCTGAGAGTATATAACAACACAGCTCGATATGTGGATCAAGGTGGGAACAAGGTATGCTCCATGAATTGAAAGTACTGGAAATCAGAACTAAAGGTGATTTAGTCATATACACTTAAGATGGTTCATTTATGTGTAGTTTCTAATTACCTTTTTTTTACTTGTAAAATCAATTTGAGGAGGTATAATTATTTTAATATGCATATACTTTAAATGTACAGTTTGATGGGTTTTGACAAATGTATACACTTGTGTAATCACCACATTGATAAAGAGGTAGAACATTTCCATTACCCCAAAATCTTTTCTCCCTCATATACCTTTACATTCAGTCACCCCTGTCACCCCTACCCACACATACTTTATCCCTGGCTCTAGACAGCCACTGATCTATTCAGCTTTCTTACATGATAGTTCGTTTGCAAAGAATTTCTCAAGTTGTAATTCATATAAATTTGTTACTTGAAATGGGGTTGTAACATGTGCTCTAGGTTTTTCTTTCGTTTTTTTTTTTATCTCTCTCTTATCACCCAGGCTGGAGTGCAATGGTGCGATCTTGGCTCACCGTAGCCTTGACCTCCTGGACTTAAGTGATTCTTCTGCCTCAGCCCTCCCATGTAGCTCAGACTATAGGCCTGTGCCACCACACCCAGCTAATTTTTATATTTTTTGTAGAGGCGGGGGTCTCACTTTCTTGCCTAGGCTGATCTCAAACTCCTAGGCTCAAGCAATCTACCTGCCTTGGCCTCCCAAAGTGTTGGGATTATGGGTGTTAGCCACTGCACCTCGCCTAGGTTGTTCTTAAAACAAAAACAAAAACTACCTGGAATAACAAAACTCTCCCTAATTGGCTGGATGCAGTGGCTCCTGCCAGTAATCCCAGCACTTTGGGAGGCTGAGGTGGGCTGATCGTGTAAGCTCACAAGTTCAAGACCACGAGTTCAAGCTCACGAGTTCAACATGACGCAACCCCATCTCCACAAAAAATACAAAAATTAACCGGGTGTGGTGGCGAACGCCTGTAGTTTCAGCTTCTCTGGAGGCTGAGGTGGGAGGATGGCTTGAGCCCGGTAGGCAGGAGGTTGCAGTGAGCCGAGATTATACCACTGCACTCCAGCCTGGGCGGTAGAGCTAGAACTTGTCTCAAACAAAACAGAACAAACAAACAAAAACTCTCCCTAATTGATAGAAGAAACAGTAAAGTTGAGAGAATTGGGTTGTTTACCTTATTTTATCAACAGGATGGTTTACAACTAGAGTCTGCCTTTTGTGACTGTAGGCACACTAATCGCTTGTTGGTTTATGAATTTCTCTCTGATGGACTTTGGGGACCTTGATAAGACAGATCAACTTTTTGACCTACAATAAGAGCATGGCTTATACTGTCAAAGCAACTTCCTTTGGGCTTTATGTACATGTCATGTGGTGTAAAGAGAGCTGGGCTGTTGCTGAAGAGGAGGCTCCATCTGTAGTTCATCATGTCACTTTAGAAAAGTTAATCTTGTTTCACATTTTGTTTATATCATTCGTTCGTTTTTACTCATAGAATTGTAAAATATTACTTTTACAATTATATATGGAAAACTTACACTTTTATAATACTTTTATTTATGTTATTTAATTCATTGTAGTGAAAATCAAAGGAGATACTATAAAAGTGCTTTGGGAGACATGATGTTTCTTTGTTTCATTTTTATTCTGAAGAGAATTATGATTTATTTACCACTAGCGTCCTGGGGCATTTGCTATTTACCTGGAGCCTTGGCATTTAGACATCTTTGAATTCCTTGATTTAAAGAAGAACACAGGAAAGGAAGAGCAGCGTGCCAGAGATCTTTTCTTTGCTCTTTGGATTCCGGATCTCTTCATGAAACGAGTGGAGACTAATCAGGTGAGAGATAGGTACTTGTTGGTAATAGCAACTTGATTCACATGAGCTTTCTCTTTTTTAGTCATCTTAAGTCATGCTTAGGAAGAGCCCATATGTGTGTGATGCCACAGAAGGCATTCTGAACAAGTTAAGAGATGCCGTGCTTGTCTTCTTATATTTCTATTCTCTAAAGTAGATGCTTTGTGACCTAAATGCTTAAAAGGTCATGTATAAACAGGCAGACCTAGATGTTTGGGCCTGAACCTGAAAATGATTATTTCTACAGCAAATTTCCAAGAGAGCTTGTAAAAGTCACCTTATGCTTGCAGTGTTTCTAATGGATTATGGTTGGCTATTTGAAGTTTCTTATGAGTGATTTTGTCCTTTCCTTTTTAGGACTGGTCTTTGATGTGTCCAAATGAGTGTCCTGGTCTGGATGAGGTTTGGGGAGAGGAATTTGAGAAACTATATGCAAGGTATGGGAAAAATATGAAAGAAAACAATAATGTTTTAATCATGGTTTCTCTTATTTCAGGGGTCCAAATATCAAAAGTACTTGTCAAGAATCTTTTGAAGCATCTAAGAGAAAAAGTGACTAATAATTTTGGTCAGATTTGCTTCCTGACTCTTCACCAAAATTGAGTTGTGTCTTCTTCTTTCTTAAAACTTTGGAATGTATAAATAGGTTCTTGGGATTTTTAATTGATCCTTTTAAAATTTAAGATGACTAGTAGGGTTATTATTTTGCTCTGTCATATAGTACTTTTGATAAGCTATGCTTTATGTTGCATAAAGGAATCATGAGTGACTAGGACACATATGTCAGTAGTTTATTAAAATTAAATAGGTCAGGTGCAGTGGCTCACATCTGTAGTCTCAGCACTTTGGGAAGATGAGGCAGGTGGATCATTTGAGGTCAGGAGTTCAAGACCAGCCTGGCCAACATGGTGAAACCCTGTCTCTAGTAAAAATACAAAAATTAGCTGGGCGTGGTGGTGCACACCTGTAGTCCCAGCTACTTGGGAGGCTGAGGTAGGAGAATTGCTTGAACCTGGGAGGTGGAGGTTGCAGTGAGCTGAGATTGTGCCACTGCACTCCAGCCTGGGTGATAGAACGAAACTCCGTCTCAAAAAAAAAAAAAGGAAAAAAATTTAGCACAGTCTTAAGAGATTTGGCTTCCTTAGTTTTTACTCCTTTTTATTATGAAAGATATTATTGGTTTAGTGGGATTGCGATCATCTGAAGGCACCTAAAACTGCCTCATTTTCCCCTATGGCTTTAGCTAGAGTAAAATAAATATCATATTCCTTTTTTTCTTTAGCAAAACTTAGAGAAAATTTAAGAGTTTTCATAACTTTATATTTTAATGTCTTCAAGTTGTCTACAATAAAGTTTTTTTAGGGAATATATATTAAATAATATTATCTGTGCCTTTCAGTTATGAGAAACAAGGTCGTGTCCGCAAAGTTGTAAAAGCTCAGCAGCTTTGGTATGCCATCATTGAGTCTCAGACGGAAACAGGCACCCCGTATATGCTCTACAAAGATTCCTGTAATCGAAAGAGCAACCAGCAGAACCTGGGAACCATCAAATGCAGCAACCTGTGCACAGAAATAGTGGAGTACACCAGCAAAGATGAGGTAGGTAGAAAAAATTCTTCCTAGAGTACTAAGAAGAGAACCTTAGGCAGTTATTATTTGTGAATTCCTCACTTGATTTCACTTGAGATAAGTGAAGGGAGTTTGCATAGTTGTAAGCAGAAGAACACTGTTAAAGGCAGAGAGCAAAGGAAGGAAAGGGTATGATCTGTGCCTATAAATGTTTTTTAGTCTAAGCCGTGTGGGAAAGACACAGTTTTTTCTTATACACACATCACTGTAATAACATTTACTCAAGAAAAATAGAAATATACAGTTATGTTAGTTTAGGACACACACAAAAATGTGTTAGGATGTACATTCAATTTAAACTATGTAAGCCTTGAGCCTGGAAAGTGGAGGCTGCAGTGGGCTGAGATTGTGCCACTGTACTCCATCCTGGGCGACAAAGTGAGACCCTGTCTCAAAACAAACAAACAAAAAACCAAAAACAACAACAACAAAAGTATGTAAGCTTATAAAGAGAGTCCTTTCAGTGAATGGTGAGATCAAATTCTAATCTCAAGTCTGTAAAGAGACTTCACAGAAGAATCAAGGCTAGAAATGGGACATGGATTTGGTGTTTTAAAAAAAAGTTTGAGAGAGGAGCTTTCCATTTGGAAAGAGTGGTCTGTATGATACACCAGAGACAGGGCTGGGTTTTATGCAGTGTGGCAAGTAAGTCTGTTTTGATGGTGCAAGTAGATTAATTATTGGAATATGGAGAGATGGCTATGGCTGGGGGAAGGGAGATAGAAGGTAGAAGCTGACACGTCACGGATAGGTAGCCCTTGTAGGTTTCTGAGAGGAAAATAGCATCAAAATGTTAAGATGAAAAGGAAGGTTCTTGCTTCTGGTTACAGAGTGTCTTGCTGTGAGAAGGGATTAGAGGTTAGCCTAGGGAGATTGTTGTACTAGTTGGATGACAGGCTGCTTTGATCTTGGATGTAAACTATGGAAACGAGGAAGGAGTAGATCCTCAATTCTAGGACCTTAAAAAAAAAGACAAATGAAAAGTCAGGAAGTAAATGGAAAGTGAGTTAAATATACTGCTAAGGTTACAGTTTAATTCAAAATTTATTGTGCAGTAGCTATATGTAAAACACAATGTTAAGTGCTCTGAGAATATAAATAAATATGCTGCCCTCTGGAAACTTCTAATTTAGTTGGAAGACATCGACATATATTGAGGTAACTATTATGCAAGACAGATTATATTATAGAGGCTAGAGTGACATTTTTAAAATAAAAATCAGATAATGTCATTTGTCTGCACAAAACTACTCTTTGGCTTGCTAACCCATGCAGAATTCCTTTTTTTTCGGGGGGCGTCAAGATTTCACTCTGTTGCCCAAGCTGGGCTGTGGCTCACTGCAACCTCAACAGAGTTCTTTCTTTTTGCAAATTGAGCTATAATTCACTCTTTTTAAAATGTACAATTCAGTGTTTTTTTTCTTTTCTTTTCTTTTCTTTTTTTTAGTATATCTGCAAGTCTGTGCAACCATTACCACTATCTAATTGTAGTATTTATTTATTTTATTTTTTTTTTTTTGAGACAGAGTCTTGCTCTGTCACCAGGCTGGAGTGTAGTGGCTCGATCTCGGCTCACTGCAACCTCCGCCTCCTGGATTCAAGCGATTCTCCTGCCTCAGCCTCCCGAGTAGCTGGGACTACAGGCGCGTGCCACCACACCCAGCTAATTTTTGTATTTTTAGTAGGGACGAGGTTTCACTATGTTGGCCAGGATGGTCTCAATCTCTTGACCTCGTGATCCGCCCACCTCAGCCTCCCAAAGTGTTGGGATTACAGGCGTGAGCCACCGTGACCGGCCTGTAGTACATTTTTATCACTGTAGATAATGAAACCCTTTATCCATTAGCAGTCACTCCCTGTTCCCTTCTTCCCTCAGCCCTTGACAACCACTAATATATTTTCTGTCTCTAGATTTGTGGACATTGTGGACATTCCATAGGAATGGAGTCATATAATATGTGGCCTTTTGTGTCAGGCTTCTTTCACTTAACATGTTCTTTTATTCATGTTGTAGCATGTATCAGTACTTCATTCCTTTCCATCCAGAGTTCTTACAGTGCCCTACAAGGTCCTACACAACTGGATAACCCACCTCATCTGCGGTTACTTTCCCCTTTGTTCACTTTGCTCCAACCCTATTAATTTTCTTGCTTTTTCTCAAACATGTCAACCATGCTCCTACCTCAGGATTTTTGCTCCTTCTTCCCTCTTGAATGTTAAAATGCACCCCCTCTTCCCATAGCCACATGATTTGCTTTCTAACCTGTTCAGTTCTTTGTTCATATGTAACATTTTCAATGAGGTCCTTCTTGACAATTCTGTTTAAAAATTATACCCCCTTCATCTTTATCCCCAGTACTCTCTGTCTTCTTTTCCTGCCTATTTTTCTTCCTGGCATTTATTAGACTTCTGTGATTCAAGCTATATTTAAAAAAATGGGTATTTGGCAACATGTGTAGAATGGAGTAGATGTGAAGGGCATCAAGAGTTCAACTGGGAAACTTTCAGTAGTCCATGTGAGAGAAGTTAAGACTTTGGCTTGGGATAGTCATAATCAAAATGGAAAAGAAAGTGTATTCATTCAACATTATCAAGACTTACTGTGTGCCAGATGTGTTGCTAGTGCTAAACATATAAATATAAATAAGATGATCCTTGTGTGAAGAAGCTCACTGCCTCGTGTAGTGGAGAAATCACTGGAAGAGCTTTTTCAGAAATCACAAATTGAGATCCATTGTTGCTAAGGGCTTGTCAGAATATCAGTGAAGGTGAGGTGGACGTGTGTGTTTTGAAGAACTCTGCAGTGATGGAAATGTTCTGTATCTGATGGCTATTGAGCACTTGAAATATGACTAGTGCAACTGAGAAACTCAAATTTTATTTCATTTTAAATAGATATATGTAGCCAGTGGCTACCATATTGCAGGGCACTCATCTACTGAATAATGAGATAGGTATATGTAAAAAGCTAATTATAACATAGTGTGATATATGTCTGGTAATAGAGCTGTGTACTGTGGAACATAGGGTTCTCTCTCTCTCTTACCTATTTTGCTGATGCATGTTATAACTAACACATATGACTAGGTATTGAAGAAATAGAATCAGTGGGATTTAGAAATGGACTGATGAATGATGAAGAGGGAGAAGTCAAATATAAAAATTTAAAATTTTAATGTCTGAGTATTAGAGGCTCACATGGTGGTGTAATTGACACAGGAAGTAGAAATAAAAATTGTGTGATTCTTGACCTGTTTTTTGCATTCCAGGTTGCTGTTTGTAATTTGGCTTCCCTGGCCCTGAATATGTATGTCACATCAGAACACACATACGACTTTAAGAAGTTGGCTGAAGTCACTAAAGTCGTTGTCCGAAACTTGAATAAAATTATTGATATAAACTACTATCCTGTACCAGAGGTATGAATAGATTTCTCTGCTTATTGGTAATTATTGAAATCCAAATTGAAAGGAATCAATCATGATCTTCAAGTCATCATTTAAATGGTTATCAATAAAATGGTTTGAGAAAAAGAGGTAGTCTGTCTCATTTGGTACAGAATGTTGCTTTTCCTGTTCAGTAATGTTTTCTCCTTTTCTTTAAAATCTGTTGACACAAAGGCATGCCTATCAAATAAACGCCATCGCCCCATTGGAATTGGGGTACAAGGTCTGGCAGATGCTTTTATCCTGATGAGATACCCTTTTGAGAGTGCAGAAGCCCAGTTACTGAATAAGCAGATCTTTGAAACTATTTATTATGGTGCTCTGGAAGCCAGCTGTGACCTTGCCAAGGAGCAGGGCCCATACGAAACCTATGAGGGCTCTCCAGTTAGCAAAGGAGTAAGTATATGGATGGAATTGTTTTTGCCTGTGAGTACCTGTAGTGGGCTGAATGGTGACCCCACAAAAGGATATGTCCACATCCTAATTCCTGGAACCTGTGAATTTAATTTCATTTGGTTCAAAAAAAGGTATTTTGCAGATGTAATTAAGAACCTTGAGATAAGGAGATTTACCTGGATTATCCAGGTGAGCCCTAAATCTAATGACAGTTGTCCTGCAAGAGGCACAGAAGGGGAAGCAACGTGACTATGGAGGCAGAAATTGGAGTGTTACAACCACAAGCCTTGGAATGCTGATAACCACTAGAAGTTATAAGAGGCAAGGAACAGAATCTCTTCTAGTGCCTCTGGAGGGAGTGTGGCCCTCCCAACATGTTGATTTTGGGCTTCTGGTCTTCAGAACTATGAGAGAATAAATTTTTGTTAAGTTACCAAGTTTTTAGTAATTTGTTGCACCAGCCATAGGAAACTTAAATACCTTTGTCCTCTGGAGTAAAAAGGATACTCTGTTTTAATCTCTTATTTAGAACTAGTCATTGCTAAAATAATGTAAGAGGGATGCTGCCAATGTTAGTTTTCTGTGGGTTAAAACATGGCATTCGTTATCTCACAGTTTCCACAGGTCAGGAGTCCAGACTTAGCTTAGCTGGGCCTTCTTTTCTGGGTCTGTGTTCAAGATGTTGGTAAGGGCTGTGATCTCGTCTGAGACACAGAGTTCTCTTCCAAGCTTACCTGGTTGTTGGCAGAATATATTTCAAGGACTCATGGCATCTTGCTTCTTTAAGGCCAGTGGGAGAGACCATCTCTCGTTTCAAAAGGGGCACAGTCTAGTCTCTTTTGAGGGTTTTCACCTGATAAGTTAGGTCCACATAGGATAATGTCCTCACCACCCCCCTGTCCCGCTTTTTTTTTTTTTTTTTTGAGACAGAGTCTCACTTTGTTACCCAGGCTGGAGTGTGTGGTGTGATCTTAGATCACTGCAACCTCTGCTTCTCAGGTTGAAGCAGTTCTGCTGCCTCAAGTCTCCCGAGTTAGTAGAGATGGGGTTTTGCCATGTTGGCCAGGCTGGTCTTGAACTTGTGACCTCAAGTGATCCGCCTGCCTTGGCCTCCCAAAGTGCTGGGATTACAGGCATGAATCACTGCACCTGGCGTAATCTTCCTTTTATTTAACTCAGAATCGGCTGATTTGCAACCTTAATTACATCTGCAGAAACCTTTCACCTTTGCCATAATCGCTGGAGTGACATGCATCCTATTCTCAAGTCATGTCCATACTCAAGTGGAGATTATAAATAGCCTGTGCACCAAGGTGTGGGAATCTGGGAAGCTGTCTTAGAATTCTGCCTTTCCCACTGCCTTTATTATCAGTACTATGATTCTTTACTATATAAAATGTTAATTTCATTTCTGACATTCCTGCTGATATTAGAAAATCTAATGTGTGGTTATTAGAAAATAGGTGTTTTTAGCTAAGTAAACAGATCAAGGGACAGATGAAGGCACTGAAGAAAGTAACATTTTTAGTGTTAAAAAAAGAGAATGTGTCAGCCACACCCTTTTATGAATGTTAGAGTTTTCTGGTTTGTAGATATGACATGGGATAATCAGTTTTCTTAGCCTGCTTCTGATCAATATGACTACATGGAATTTTGTCCAGGAAAATCTCTGGAGCTTGTATTCCTCATAGAGGTTGATTAGAAGACAGCATTTGTTGGGATGTGGGGACATGGCAGCTAGTCATTTGTGGGTTTTTTTTTTTTTTGGTCATAGTTTTAACTTGCTGTAGAATAAATTTGAGTTGTGTATTCCTTAGATTCTTCAGTATGATATGTGGAATGTTACTCCTACAGACCTATGGGACTGGAAGGTTCTCAAGGAGAAGATTGCAAAGTAAGTGAAAAGATGTAAAGTAGCTTTGAAGGCAGAAGGGTTTAGGTTCACCTTCTGGATCTTCAGAAGTTAGATATGTCATTTTAACTTCTTAAACTCATTTATTACAAATGGGGCTAAAATGGCCTATCTCACAAAACTATTTTGGGAAAAAACTTCGTAAGATAATATATATAGTAACCTGGAAGTTGCTTGGCACAATGAAAGCATTTCAGTACCTGGTAGGAATTACTATTATTAGTTGATCTTATTTTAGGGACTTAACACACCTAGATTAGGTAATTTTCTTTCTCATTAAGGCTTTTTTCCAACTATGATTTTTTTTTTTAAATGTTTTTCATTCTTATTTATTTCCCAATTTAGTTACATCGGGCATATAAATGGCTTTTGTTTGAATTGATTGTCATAGGAATAATGGATTTTGGAAGAGTTTTTGGAGGGTAATGTGTTTAGACTATATGAAAAAAAAATTTTTAAATTGAGTTTTTGTAGGCCTTTCAAACTAATAAGCATAAGGGATTCGAAGGCAGACAGAATGTTTTGCAGAGTGAATAACAAAGCAAATTGTTTTTGTTTTCTATCGTGATGACTTTGTCATTTATGGGTTAATGCATATGCAAAGTGATTAATATTTGGAGAATGAAGCAGTAGCTTTAAAATGCTCTTTAAAAAAAATAACCGTTTGCCTTAAAATTGTTAAATTAAAATTGTTTTCCTACTCAAATAATACATGTTAGAAAATTTAGGAAAACATAGATTTGGAAAGAGAAAATGAAAATTATACTAATACTGCCTCCCCCAGAAAACCTGTGTGCATCTTAGTGTCTGTCATCCTTTAGGTTTTCTTCCAAGAGTACACATACATGTGTATTTACATGGAAATTCAACTTTTAAGAAAATGGACCTGTACTGTATTTATATATATATATATATATATTTTTTTTTTTTTTTTTTCCCCTCAAAATACTATGGCTTAGTTTTTTATATACATGACTTTTTTTCTAATTTCAAAATTAGTATATGAACACAAATTTATTATTAATAAAGCTCAAATACAGAAATAAAATAGAAAGTAAAAGCCCTTCTTCATACTTCTGCCAACCATTTGTCTCAGAAAACAAACCAAAAAAGTAACTTATTCTTTTTCCCAGAGATAAGACTTGTTAATGGTGTGTATTTTTCTAGATCTTTTTCAGTACATTTGCAGATAGGTACACATACACGGTTTTGTCATATAAATGTGATCAAACTTGATGTATTCTGGGCTGGGCACCATGACTCACGTCTGTAATCCCAGCACTTTGAGAGGCTGAGGTGGGTGGATCACTTGAGGTCAGGAGTTCAAGACCAGCTTGGGCAACATGGCGAAACTTAGTCTCTACTAAAAATACAAAAATTAGCTGGGCGTGGTGGTGCATGCCTGTAATCCCAGCTACTTGGGAGGCTGAGACATGAGAATCACTTGAACCTAGGAGGTGGAGATTACAGGGAGCCGAGATCATGCCACTGTACTCCAGCCTAGGTAACTGTGACTCTGTCTCAAAAAAAAGACTTGATGTATTCTGAGACTTGTTATTTAGTGATTTATTTTGGAGCTCTTTCTCTTTTAGTACCTGTAGGTCTACCTAATGTTTTTAATTATTATAGACAATTCCATAGTTTGAATATATCATATATGTAGGACTTTTCACAACATTTACCTGTCTGTAGACAGATGATGTTGCTATTTTACAGATGAGGAAGTAAAGACATGAAGATAGTTGGTGGTTTGCTTGATACCTCACTACAAAGTGACAGAGTAAGGTGGAGAACCACCCCCCAAAAAAAGTAAATAAAAAAATAATAATAACTAAAAAGTAGAGAACCCAGTTGTATTAGTCGATTCTCACACAGTTATAAAGAACTGCCTGAGACTGGGTAATTTAAAAAGGAAAGAGGTTTAATTGACTCACAGTTCCGCAGGGTTGGGGAGGCCTCAGGAAACTTACAATCATAGCAGAAGGGGAGGCAAACAGGTCCTTCTTTAATACGGCGGCAAGCAAAGTGCTGAGTAAAGGGAGAAAAGCCCCTTATAAAACCAGATCTTGTGAGAACTCACTATCTCATGAGAACAGCATGAGGGTAACCTCCTCTGTGATTAAATTACCTCCCGCCAGGTCCCTCCCGTAACGTGGGGATTATGGGAACTACAGTTCAAGATGAGATTTGGGTGGGGACACAGCCAAACTATATCCAGTTGTACAGACTCCGTCAGGATATGAGGCTGTATGCTAAGCACTGTATGAATCCATAGGTATAGAATGTAGGAAAGACAGGCTCTTTGTGTTTTAAAAACTTGAGACTAAGAAAACAAGTAGTTAAGGTATACGGAAAGGTACAGGTCAGAGAAAATGTTTGCAGAGTAGATATTTGTATTTGACATTTGTATTTGTGCCTGCCTGATGAGGAAAGATGTTTTAAAATTGCTATCAATTAGGCTGAGCTTTGAAGGTGAGCCAGGGGCAGTTGGGAGATTTCTCAGTGTGTCAGATAGTGTATTTTCTCTTATTAGTCAAAAGATGTTAACCTTCTTGCAGGAACTTATAATTGAAGAATATACTTTGAGCATAATTTCTTCCTCTTTACAGGATAATGGAGAATTGTGGTGATATTTCTCTGATTCTGAACACTTTCTCATCATTATTTTTCCAGAAGGGGCCTAGCACAATGATTTTATAGGCACTTGGAAAAGAGTGAGGGTTGGATGAGTGTAACCTAATACAGGTGGGGAGCGCTTCAACAGTGATTTGAATATTTCCCTACGCAAGATAGTGTATCAAGTGTTATGATTCCTGAGTGCCACAGTCCAAGTGGCATAAATCATGGTATGATAAGGATAGCCAACAATAAAAATTGTACTAATTCAGTTTAGGAGTCAGGCATTTAAGAGGAGAGTGGGCTATAATAGCACCCATACTGTGGAATTGCCTCCCTGTAGGAGTTTAATTTGAAAGTCAACGTGTGAGTTCAATGCATGTACGATGTTACATTTACATTTACTACATTTATCTACATTTACTACAGTGACTTAAAGTAGCTGCTTTCCTGGCAGATTGTAGCTTTGGGACTAGTACCTGATAATCTCCTTTTCTTTAGGTATGGTATAAGAAACAGTTTACTTATTGCCCCGATGCCTACAGCTTCCACTGCTCAGATCCTGGGGAATAATGAGTCCATTGAACCTTACACCAGCAACATCTATACTCGCAGAGTCTTGTCAGGAGAATTTCAGGTGAGCAGTTCACAACCAGCCTTACAGGGAGATCTTTCAAAAGCCTGATGTTGGGAGTAAATGCTCACTCATGTTTAATTTGCCCATTTTCTTAGTTTGGGTGCAAACTTTGATAAAGACAGTCATCTTCATCTCTAATATTATTATTTGTTATTAATATTTCAGCACAATAGGCATTTAATAAATAATCTGTTGAAAGAATGAGTGAATGAGGGTCGAGTATGAAAGTAAGTTGTTGATAGTTAAACATGATGTTTAACCATTATGTAATCATAGTGATATATTCTATAACTTCTCCCAGATGCTTAAGTTAGGATACTCAAAATGTATAAAGAAGTATCATTTAAGGCAGTGGTTCTCAGACTTGGTTACCAATTAGAATTTATGGTGGGTGAGACCAGTGGTTTTTTCTTTGTTTTTAAGGTTCCCAGGTAATTCTTATGTGTAGCTAGGGTTGAGAACCTCAATTTAAAAGACTATTTGTGAATTTCCAGATATCTTGAAGTAAAGTTCTGTAAAGTTCGAGAAGGATACGTTTCCAATTTTTTTAACCTAAGTATTTATAGATTTACCCATCTTAGGCGCTATTCTTTTCACTTTTGCAAACGCCATATGTTTCTTTTTTAATGAAAATATTTTTTCAGCTTTATTAAGGTATAATTGACAATAAAAATTGTGTATAAAACCAAGGTATACAGTGTAATGATTAGATATGTGTATATATTATATAACGATTACCACACCACAATGTTTTTGTTGTCGATACTGTTTTTGAGAAAATGTCTCACTTTGTCACCCAGGCTGGAGTGCAGTGGCATGATCTTGGCTCACTGCAGCCTCTGCCTCCTGGGTTCAAGCAATTCTCATGCCTCAGCCTCCTGAGTAGCTGGGATTACAGGCATGCTGCGCCACCATGCCTGGCTAATTATATTGTTTCTTGAATAACAGATGTCAAGATCTTAAAGGAATATAGCTTTCGTGTGGTGGCATTGATGTCTCGTCTTTATAAAAGATAGAATTTACCAAGCAATCTAGCATTAAATAACTCTTAAGTGATTTTAGTTTAAGCTTCAAAGCTGTAGTCTTTTCTAAGCAGTCACTGTTATTTATTTCTTCATACATTTTCTGCTTTTCCATTCAGATTGTAAATCCTCACTTATTGAAAGATCTTACCGAGCGGGGCCTATGGCATGAAGAGATGAAAAACCAGATTATTGCATGCAATGGCTCTATTCAGGTATAGAATGAAAATGAAGTGTGCTCTGCAGGGGCTGAGTTGGACATTGTGGTACCTCCTCACTCATGCTAGACAATGGAGAGAATGACTTCATTGTGTTCATCTAGGTTTTGCTTGTGTAGCTCTGTTCACCTCTGCATTGTTGTGCTAGGATTGTACACATCTTTACATAACCCTTACCATCTTGTTTTTATGCAATAATATAAAAAAGTAGTTCTCAATTTTTCTGCATCTTAGAATCAACTGGGGAGCTTTTAAAATCCTGAAGCTTAGGTTGCATTCCTTACCAATTAAATGTCTAGGAACAGGAACCAGACATCAATTTTTTTTTTTTTTTTTTTTTTTTGAGACGAAGTCTCTGTCGCCCAGGCTGGAGTGCAGTGGTGGAATCATGGCTCACTGCAACCTCTGCCTCCTAGGTTCAAGCGATTCTCCTGCCTCAGCCTCCCAAGTAGCTGGGATTACAGGTGCCTGCCACCACGCCCGGCTGTTTTTTGTATTTTTAGTAGAGACAGGGTTTCACCATATTGGCCAGGCTCCTGACCTCAGGTGATCCGCCTGCCTTGGCCTCCCAGGGTGCTAGGATTACATGCATGAGCCACCGTGCCTGGCCTCAGACATCAATAATTTTTAAAGATTCTTTTGGTGATTCCAAAGTATATCAAAATTTGGGGGATCATAGATAGAAAGACTGAAATTAAGAGAGTCAAGCTTAATTAAAAATCATGGTTGACGACTGATAGTCCAAAAGACAGAGTCACAAATCGTGTAAATATTTGCAACTAAGAGTCAAGAGGCATTTATTTGCAGATAGAGGTGTCTGGCTAAATGTTGGTCTGCTTAGCAACACAGATGAAGAGTCCTATAACAGTTCCATATTTAATGACAGAAACTGTAGCATTAGCCAGTCTGTGTGTTTTAATGAAAGTTAACCCTAGGCCTAAGAAAACCTGATTTTGGATTCCAAAGGGAGTTTGAAATCCTAGCTTATTTAAAGGGTTTTATCTCATTGCTTCCCTTGGTCCCTGTGAATTACAGCCCTTATTTTTTGTGTTTTCTGCAAAACTCAAGGGTCATTTATTGCTGCTTAGCTCTGACTTTTCCTTTCTTTAAGTGCCTCTAGAAGAATGAATGTTTGGGTCATAAATCAATTAAAAAATTAAAAAATTGGTTTATGACCAACAAAAAAGGGATGCTGAAATTACTATCACCAGATTGATATTTGGTTGGTTAGATGGGGGTTTTGTTCAACTTTCTAAATAGTCTTGGTAAACTTGATAAGGATCATATCATATGATACTGAATGGTAAGGTCAGATCTGGCAGGAAGTAAAATGAAGATCAAAGCTTGTGTCACTATTCTATTAATCATACACTGCTTTCTTTAACTGGAGTAAAGTAAACATTGGGTTTTCCTTCTTTAGAGCATACCAGAAATTCCTGATGACCTGAAGCAACTTTATAAAACTGTGTGGGAAATCTCTCAGAAAACTGTTCTCAAGATGGCAGCTGAGAGAGGTGCTTTCATTGATCAAAGCCAATCTTTGAACATCCACATTGCTGAGCCTAACTATGGCAAACTCACTAGTATGCACTTCTACGGCTGGAAGCAGGTTGGTAGAGAATATCAAGGAGTACTTAATTGCCAGCTTGAGATATTTTGGCATTGGAATGATTTTATGTTTTAGCCACCTATTAAATATTATCACCTAGAAGTTCTTTAAGTTCAAATCCAGAACGTTAAAACCAACCCATGGTTTTTGTACCAGAACAGGGTCTTGCCTTGGATTTTCTTGTTTCTGTTAGGTTTATTTCCTTCTTAGGTTTGAAACCTTGTAGTTACCTGTGATGCTTTCCTTCCTTTACTGTCCGTACAATTACCAAGTTGTGTTGATTGTTCCTTTGTATTATTTCTTAAATATCTTCCTTCCTTTTCTGCTGCTGTTATTCTAAACTGACCTTATTGCTTCTAGGATCTCTGCTCCCAGCCATTTTGTGTGCATTACCACCATTCCTCAGATAAAACTTTGCACACGTCAACCCGCTATTCAAAAACATCCATTGTTTTCTCACTTTATAAAGTGAAAGCCAGCTTACTTAGCTAGTCGTTGCCAGCTGTAAAGTCTGGTGATTTTGGATTATGTTCTTATTCCCTGATAATGTATTGGGTATTTAAGTAGAATTATAAATTTGTTTTTTAATTTAACATTTATTGAACATCTAGTATGTGCCAGGACTGAGGATACTGAATAGAAGATGATGATCTTTATCTTTGAAGTCTTATAGTCTGTTGTTACACAGAGACACAGTCTAGCTCTCTAAACAGTTATAACCTAAGGCAGACATATTGTCTTGGGCAAACCTGGAAGTCATATGCATAAAAACAAAGACAAAAGAATAAAAATGTTTGACCTTTCCAAAGAGATAAGCCTGTTTTAGGAGTGAAAAGAACAGGATATTTCTGTCTGACTCACAAAGCATTTTTGAGAGTACTCCTAGAGGAGATAGAATTCCAAGTTTAAAAAAAGTTTGATCTGGTTCATGGGAATGTATTTTATTTTATGTATGTATGTATGTATTTTGAGACAGAGACTCACTCTGTTGCCCCGGCTGGAGTACAGCGGCATGATCTTGGCTCACTGCAACCTCTGTCCTGGGTTCAAGTGATTCTCATGTCTTAGCCTCCTGAGTAGCTAGGATCACAGGTGTGTGCCAACACACCTGGCTAATTTTTGTATTTTTATTAGAGATGGGGTTTTGCCATGTTGGCCAGGCTGGTCTCAAACTCCTGGCCTCAAGCAATTCACCTGCCTCGGCCTCCCAAAGTGCTCGAATTACAGGTGTGAGCCACTGTGCCTGGCCAGGAATGTATTTTATTTTATTTTAATATTATTGTTTTATTTTATTTTATACTTTTTTAGACGGAGTCTCGCTCTGTTGCCCAGGCTGGAGTGCAATGATACAGTCTTGGCTCACTGCAACCTCAGCCTCCTGAGTAGCTGAAATTTATAGGCATGTACTACCCCTCTTGGGGGATTACAGGCATGAGCCACAGCGCCCAGCCAGGAATGTATTTTTTTGTTTGTTTGTTTGTTTGTTTTTTCTTTTTATTTATTTATTTATTTATTTTTATTGATCATTCTTGGGTGTTTCTCACAGAGGGGGATTTGGCAGGGTCATAGGACAATAGTAGAGGGAGGGTCAGCAGATAAACAAGTGAACAAAGGTCTCTGGTTTTCCTAGGCAGAGGACCCTGCGGCCTTCCGCAGTGTTTGTGTCCCTGGGTACTTGAGATTAGGGAGTGGTGATGACTCTTAACGAGCATGCTGCCTTCAAGCATCTGTTTAACAAAGCACATCTTGCACCGCCCTTAATCCATTTAACCCTGAGTGGACACAGCACATGTTTCAGAGAGCACAGGGTTGGGGGTAAGGTCACTGATCAACAGGCTCACAAGGCAGAAGAATTTTTCTTAGTACAGAACAAAATGAAAAGTCTCCCGTGTCTACTTCTTTCTACACAGACACGGCAACCATCCGATTTCTCAATCTTTTCCCCACCTTTCCCGCCCTTCTATTCCACAAAGCCGCCATTGTCATCTTGGCCCGTTCTCAATGAGCTGTTGGGCACACCTCCCAGACGGGGTGGTGGCCAGGCAGAGGTGCTCCTCACATCCCAGACGGGGCGGCGGGGCAGAGGCGCCCCTCACCTCCCAGACGGGGCGGCTGGCCAGGCGGGGGGCTGACCCCCCACCTCCCTCCCGGACGGGGCGGCTGGCCGGGCGGGGGGCTCACACCCCCACCTCCCTCCCGGACGGGGCGGCTGGCCGGGCCGGGGGCTGAACCCCCCACCTCCCTCCCGGACGGGGCGGCTGGCCGGGCAGAGGGGCTCCTCACTTCCCAGTAGGGGCGGCCGGGCAGAGGGGCCCCTCACCTCCCGGACGGGGCGGCTGGCCGGGCTGGGGGCTGACTCCCCCCACCTCCCTCCCGGACGGGGCGGCTGGCCGGGCGGGGGGCTGACCCCCCCACCTCCCTCCCGGACGGGGCGGCTGGCCGGGCAGAGGGGCTCCTCACTTCCCAGTAGGGGCGGCCGGGCAGAGGCGCCCCTCACCTCCCGGACGGGGCGGCTGGCCGGGCTGGGGGCTGACTCCCCAACCTCCCTCCCGGACGGGGCGGCTGGCCGGGCTGGGGGCTGACTCCCCAACCTCCCTCCCGGACGGGGCGGCTGGCCGGGCGGGGGGCTCACACCCCCACCTCCCTCCCGGATGGGGCAGCTGGCCGGGCGGGGGGCTGACCCCCCCACCTCCTTCCCAGATGGGGCGGCTGGCCGGGCAGAGGACCTCCTCACTTCCCAGTAGGGGCGGCCGGGCAGAGGCGCCCCTCACCTCCCGGACGGGGTGGCTGGCCGGGCGGGGGCTGACCCCCCCACCTCCCTCCTGGACGGGGCGGCTGGACAGGAATGTATTTTAAATATTGGTGTGGAATGTCTAGTATTCTCACAGAGTTTCTCCTAATAATTGTCTTTACTTTCCTTGTAGGGTTTGAAGACTGGGATGTATTATTTAAGGACAAGACCAGCGGCTAATCCAATCCAGTTCACTCTAAATAAGGAGAAGCTAAAAGATAAAGAAAAGGTATCAAAAGAGGAAGAAGAGAAGGAGAGGAACACAGCAGCCATGGTGTGCTCTTTGGAGAATAGAGATGAATGTCTGATGTGTGGATCCTGAGGAAAGACTTGGAAGAGACCAGCATGTCTTCAGTAGCCAAACTACTTCTTGAGCATAGATAGGTATAGTGGGTTTGCTTGAGGTGGTAAGGCTTTGCTGGACCCTGTTGCAGGCAAAAGGAGTAATTGATTTAAAGTACTGTTAATGATGATAATGATTTTTTTTTTAAACTCATATATTGGGATTTTCACCAAAATAATGCTTTTGAAAAAAAGAAAAAAAAAACGGATATATTGAGAATCAAAGTAGAAGTTTTAGGAATGCAAAATAAGTCATCTTGCATACAGGGAGTGGTTAAGTAAGGTTTCATCACCCCTTTAGCACTGCTTTTCTGAAGACTTCAGTTTTGTTAAGGAGATTTAGTTTTACTGCTTTGACTGGTGGGTCTCTAGAAGCAAAACTGAGTGATAACTCATGAGAAGTACTGATAGGACCTTTATCTGGATATGGTCCTATAGGTTATTCTGAAATAAAGATAAACATTTCT
Organism: Homo sapiens; assembly: GCF_000001405.40. Lineage (NCBI taxonomy): Eukaryota > Metazoa > Chordata > Mammalia > Primates > Hominidae > Homo > Homo sapiens. The sequence goes on from NC_000011.10 coordinate 4,138,871, forward strand.
AAGTGATTGTATGAGATTAATTTTGTCATTTACTTTCATATAAAAGTCAAATTTGAAAAACACATTTTCTGTTCTTTGAGAATTCAGGGAGGAAATTATATGCCTTTTTCTTTTCTTTTCCTTTCTGTAGTAAAATATACCTAATATACAATTTACCATTTTACCCATGTTTAAACATAAAATTCAGTGGCTTAAGCACATTCATAGTGTTATACTACCATCACCACTATTTGTTTCCAGAACTTCATCATCCCAAACAGAAACTCTGTATCAATAAGAACATTAACTCCCCCTTTCCCCTCCAAGTCCCTGGTAACCTCTATTCTACTTTCTGTCTCTATGAATATGCCTCTTCTAGGTACCTCGTATAAATGGAATACATGTCTGGCTTATTTCATTTAGCATAATGTTTTCACAGTTTATCCATGTTATAGCATGTATCCAAATTTCATTCTTTATGTATACCACACTTTTTTTTTTTTTTTTTTGAGACAGAGTCTTGCTCTGTCACCCAGGCTGTACGATCTTGGCTTGGCTCACCACAACGTCTACCTCCTGGGTTCAAGTGATAAGTGATTCTTGTGTCTCAGCTTTCCAAGTAGCTGGGACTATAGGTGCGCGCCACCATGCCTGGCTAATTTTTGTATTTTTGGTAGAGACCAGATTTCACCATGTTGGCCAGGCTGGTCTCAAACTTGTGGCCTCAAGGGATCTGTTTGCCTCGGCCTCCTAAAGTGCTGGGATTAAATGCCTGAGCCTCCACACCTGGACTACCACACTTTGTTAATCCACTTATCTTTTGATGGACATTTGGGTTCTTTCCTCCTTTTAAGGAATTTTGACTAATGCTCTTGTGAACATTGGCTTAAAAGTATCTATTGAGTTCCTGCTTTCAATTTGTTTGGGTATGTATACAGGGGTGAAGTTGCTGGAAATTATGGTGATTCTATCTTTAACTTTTTGAGGAACTACCAAACTTTTCCACAGCAGCTACATTATTTTACATTTCCACCAGCAATACAATAGGGTACCATTTTCTCCACATCTTCATCAACACTTATTTTTCATATTTTTGTTTTGTTTTGTTTTTTGAGAGACGGTCTTGCTCTGTTGCCCAGGCTGGAGTGCAATGGTACCATCATAGCTCACTGCAGCCTTGATCTCCTGGGCTCAAACAATCCTCCCATCTCAGCCTCTCAAAGTCTTGGGGTTACAGGTGTAAGCCACCACACCCAGCTCATATTTTTTATAATAGCCATCTTAATGACTTGACAATTTCATTATAATGTGTCTTGGTGTGGGTCTCTGAGTTTATCCTACTTGGGACTTCCTGGGCTTATTGGATTTGTAGATTCACATCTTTTGTTAAATTTGGGTTGTTTTTGGCCATTATTTAGATAATTTTTCTTCCCCTTTCTCTTTCCTTATAGGGACTTCCATAGTGCATCTATTGGTTGACTTGACGGTGTTCCATAGGTCTGTTAGGCGTTGTTTACTTTTCTTTATTTTTTCTTTCTATTCCAAGACTTGATAATTTCAGTGTCCTATCTTCCAGTTTTCTGATTCTCTCTTCTTCCTGCTCAAATCTATTGTTGTGCTCCTCTAGTGAATTTTTCATTTCAGTTATTCTTTTCAACTCCAGAATTTTTATTCTTCTTTGTAATTTTTGTCTCTGTTGATATTCTGATTTTGTTAATCATTGTTTTTCTGATTTCCTTTACTTATTTGTTCATCTTTTCCTTTAGCTCTTTGAGTATATTTAATACAGTTGTTTTAATGTCTTTGTTGAGTAAATCCAATGTCTTGGCTTTCTCAGGGATGGTGTCTATCATTTTTTCTTGATACTTTGAATGGGCCATGTTTTCTTTCTTTCCTTTTTTTTTTTTTTTTGTATGCCTTGTAATTTTTGTTGTTGAAAAATGGGCATTTGACTGTTATAATGAGGTAACTCCAGTAATCAGATTCTCCTACTCCAGAGCTTACTGTTTTTTGTTTCATTGCTATGTTGAAGACTGTAGTACTCCATTTGAGACATTTCCAAACTTTTTTTTTTTTTAAGACAGTGTCTCGCTGTGTCACCCCAGGCCAGAATGCAGTGGTGTGATCTTGGCTCACCGCATGCTCTGCCTCTGGATTCAGGCAATTCTCATGCCTTAGCCCCCTGAGTAGCTGAGATTACAGGTGTGTGCCACCATGCCTGGCTATATTTTGTGGTGTTAGTAGAAATGTGGTTTTGCCATGTTGGCCAGGCTGGTGTTGAACTCCTGGCCTCAACTGATCCACCCACCTCAGCCCCCCAAAGTGCTGGCATTACAAGTGTGAACCACCACGTCCAGCCCAAACTAATTTTTCAGACTATTCTTTGTCACGTATGATTGCCAAAGTCTTTGTTCCTTTAGTGCATGTTCAGTTATTGTTTTGACAGAGATATATGATACCTTCAAACTTTTTGTCACACTAATAAGATTGGCTGGTTGCTTTTAATTGCACTGGACAAATTGGAGAAAGAAAAGGATGACTTTAGTGATTTGAATTCTCAACTTAAGTACTAGACCTGAACATTTCTGTTTCTGCTTTGAAAGAAACTTTACGTTCTGTAGCTGCAGAGTTGAGATTTCTGAAACCAAACCCAGAATCTCATTTTGCAAGTGCCTGAGTTACAATGCAAATTGAATTCTGAGCCTTGCAGTGTGCCTTTGCTATTAAAGTGAGGATATTGACTAGGAATGAATGGGATCCTGAAAATTGGAATGGTGACATATGGGAAGATCCTGTTGAAGCTGGTAATATTGAATCTCTAAATTCTGATGAGTCTTCATTGCCAGTAGAAGCAGAGTTAACTGATTTACCCAAACTGATTATACCTAATTGACATTAACTGCTTTCCCTGAGGAAACTGATGTCTTCCTCTGAGATAATTGCCTTGCAGGACACTGCTGATTGTCCTCAGGACCCACCCTGACCACCCCTCTTTGGTTCTAAACCTATAACTAGATTCAAGTCCCAGCAGGCCCCAAAGGTGAGGTACAAAGTGAGATCTATGAGGAGGTGTGCTACACTCAAAAAGAACTACATGATTCTTCCCATTTGAGAATATGTGTGGAAATGGATATTAAGGATATGTGATAATGGTGGAAGGAACATAAAGTTGGATCAGGCTCAGTTTATTGATAGGGGCCCACAAAGCAGAGGTTTTGGATTTAATATTGCAGCATGGGGGATCGAAAAGTGCCTGCTCTAGCTGGTTGGTTGGTTGGTTGAAACATGGACCAAAATTTGCCCTAAGTGAAGTTGAAATGCCAGTCCTGCCTTGGTATACTATAGAGGAAGTAGTTCAAAGGCTTAGGGAGATCGAAATGTTAGAGTGGATTTATCATTTAAAAGACCAGCTCTCCCACCCTGAGGGAAGTCTGGAGGACACTTCACCATGACTGTGAGAAGTAAATTTGTGAGGGAAGCCTCAGCATCCTTAAAGACCTCTGTGATTGCTCTTTTCTGTAGGTCTGAAATTACACTGCCACTGAATTGGGAAACCTAAATTCAGTGGGAGTAATTGGATCCCATAGTGCCAGGTAGAGACACTTAATTGCCAAAGGCAGGGTGGGAATAGTTACTATAATGGACAGCAGAGTTAAAGCAGCAATCAGAATCGTCTGACTTGGCCAGATGCAGTGGCTCACACCTGTAATCCCAGCACTTTGGGAGGCCGAGGCAGGCAGATCACTTGAGGTCAGGAGTTTGAAATCAGCCTGGCCAACATGGTGAAAGCCTGTCTCTACCAAAAATACAAAAATTAACCTGGTGTTGTGGCGTGCATCTGTAATCCCAGCTACTTGGGAGGCTGAGGCAGGAGAATTGCTTGAACCCAGGCGGCAGAGGCTGCAGTGAGCTGAGATTGTGCCACTGCACTCTAGCCTAGGTGACAGAGCGAGACTCTGTCTCAAAAAAAAAAAAAAGTCTGACTCACAGAGATACGGTTTGGCTAGATGATCATGGAGTTCCTCGAGGTGAAATACATGGGGAATCTATTAAATTCTAACTTGATCTATATAAGCAGAAGAGTTTCCGGTTAAGTGAACAAGTCTAATTTGAATAATAAAACCAGAATTATGGCCCCTCAATCAATTCCCAGATTTGAACTAGTTTACAGACCCAGAACCCCTCAAATGAAAGGGAGACCAAGTCCCCTTGAGGAAGGATCCCACTGCACTATCAAAGATATATACTGTTAAATCTTTCTCCCAGCCTTTCCCAGAAGGATCTATGGCCTTTTACTAGTAACTACATTGGGAAAAAGAGATAATCAAACCTTTTGAGGATTACTGGACACAGACTCTAAACTGACACTAGTTCCAGGAAACTAAAACGTCACTGTGATCTTCCAGCTGGAGTAGGAGCTTATGGAGGTCAGGTAATCAATGGAGTTTTACCTCCAGTCTGTCTCACAGTGGCTCCAGGGATCCCTGAAACCATCCTGTGGTTATTTCACTATGCAGTTCGGGAATGCGTAATTGGAATAGATACACTCAGCAACTGACACAGAGAACCAACCATATTGGTTCTCTGACTTGAGTGAGGGCTATTATAGTGGGAAAGTTCAAGTGGAAGCCACTAGAACTGCCTCTACCTAGGAAAATGATAAACCAAAATCAATATTGCATTCCTGGAAGGATGCCAGAAATTAGTGCCACCATCAAGGTCTTAAAGTATGCAGAAATAATTTCCACCCCATCCCCATTCAACTCACCTGTTTGGCCTTTGCAGAAAATACGAATTTTGGAGAAAGACAATGGATTATCATAAGCTTAACTGGGTGATTACTCCAACCAGAGGCAGTTCTATTGCTTGAGCAAGTTAACACATATCCTCATACCTGGTATGCAGCTATTGATCTGGCAAATGCTTTTTTCTCCATACCCCTTAGTAAGGACCACCAGAAACAAGTTTGTTTTCAGCCGGCAAGGCCAGCAATACACCTTCACCATCCTGCCTCATGAGTATATAAACTCTCCAACCATATATCATAGTTTAGTTTACAGGATTTTGATCAGCTTTCTGTTCCACAAGATACCACTCTGGTCCAATACGTTGGTGACATTATATCGATTGGACCTATGAGCAAGAAGTAGTGACTTCTCTAGACTCATTGGTAGAATACTGGCATGTCAGAAGGTGGGAAATCTCACTAAAATTCAGGGCCACCTTCTACACAGGACAATTTCTAGGCATCTAGTGTGAGGCATGTCGAGATACCCTTTCTAAGGTTAAGGATAAATTGTTGCATCTGACGACTCCTACAAGCAAGAAAGAGGCATGATACTTAGTGTACCTCTTTGAGTCTTGGAGGTAAAAAATCATGGTAACCATTTCCAGCTTGGTTATGGCAACTGAGTGCCTCCACGTGCCACTCTGAAATCTAATTACTCCCATTGAATTTAGGTTTCATTTGGAGCAGCACACTGGGGCATGCTACTCCATCCTGTTTACCAAAAGCTGCTAGTTCTGGGGCCCAGAACTACACAAGGCACTGCCACAGGTCCAGGCTGCCAGGGAAGTTTCTCTGCTACTTGGGCCATCTGATCCATCAGATCCAGTGGTGCTTGAAGTGGCAGTGGCAGATAGAGATGCTCATTGGAGGCTTTGGCAGACCCCTGTAAGTGAATCACAGGACAGGCCCTTAGGATTTTGGACCGAAGCCCTGCCATCATCCCCTGTGGGTAACTACTCTCCTTTTGAGAAATAGCTTTTGGTTTGCCTTAGTAGAGACTGAACACTTAACCATGGGCCACCAAATTACCATGTGACTTGAGTTGGCTGTTGTCCGACTCAACTTGCCATAAAATTGAGCATGCACAGTAGCAGTCCATCATCAAATGGAAGTGATATATACAAAATCAGGCTCAAGCAAACCCTGAAGGCACAAGTGACCATGAAGAAGTGACCCAAAATCCCGAGGTCTCCAGTTCTGCTACACTGCCTTTTCTTCCCCAGCCTGCACCTATGGCCTCATGGGGAGTTCCCTATGATCAACTGACAGGAAGAAAAAACTCAGGCTTGTTTAGTAGATAATTCTGTGCAGTGTGCAGGCACCGCACCCCCTTTCTGGGACATTACCTGAACACTTTTCCCTTCTGTAGATGATAAGGAGCTGTGGACGTTTTTTTTGTTTTGTTTGTTTTTGTTTTTGTTTTTGTTTTAATTTTGAGACAGAGTTTCACTCTGTTGCCCAGGCTGGAGTGCAGTGGCTCGATCTTGGCTCACTGCAGCCTCTGCCTCCTGGGTTCAAGCGATTCTCCTGCCTCAACCTTCCAAGTAGCTGGGACTACAGGCGCACGCCACCACACCGGGTTAATTTTTGTATTTTTGGTAGAGACGGGCTTTCGCCATGTTGGCCAGGCTGGTCTCAAACTCCTAGCCTCAAGTGATCTGCCTGCCTCGGCCTCCCAAAGTGCTGGGATTACAGGTGTGAGCCACTGCCCAGCCAGAGCTGTGGAAGTCTTTTAAGCAGGGGTTAGCTTTTAGGTAGATCACATTGGCTGTCATAGGAAGAATGGCCTGACTATGGGTTTGGTTCCGACTTTGATCTGGATCCCAGATCAGGGCTTAGTCTGGTTTTTGGGTCAGACTTGGGCTCCAGTGCAGGACCCTGTCTGTGTGCCTGAGGTCAGCACGGTGGCCTCAAAATGTGACCTGTGTGTTTGGCTGAGTTTGGGTTTCCCAGGGTAGGGTCTACTGTGGTCTTTGGGTCAGACTGGGACCCCGAAGAAGACCTGGTCTGGGTGTGTGTCAGACTGGGGACCCTTGGGCAGGAGCTGACCTGTTTGTGTGGGCTAGACTGGACATCGCAGGGTAAACCTGACCTATGTGCCTGTACAGCTTGGGGATCTCAGGAAAGGACCTCACTTGTGTTTGGGACTGACTGGACTCTAGAACCCAGCCTGCTACCTGGATTAGACTGGAAGCCTCAAGGATGACCTGTGTATTAGGTCTGAATAAACTTCATGTCAAGCTTAGGCTATGTTTGGGAGAGACTGGGCTTCAGGGAAGTGCCCGCCTGTTTATTTGTTTCAGACTGGGTGTTGTTCAGACAGGGCAGGTTGTGGTCTGTATGACTTGCTCTATAAGACTACCTTAGTGAAGCCCCATACATCCAGATATTAGTTGGGACTTCCTCAGGAGTTGGGAGGAGGACAGAGAAAATAAACCAAGAAGGATAAATAGGTAAATGCAATTTTATTACTGGGGGTGAAAACAAAGAGCATTCTAAGAATTTAACAAGCAACAGTTGACCAACAGGGAACCTGCTGTTGAGCCCGTAATCTGCTGAGGAAATTTGAGCCTGTCCCTGAGTACTGCCTGCTTATCTCTTCTCAGAGATCATAGCCCCAACTTTCGAAGGTAGTAAAGTCCCTCACCCTGGCGGTTTCCAGTCTCATGTTCTGCAGCCTCTTTGGCTTCTCCCCAGCCTTCTGGGCTGTTTCCTTTTCACAGAGCATCTTTTCTACATGTTGCTGGATCTCCCTAGTCCTCACCCCATAAATGACAGGATTCAAGGCTCCTGGAAGCAGCAAGTATATGGCACTGAGTAGATTCTGGACATTCTGGGACACAGTCTTGGCTACTCAGAAGGTGATGGAAGTGGAAAGACCAGAGACGTAGATGGAGAGGATGACCAGTAGGTGGGAGCCACACGTGTGTAAGGCCTTGGCTTGGGCTCCCCAAGAAGAGATCCGGAAGGCAGCATAGATGATGTGGGTGTAGGAGGTCCCCAGCAGGGCCATATCAGAGATTACAGTGACCAAACACATAGCCAGCCCCAGCCAGTTGTTGAAGGTCAGGTCTCCACAAGCTATGCTCAGCAGTGCAATGCACTCACAGGTGAAGTGTCGAATCACTGCTGTCCGGCAGAATCGGGCTTTTGCAGTTAGTACTACCAAGGGCACTGTCACTCCCAGGCTCTGTGTCAAGGCAAGAATGGCCAGCAGTCCCAGCAGCTGGGAGGTCATCAGGTCAGAATAGCAGAGTGGGTGGCAGATGGCTACGTAGCAGTCCAGGGCCATGGCCAGAGGAAGTTGTAGTCCAGGAGGAGGGTGAAGTAGATAAAGAACACCTAGGCCAGGCGGCCATGCAGCGATATGGGGTTAGCATAATATACAAAGCCCTCCAGCATTTTAGGCATCACGGCTGTGGCAGCACGAATATTGACAGCCAGGAGCACAGTGATGAGCATACACGTAGGCTGATGCAGATTTTGCCGGGCAACCACTGTGTGGATGACCAGGGCATTGGCAGAGATGATGGTCACAAAGAGGAAGACAAGAGGCAGGACCAGAAGGGGCCACCACTCTCGAAGTCCAGGGAAACCCACCAGGAAGAACTTGGTGCAGGAGATGTTGAAGGTGCTTGTATTTCCATCCTCACCCATTAGCTTTGGCCCTGGGCCGGCACCAAGAGTGGGGATCAGAGACTGTTAGAACAAAATGGTCAATTTTAAAAAGACTTTTTCTGTTGTAGACACTGAGGAATTTGTGATAAAAGCCTACTTCTTCATGTATGTATTCCTTTGGGGCACAGATAAGTACTAAGCCGGGTGTTGTAGGAACTACACAGTTACCTACAATCTTTGTAGGTAACAATCTTTGTCCTCAGGGAGCTCTTGGCCTCATGTGTGTGAAATGTAAATGTAAACTTACAAGATACTTGTTTACTTGTAATGTTCCAGATATTTGCTCAGTAAAAGATTAGGAGGAGAAGTAGGTGTAGTATACACAGGGGAAAAAGAGTGACAGCCAGAGACAAAACAAGAAAGGTTAAAAGAAGACTCTTGATTCAGAGGAAGAGAAAGTATTAGAAGAATCTTTGATCCAAGGAGTCTGGGAAGGCCCAAGTGGGGCTTAACAGGGAGAGAAGAACCAGCCGGGAATGATGGCATCACTTGTGTGCTTGGGACACACTGTGGCAAGGAGAGATGGAAGTTGCTGAGGAAGAATTCTGGTCTTCCTGGATCACAAGAAACAGGCTGCAGAGACTGCTTCCTTCCTAAGTCCTCGTAGATTGGCTGTGGTGCCTGCTGCCTGGCCTTGTCCTCAGTGTCATGGATGATGAGTTTGCTTTCCTTTCAGAATGTAGGTTCCAGGAGGGCAGGGATAATAGCATGCTTCTGGTGGGCTCACTGGAGCTCCAAGCACAGAGTCACCATAGAGGCGCAGGACAGGCTTGAGAATTGCTTGTTGAGTAGGTGCATGAGGAACAGGAAGAAGACAATAGGAGGCTGAACATTTAATTGGGATCTTACAGCAGTTGTTTCAAAGCTTTGGCCAGGGGCCAGGACTGTTCTACATACCTGATACTCCACAAACTAGGCAGCATTCAACAGTCTTCAAGCTTTTTTTTTTTTTTTTTTTAAGAGGTAGGGTCTTGCTATTTTGCCCAGGCTGTTTTTGAACTCCTGGACTCAAGCAGCCCTCTTGCCTCAGCCTCCCAGGCATGAGCCACTGCGCCTGGTCACTTCAAGCATTCTGAATCTCAGCAGCAATATGAAGAGTTAGCATTTATTCAGTACTTGCTACCTGCCAGACATGGTTCCAAGTGTTTTCCATGTGATATCTCTTTAATACTTGCAGAAATCCTAAGAGACAACTTTAGCTGTCCCTTTGTATCTGCGGGAGATTAGTTCCAGGACCTGCTGTGGATATCAAAATCTGCAGATGCTCAAGTCCCTTATATAAAATGGTGCTGGGAAAACTGGATATCCATATGCAGAAGAATGAAACTAGATGCCCTACCTCTCATCCTATACAAAAATCAAGTCAAGATAGATTAAAGACCTAAATGTAGGACCCAAAACTATAAAACTACTGGAAAAAATATAGATCAGGGAAATGATTTAGACATTGGTCTGGGAAAAGACTTTATGAATAACCTCAAAAGCACAGGAAACAAAAGAAAAATAAGCAAATGGGATTATATCAAATTAAAAAGCTTCTGTACAGCAAAGGAAATAATCAACAGCGTGAAAAGACAACCTACAGAATGGGAGAAAATATTTGCTAGCTATTTATCTGACAGAGGATTAATATCCAGAATATATAAGGAACTCAAATATTTCAATAGCAACCCCCCCAAAAAACAATTGATTAAAAATGAGCAAATGATCTGAACAGAAATTTCTCAAAAGAAGAGATAAAAGGGCAATAAATATATGAAAAAATGCTCACCATCCCTAATCATTAGGGAAATACAAATCAAAACCACAATGAGGTAGGCTCTCACCCCAGTTAGGATGGCTATTATCAGAAAGACAAAAAAAAAAATGCTGCAGAGGATGCAAAGAAAAGGGAACTCACATATACTGTTGTTGGGACTGTAAACTATTAATAATACAATAAGCTATTAATAAGCCACTATGGAGAACAGTATGGAAGTTCCTCAGAAAACTACAAATATAGCTAGGTGCAGTGACTTATGCCTGTAACCCCAGGCACTTTGGGAGGCTGCGGTGGGAGGATCACTTGAATCCGGGAGTTCGAGACCAGCTTGGGCAACATAGCAAGACCCCATCTCTACAAAAAGTAAAAAAATTATCTGGACCTGGTGGTGTGCACCTGTCATCCTGACTACTCAGGAGGCTGAGGCAGGAAGATTGCTTGAGCCCAGGAGGTCGAGGCTACAGTGAGCTATGATCATGCCACTGCTCTCCAGCCTTGGGTGACAGAGTGAGATCCTATCTCTAAAAACAAGCAAAAAACAAACCCAAAAAACTACAACTAGAGCTACTATATGATCCAGTAATCCACTACTGAGCGTTTATCTAAAGGAAACAAAATCAATATATTGAAGAGACATCTATTTTACCATGTTTATTGCAGCACTATTCACAATAGCCAAAATATGGAATCAACCTAGGTGTCTAACAACAGATGAATGGCACATGTACACAATGGAATATTATTCAGCCATAAAAAGGAATGCAGTCTTGTCATTCACAGCAATATAAGTGGAAGTGGAGGACATGTTAAGTAAAATAAGCCAAGAACAGGAAGTTAAATACTGCATGTTCTCACTCCTATGCACAAGCTAAAAAATTGTTGGTCTTGGTCTTGTAGAAGTAAAAGTAGCACAGAGGACTTGAGGCTGGGGAAGGTAGGGGGAAAGGAAGGATAGGGAGGGATTTATTAAATATACAACATGACAGCAAGATAGTAGGAATAAGTTCTAGTGTTCTATACACTGTAGGATGACTACAGTTAACAATACATGGTTTCAAATAGCTAGGATAGTAAATGTTCTCAGGACAAAGAAATGATGTATTTGAGATGATGGATATTCTAATTACTCTTATCTAATCACTCTCCATTGTATGTATCAAAACATCACCATGTACCCCACAAATATGTACAATTATCTGTGTCACTAAAAAAGTTTAAAAATTACATAGAGTTTACATATAATCTATGCACATCCTCCCATATACTTTAAATTGTTTCCAGATTACTTGTAACACCTAGTACAATGTAAATGCTATGTAAATAGTTGTTATACCATTTTTTTTTTTTTTTTGAGACGGAGTCTCACTCTGTCGCCCAGGCTGGAGTGCAGTGGTGCAATCTCGGCTCACTGCAACCTCCGCCTCCTGGGTTCTTGCCATTCTCCTGCCTCAGCCTCCCGAGTAGCTGGGACTACAGGCGCCTGCCAGCACGCCCAGCTAATTTTTTGTATTTTTAGTAGAGACGGGTTTTCACTGTGTTAGCCAGGATGGTCTCCATCTCCTGACCTTGTGATCCGCCCACCTCGGCCTCCCAAAGTGCTGGGATTACAGGCGTGAGCCACCGCACCCAGCTCTTATACTGTATTTTAAATTTTGTATTTTTTTATTGTTGTATTCTTGATTTTTAAATTTCTTTTCGACTATTTTTGATCTGCAGTTGGTTGAACCTACAGATGTCAGACCCATGGATATAGAGGGCTGCATGCATAATACTATTTATTAACCCAGGTTATAGCTGAAGACACTGAGATTTAGAGAGGTTAACTAATGTTCTTAAAGTATCATAGGTATACCTTTAAATGATAGGGCTGGGATATGACTTAGTGACTTAGGTATGTCAATGGTAAAAGGTGGAGTTCAGCTCCAATCTCAGGTTTACCTCTCTCCAAATCCCCCATAAATTTATTGTTGCCTCACCGTGGCAGCCTGCAGTAGTCTCCAGTTGGGTTGCAGCCTGCTGTGTCTTTGGTTTCGCCTCTGAAGAGCTAAGGCTGGAGGTCAGGTCAGTGCCCAACTCCAAGGCACTATGAGGCTGATTTATGAGGGATGGAAAATTAGACCTGTGGCTCCAGGGGAGAAGCCTGAGGAGATTCCCAGAGGGTAGTCATTCCAAAGGGCACTCAAAAGGAGGAAACAAGGAGAAACCCAGAAGAACCCATCTGTCCCTCAGAGAGGACCCCAGGAGAGGGCTGGGTGGAGGTGACAGTATCCAAATTTTTTTTTTTTTTTTTTTTTTTTTGAGACAGAGTCTCACTCTGTTGCCTAGGCTGGAGTGCAGTGGTGCAATCTTGATCTCGGCTCACTGCAACCTCCACCTCTTGGGTTCAAGCAATTCTCCTGCCTCAGCCTCCCGAGTGGCTGGGATTACAGGTGCCTGCCACCATGCCCAGCTAATTTTTGTATTTTTAGTAAAGACAGGGTTTCATCATGTTGGCCAGGCTGGTCTTGAACTCCTGACCTGAAGTGATCCACCTGCCTCAGCCTCCCAAAGTGCTGGGATTACAGGTGTGAGCCACTGTGCCAGGCCCTGTACTAACATTTTTTTCTCTATGGCTCTTGGCATTTTTCACAGAGCAATCACTTCTGCTAAGGGATTTCCCCTCTTTTACAGATGAGCCATTAGAGGCTCAGGAAGAGCAAGTGAGGTTTCAGAACAAGTCCCATCCCAGGGGCATAAACAGGCATAATCTGTATATCACTGACTAGGATGACCTGGGGCTAAGCTGAGGGAAGGGGCTCTTGCAATTTGAAGGTTAAATGGACACTTAGGGGGTACCCAAAGTCAGGAAAGAGCTCTGGGGTGACAATAGGAGAGCCCAGTGGTCAAGACATGGATCTGATTTAGGGTCTGTGTGTGTGTGTGTGTGTATGTGCATGCAAGCTGCGGTTGGTGAGGAATTTACTTCTGGGTGGTTCAGAAATTAGGGCAGAGAGTGCAGTGTGTACTCAGCTGTGAAAAACTGGGAACCACAGAGGCAGGGGCTGGCTCCTCCAGGGAGGCATCCAGTTTGTCCTCTGGAATTTGGAAATAGGACTAAAAAAGCTCCTCTTTTTCTCTTTTTTTATACCTTCTTTGGATCTTCTTTTTGTGATTTCATTTACTCTCCTTTGTTGGTTTATTAGTTGTTCCTCTTTGTTGTCTTATTTCCTCTTGGTTGCTTTAGGGTTTATAGTACATATCTTTAACTTACCACAGTCTATCTACAAGTACTATTAAGTCTTTCACAAATAGTGTGAGATTTTTACAACACAACGTAGCTCTTGTGTCCATTTTGCTTTCTCATTTTTATACAGTTACTCATTCCTTTATTTTTTTCTTCACATCTTTACTGAGCACTTACTTTGTGCTAGGCCATATGCTGGATGCATGGATACAACAATAAGTAACATTTGTGTTCCCTGAGTGAGTCTGCATTCTACTGAGTAGGCTAGTAATGACAATCAATGGTCAAAATACAGCATGTAACAGTATACTCAACAAATGCATCCCAAAATACTATCTGCTTTTAACATCTACCAAGTCCAGGAAGGACCAATGCCAGGTCAGTTGAGGTCATGTCTACTCTTGAGCTATTCTCCATTCCTGTGACTTGGTGAGGTGAAAAGCCATCAGTTATAAACTAGGGAGAGAAAGAAAAGATAGGGAAAAGATTAAGGGACAAATCTGACTAACTCCCATTTCCCACCCTGGGCGTCCAATTTGAAGGAGGCACAGGTGGTGGGGGTGGTGTTGGGGCAACCTCTAATTTCAATGTTTGGGGCTTTTATAGTTAGGTGGGTGTGGCTATTTGAATGGTTAATATGAGGTGGTCTTTGAAATTAAAAGTGACCCAAGGACTTTTTAATATTTTTTAAGGAATTAACAAAGTCATATTAGAAACTTCTTGAGATTTTGTCCAAGGAGCAGCACAGATCATACCTGAATGGAGAACAGGCAGAAAAAGTAAGCTGTTCTGGTGCTCCTTTTGGAGCATCGCTTTTCCAAAGCAATGGTGTAAGAAGAGCTACAGGGCCAGGCACAGTGACTCTCGTCTGTAATTCTAGCACTTTGGTAATCTGAGGTGGTAGGATTGCTTGAGATCCAGGAGTTTGAAAGTAACCTGGACAATATAATGGGACACTGTCTCTATAGAAAATAATAAAGAAAATTAGCTGGGTGTCGTGGTGCACACTTACAGTCCCAGCTTCTCAGGAAGCTGAGGTGGGAGGATTGCTTGAGCCCAGGAGATTGTGGCTGCAGTGAGCCATGAACAAGAGATTCAGGAGCATGGTGGATGAAGATCTGACTGTGCCTGGTGTAGGTTGGGAGAGGAATGAGAGAATGATGTATTAGGGAAAATCAAGCCCAGTAATGCTTTACTGAGTTCAAGTATGTTAGGTTCTTCCAGTTTTAGCAAGTGCATAAAAATGGAACTGATATGTAGATATCTAGAGATATTTGAAAGGAACCAACTTCAAGTTGAACAATCTGTAATCGACATTAGCCTTTTTCCCTTTCCTTTTTTCAGTCTTCAGATTTTTCCAAAGATTTCTTATGAATGTACTGCAGAGAAATCCCAAACCCATGTTCAAATTCTTCCAGTAAGTGTAAGTACTTTGTCTAGGCAAGAGATTTGAATTTTACTGGCATTGCCAGATGCTCTCTTATAATCTCTTACCATGATAGGGAAGGGGCTTTAGTTCTTTCAGACATCCTTGTTATGCCTTTTCTGGTTTTAAGCTATTTTCTCATGATATGGGGATACAAATAAAGTGGGAGATGAGCAATTTCTTTGTTCTTTCTTAATATTACTCACCTGCCCAAGATCTAGAGAGCCCTTCTGTTTTCTTTCCCCTTTCCTTCATTCCAATAACTTATTGAAAACCCCATTCTGGCCCACTCAGACTGCAGCCCTCCCCACAGCCCTTCTGAGGCTGTCTTGGAGGTGCAAGGTCAGAGTATGAAGTGGGGACCCTGTACCCAAAGCTTAGGCAGACACCCTAGTCTAGGGCTTGGGCTTTCACAGGCAAGTATAGAGTCAAAAAGAAATGAGAAACGGCCTAGATCTCAATAAATGTTTGGTGGTGGACAATCACAGGGATAAAAAGCCTTTGTTCTTCCCTGGTCCCCACCTGGGATCATAAGATCAGAGAACCAAGAACTCAGAGACTCAAGAATGAGAGAATCTAAGAATCATTTAGAAGAAAACTTTACAAAGCAAACCTGCCAGCATTGGATATGGGAAGGAAACGAGAGGAGAAGGCAAAGATTCCTTCTCCCCACCTATAATGCCATACAAAGCACTTTTCTAGTTTTAAGCTGCTATGTGAAGTAGCTTACTGTGTATGATTACTAAGAGAATTTACAGGTACTGAAAACATTTTGGGGAGCCTTCAAACCCTGTGCCCACCTTTGCCCCTACATTACTAAGGTGAAAGCCTCCCCCAAGCCTTCTGCTTGACCAAGCATTAACTTCATTACTCACCAGGACTTACACAGACTGAGAGTAGTAGGACCAGTCTGCTCCAGGCCTGGGTTTCTTGAATGCAGTTAAATCCATCCCATTCCTCCCTGTGGGAAGTTGCCAGAGCTTTCTCCCAGGCTCTGGCTTAGCTCAGCAGGGTCCCAGGGGTAGCCAGAATGTGAACACATCCCCTCAGGCCCTTGTGGGCTGGAGGAACAGCATGAGCAGGAGCAGGGCCTTGAGATGGGCATATTAGGGGGCCAGTGATGAGGGGTCCTGTTTGGGGGAATAGAAAGATTTTTATCTAGCATTTCTCTGTAATTCTTTGCTCCTTCACCCTACATTCTTCTGGGTGACTTCACTCTCTTCATGGCTCCCATCTTTACCTGGGCACCTGTGACTCACATGTTTCTACCTACAGGCCAGATGTTGCCCCTGCATCTCAGAGCCATGTATCCAATAGCCTGTCAGTCAGGGGAACCTCATGCCTCAGGGGAACCTCAAACATACATGCCCCAAGCTGAATTCATGTCTTCACAATGGCATGTTTTCTCCCTGTTTTCTTTTTTTCGAAGTAGTGTTTATTTTTATTTTTTAAATAACAGCTTTATTGAGATAGAGCCCATGTACCATAAAATTTACCCTTTTAAAGTGCTTTTTAGTATACTCACATGGTTTTACAACCTTCACAATTACCTTATTTTAGAACATTTTCATCACCCCCAAAAGAAACTGTAACCCATTAGCAGTCATTCCTCAGCCTCCCCTTCTCCAAAACCTCAGAAACCACCAATTCACTTTCTGTCTCCACAGGTTTGCTTATTCTGGACATTCATATAAACAGAATCGTACAACAGAATGGAATCATTTAGCATGATGTTTTCAAGGTCCATTCATGTAACATGTATCAGTATTTTATTCCTTGTCACAGATGAATAATATTCTATCATATGGATATACCACATACTATTTATCCATTCATCATTTGATGGACATTTGGGTTGTTTCCACTTTTTTACTGTTATGAATAATGCTGCCATGAACATTCATATACAAGTTTTTATGTGGACATGTTTTCTTTCTCTAAAAATTTTTAAATCTATGTTTTAAATCGAGAAGTAAAAGATGTATATATTTATGGATATATGTTTTCAATTATTTGGGTATATACCTAGGAGTGACATTTCTAGGTCACATGGTAACTCTATGTTTAACATTCTGAAAAACTGCCAAACTGTTTTCCAACGTGGCTGCAGCATTTTATATACCCACCAGAAGCGTATGAGAGTTCTCATTTCTGCACATCCTTACCAACATTTGTTATTGTCTCTTTTTAATTTTAGCCATCGTGGTGAAGTGATATCTCATTATAATTTTAATTTGCATTTCTCTGATGGCTACCGATGTTGAGCATCCTTTCATATGCTTTCTGGCCATTTAGCTTCTTTAGAGAAACTATTCAAATCCTTTGGCCATTTTTCAATTGGGTTATTTGTCCTTTTATTGTTAAGGTGTAAGTGTTGTTATATTTTCTGGATAGTAGACCCTTATTGGATATAGGATTTGCAAATGTTTTATGCCATTCTGTGCATTATCTTTTCATTTTCTTGCTGGTGTCCTTTGCAGTACTAAAATTTTTACTTTTGATGAAGTCCAGTTTATCTATTTTTTTCTTTTTCTTTTGTGCTTTTGCTGTCACATATAAAAAACTATTGGCTAATTTGAGGTCACAAAAATTTACTTCCATGTTTTCTTCTAAAAGTTTTATAGTTTTAGCTCTTACGTCTACAACCTATTTTGAGTTAGTTTTTGTATATGATGTGAGGAAGGGGTCCAGCTTTATTCTTCTGCGTGTGGATATACAGTTGTCCAGCGTCCGTTTGTTGAACAGGCTATTCTTTCCCCATCAAGCTGTTTTGGTACCCTCATCATTCCCTGTATTCTTTACCTTAGTGATCTTCTATGCTTTATCTTAGGGATGCTGTTACTATCTCTTAGTGGGGAAATCTGCATTCTGCAGAGATTTGTCTCCTCCCTTTGCTAGGTCTTTTCTAGGCTAAACTAGAAAGTTTGCTTATATGGTCCTGGAGATGGAGGGATGAGATGCTTGATTTCTCATGCCTTCTGTCCTGTCTGGCCAATATTTCTGTGGATGCCTTTTTCTCTCCAACCTCACTGTTACTGCCCTGTTCTGGGTCACATCTTTTCTAGCCTGGCTGGCTTAGTGCCTCTTAGTCCATCTGTTCCCTCTCCTCTCCTCATTCCCAACCCAAACTCAGCTCAAACTGAGAGAAGACCTATTGAACATTACTTTTCAAAGTATCTGCTAACTAGTTGGATGAAACATGGTATTTTATTACATATCTAAAACTGGTTATAATTAATGTTGGCCATTGTTACCATATGTGTCTGGTGGGTCCTTTTTCTTTCTTTTTAAAAATTAGCAGACTGCTTATCTTTTATCTACTTATTAGAAGGCAGCATTGTATATTCTGGCTTAAATCTCCTCTTTGGAATTCTGCTGATTCCAAAATAAAGGCCGACTACTTAGCAGAGAATAGACAGTCCTCTTAGCTCTGGTTTATGCCTGGCTCTCTAGCATCATTTCCTATATATTAGCAGGCAAGATAGAGATGGAAAGGGAGTGGGAGGGGGCCTGGGCCAGACATGCTAATTTCAGAGAGTGGCTCGGGTCCTGGAAAGGAAGGTGGAATACTTGGGGGTCTTGGATTCAGTAACCACACATAGTGAAGAAGGGAGTCTCAGTGGGTCCTGAGTCCTGTGTGTGGGGCCTATATCATGAGGCTGTGGAGGGGAGGGCTGCTTCCATGGTACTTAGGGCTTGGTCAAGGCACAGTGGATGTGGAACCCGGCTTGTAGGACCTCACAGGAACCCAAGCCTGACTGGGAGTGACACAGTTCTTGACCTGCTTCAGGGTGGGCCAGGGGCTTCCCAGTCTGCACTTAGTGGACACAGCTGGACAAGGTGAAGCAGTGGGTATAGAGAGAGGCTGACTGCATCAGCGTCCCAGGACCCTCTGCCACATCAGCTTTCTTTAGGAGCCCTAGAAGAGCCCACCCTTTCTGATCTCCAAAAATGTGCTTTATATTCCACTTCCTTAAATCTTCATGTTACTAGTCAGAGAAGTTGTAACTTCTATTTATTTATTTTTATTGCGGTAAAAAATAACATGAGATTGGGTCGTGCGCGGTGGCTCATGCCCACCGCGTTATCCCAAAGGTGGGATTACGCCTGTAATCCCAGCACTTTGGGAGGTAGAGGCAGGCAGATCACGAGGTCAAGAGATAGAGACCATCCTGGCCAACATGGTGAAACCCCGTCTCTACTAAAAATACAAAAAAATTAGCTGGGCATGGTGGCATGCACCTGTAGTCCCAGCTACTCAGGAGGCTGAGGCAGGAGAATCACTTGAACTCAGGTGGCAGAGGTTGCAGTGAGCCGAGATTATGCCACTGCACTCCAGCCTGGTGACAGAGCGAGACTCCATCTCCAAAAAAAAAAAAAAGAGATTAACCCTCTTAATTAAGTGTACAGTAAAGTATTGTTTACTAAAAGTACAATATTTTGTAGCATATCTCTAGAACCTTTTCATCTTGCATAACTAAAACTTTATACCCAACTGAAAAGCAACTCCCCATTTTCCCCTCTCCCTAGTCCCTGGCAACTACCATTCTACCATCTGTTTCTATGAGTCTGACTAAAAGATACTTCATGTAAGTGGAATCATGCAGCATTTATTTTTCTGTGACTGGCTTATTTCACTCAGCATAGTGTCCTCAAGTGTCATCTATGTTGTAGCATATGACAGGATTTTCTTTTTTAATGACTGAATATTCTATTTCTATTTCTTTTTCTTTTTTTTGGGGATGGAGTCTTGCTCTATCACCCAGGCTGGAGTGCACTGGTGCGATCTTGGCTTACTGCAACCTCCACCTCACAGGTTCAAGAGATTCTCTTGCTTCAGCCTCCCGAGTAGCTGGGACTATAGGTGTGTGCACCATGTCTGGCTAATTTCTGTATTTTTAGTAGAGACAGGGTTTTACCATTTTGGGCTGGCTGGTCTTGAACTCTTGACTTCAGGTGATCCACCCACCTTGGCCTCCCAAAGTGTTGGGATTATAGGTGTGAGCTACTGTACCTGGCCTGAATATTCTACTTCTTGATAGAAAAAAACAGACTCTGTAAAATATTTGAAGAGGGTTATCCTGAGAACATGTGCCCAAGGTGGTTGGGTTGAGCTTGGTTTTATACATTTTAGGGAGACAGATGTTATTGGTGGGGGGAGCAGTTGTGTGGGGGTTGCCAGGTCATAGGTGGATTCAAAGATTTCCTGATTGGCAATTGGTTGAAAAGGTTAAGCTTTGCCTAAAGAGTTGAAGTCAGCAGAAAGAAATGCTTGAATTAAGGGGGGTTGTGGAAGCCAAGGTTCTTGTTATGTAGATAAAGCTTCTAAGTAACAGGCCTCAGAGAGGATAGATGGAGCTTCTGAACAGCAAAAGAAACTACCATCAGAGTGAACAGGCAATCTACAAAATGGGAGAAAATTTTCGCAACCTACTCATCTGACAAAGGGCTAATATCCAGAATCTACAATGAACTCAAACAAATTTACAAGAAAAAAACAACCCCATCAAAAAGTGGGCAAAGGATATGAACAGACACTTCTCAAAAGAAGACATTTATGCAGCCAAAAGACACATGAAAAAATGCTCATCATCACTGGCCATCAGAGAAATGCAAATCAAAACCACAATGAGATACCATCTCACACCAGTTAGAATGGCAATCATTAAAAAGTCATGAAACAACAGGTGCTGGAGAGGATGTGGAGAAGTAGGAACACTTTTACACTGTTGGTGGGACTGTAAACTAGTTCAACCATTGTGGAAGTCAGTGTGGCGATTCCTCAGGGATCTAGAACTAAAAATGCCATTTGACCCAGCCATCCCATTACTGGGTATATACCCAAAGGACTATAAATCATGCTGCTATAAAGACACATGCACACGTATGTTTATTGTGGCACTATTCACAATAGCAAAGACTTGGAACCAACCCAAATGTCCAATAATGATAGACTGGATGAAGAAAATGTGGCACATATACACCATGGAATACTATGCAGCCATAAAAAATGATGAGTTCATCTCCTTTGTAGGGACATGGATGAAATTGGAAATCATCATTCTCAGTAAACTATCGCAAGGACAAAAAACCAAACACCACATGTTCTCACTCGTAGAAGGGAATTGAACAATGAGAACACATGGACACAGGAAGGGGGCCATCACACTCTGGGGACTGTTGTGGGGTGGGGGGAGGGGGGAGGGATAGCATTAGGAGATATACCTAATGCTAAATGACGAGTTAATGGGTGCAGCACACCAGCATGGCACATGTATACATATGTAACTAACCTGCACATTGTGCACATGTACCCTAAAACTTAAAGTTTAATAATAATAAAAAAAGAAAAATAAAAAAAATCAAAGAAAATCTAAAAAAAAAACAAAAAAAACCCCAAAAAACAAAAAAACAAACAAAATACATCTCTTATTGGCCTTTAAAAGGTGTCAGGCTCTCTGGAAAATACCTAGTAAAGGGAAGAGATGACTCTCTACAGAACGGAGATTTCCCCACTAAGAGACAGCTTTGCAAGGTCACTTCAAAATACGTCAAAGGAAATATATTTTGGGGTAAAATACTTTGATTTCCTTCAGGGCCTACCATCTGTCAAGTGATGCTATACCAGAGTCTGGAGTTGGATCTACAAAGAGTAGAGTCTATTTGCTACAAAGAGTCTATTTTTTCAGTCTTATGATCTCTATTTTAATGTGAATGCTGGTCAGTTGTACCTAAACTCTAAAGGGAGAAGGGTATAACCAGGCATGTCTGATCCCCACTTCTCATCATGGCCTGAACTAGCTTTTCAGGTTTCTTTGGGATCCCCTTGGTCAAGAGAGGGCTCCATTCAGTGAGTTGGGGGCTTAGATTTTTATTTTTGGGTTTACACATTGCACATACATCATATTTTCTTTATCTGTTCATTTATTCATGGACATTTAGGTTCTTTCCACCTCTTGCTATTGTGAATAATGCTGCAATAAACATGAGAGTGCAGATATCTCTCTAATATCTTGATTTCAATTCTTTTGGGTAAATACCCAGATGTAGGACTGTTGGATGATATGGTAGCTCTATATTAAATTTGAGGCTTCGTAACTTTTAATGTTTCCTGCTGTGCCATGTATTTTTCCTTTGTCCCTCCAGATCTACTTGCTATCTTTTCCATTCTGCTGTCTGCCTGTTTCAGGAAGACTGCATCAGCACATTACCTTGCCTGCTGGCTTTCAGTGGCTTCAGCCAAATTTCACTCCCCACTAGAGTAGGAGGTTGGGAGAACACTGAGGTCAGGGAGTTGGTTCCCCTGGCTCCCTCTCTGCCAGGTCACAGATTCCTTGCTGAAGACCACATCCCTGGTTGGGTGACGTTTTTCTATCACTACTTTTTGGGTTTCTGTGTCTACTCTCTCCATTTGACCCTCAGATCATGGGGTGGTCCTGGCTCTTTGCTGTGCAAATTCAAGGGTGCTGCCCTGTCCCTCATTGGCTTACTTAATCCCATCTGTGTTTATAAATAGTCCCTCATTATACTCTCCCCAATTATCCTCTTTGAGTGTCCCGTCTCTGTCCTTCTGGGCCCTGACAATCAGAGATGGTGGACATATCCTAAACCCAATGAATGGTTATACCTTTTCTGGCTCAAGTCGCTATTTTCTGTCCATCCTTGGTGCTTGGTGACACTTCTCCAATCCTTGAAGCAGAGGTCTTCTCTGATCTTATCATAGTGGTCTTTACTTATCAGCAAACATCAGAGGTAAACAATCAGCCTCATGGGAAGAGGGAGGTTGTTTCTTCCCAGGGTAGCCTGTGGCCTCTGCTGTTTCAGTTGTGGTAGTTCTTGAAGCCTGTTATCTGAAGTCACCAGCATTTACTTTAAATAAAACACAAACTCTCTAGCTTAGCTCCAAGGCCTTTCAAAATGTGATGCCAGACCATCTCTTCAATACTTGTGTCTTTCTCTACATCTGTTCTACTGTGTTTTACCCAAACTTATCTATTATTCATGTAGCAGGCAGAATAATGACCCACTTCCCCTAAAGATGCCCATGTTCTACTTCCCTGGGAATATGAAGAAAGCGGAGGTCAGAGTCATGTGCTTGCTGGCACTGAAGATGAAGAAAGATGGGGGAAGAGGACACCAGACAAGGAATCTGGGCAGCCTCTGGAAGCAGCTAAAGGCAAGGAAACAGGTTCTCCCCTAAGTCCTCCAGAAAGGAATGCAAATCCTGCCGACACCTTGGTTTTAGCCCAGTGAAACTTACTTTGGACTTTTGACCTTCAGAACTGTATGATAATAAATTTGTGTTGTTTTAAGCTACCAAGCTGGTAATAATTTGTTACAGTAACAACAGGAAACTAATATATTCCCTAAATGCTCATCCCATTCTCAATATAAGCCAGTGGTTCTCAATCTTGGTTTACATTAGAATCACCTAGGAAGCCTTAAAAAAATACCAGGACCTGGACCCTGTCTCCAAAGATTCTGATTTCCTTAATGTCTGAACATTAGTGTTTTTAAAAAAGCTACCCAGGAAACTCTAATATAATTGGAAACCATTGATCTAGACCTTTACTCAATGCTGTCTCCTCTACAGGAAATGATTTTCTTTCTAGCTTGAAGATTTCAACTTGGGATGCCCAGTAGAAACTCTAGAGGAGTTTTTAAACAGCACCATTGTACTGCCAGGACTCCATTCCTAGAAAGTCTGGTTAAATTGGTCTGAAGTGGGGCCAATAATTGATTATTTTTTTAACTCTTATTTTAGTTTCAGGGTTACATGTGCAGGTTTGTTATATAGGTAAATTGTGTGTCATGGGGGTTTGGCATACAGAGTATTTTGTCACCCAGGGAATAAGCATAGTACTCGATAGGTAGTTTTTCAGTTCTCGTTCTCCTCCCACCCTCCACCCTCAAGTAGGACCTGCTGTCTACTGTTGCCATCTTTGTGTACAGGAGTACCTGATGTTTAGCTCCTACTTATAAGTGATTACATGTGGTATTTAGTTTTCTGTTCCTGTGTTACTTTGGTTAGGATAATGGTCTGTAGCTGCATCCATGTTTCTGGAAAGGACATTATTTCATTCTTTTTTTATGGCTGCATAGTATTCCATGGTATATATGTACCACATTTTCTTTATCTAGTATAATGTTGACGGGCATCTAGGTTGATTCTATGTCTTTACTATTGTGAATAGTGCTGCAATGAACATATGTATGTATGTGTCTTTATGGTAGAACAAATTTTTATTCCTTTGGGTATATACCCAATAATGGGGTTGCTGTACTAAATGGTAGTTATAAGTTCTTTGAGAAATCTCCAAACTGCTTTCCACAGTGGCTGAACTAATTTACATTCCCACCAGCAGTGTATAAGTGTTCCCTTTTCTGCAGAAGCTTGCCAGCATCTGTTATTTTTTAAATTTTATTTTATTATTTTTTGAGACAAGGTCTTGGTCTGTCACCCAGGCTAGATTGCAGCCTCAATCTCCTGGGCTCAATAGAGCCTCCCACCTCAGCCTCCTGAGGTGCTGGGACTACAGGTGCACACCACACTCCCTGGTAATTTTTGTATTTTTTGTAGAGAGGAGGTTTTGCCATGTTGCCCAGGCTGGTCTCAAACTCCTGGGCTCAAGCAATCCACCCACTTTGGCCTCCCAAAGTGCTGGGATTATAGGTGTGAGCCACTGTGCCTGGCCTCTTTTGGAACTATCGTTATGAAGTTTTGGAATAGCAGTTATGCTAGTTTCATAATGAATTCACTCAATTTCCTAATTAAATATCATGTTCTAGGATAGTTTTTTATAGCACAGGAATTTTTCATCTTTTGAAAGTTTGGGAAGAACTTACTCATAAAACCTGGGTCCAGGTGTCTTTCAGGTAATAATTATTTATTAATGCTTTTTGATTTCTTTCTTGGTAATTAATCTACTCAGGTTTTTAATCTTTTCTTAAGTAAATTTGAAAAATTATATCCTTCTGGAGATTTGTCTATTTCATAAAGAATTATAAATTTATCAGCATAGACTCCTACAGGGTGATTTGCATTTCAACCAGGCAATTAAATACCTTAACCCAAATAATAAATCTGTAATGCTGGTAATATTTTGAGTCATGCTCCACCTAGCTCATCTCAAATCACTCTGTGGTGTAAAAGGCATTTCTTTACAGTATGTATGAAAATACCATATACACACTCACTAAAATACTCAAGAGACACACACTCCATAAACACACCATCTTCTGGAGAAGTGGTTCTACCACAGACTGAATCCCATAACAAAAATATTGCTTCTGTCCTCACTGCTCAGACCCCACTCTTGCTAGTCATTTGCCTCACTGACTTATCAAAAACTCAGATGATGAAGGGTTAGGATCTCAGAAACATAGGCCATCAGAGGAAGAAGATTTTATTTTTGTCTGCACACAAGGAATTTAAGGAAGAGAGGAACTGCAAATCTGCTGGTAGCTGAAGGTGGTGGTAGCCACGATCCCTACATGCTCAGCACTAGGGCAGATGGGCTCCTCTTCCCATCCTTTTTGGGGCCTCTAGGACAATGTAGAACATCCAGAATCACGAATTCACAGGAACCAAGAACAGCAACATATTCACAGCCATATACAGCAGAGGTCTGTAGAGGTCACCTTGCTCGGCTCCTGCCTGGATATGAGCTCCCTCAACTTGCATGTCTCTAGAGATGAGTTGCTCACTACTGTGTGTTGAGGCCGTCAGTTTTGTGAGTGGGTGGCTTTACCCAGATGTCTTTCCTTACTGAGGGCTGAATCTCTCTTCGTGTGGTGTCATCTCCTTGGTTCTAGGTCTGTCCCCAAGAGCTTCTTGGGGTTGTTTTAATAGGAAGGAGCAGAGGAGAATTAACATATTTTTGAGGGCCTACCATTTCTTGGCCCTGTGAAGTACTTTCACCGCTACAATTTCCCCCTCATTCAGCAGCCCCAACCCCTCTATTATTAGACAGGCATTAGAACTGAGCATCAGGCACATGAGGTCATCTTTTACCCTTCCATTTATTTGTTCATTCACCATCGTTTTTGACATTTGTTATGTACCAGGCAGTCTGCCAGGCACTGAGGCTTAATGGGCTCACTAGATGTGGTTTCTGTGCCCAAGTTACTTAGAGTCCAATGGAGAAGAACCAGAGTGCTGTGGGAGCCCAGAGGAGGTCTCTAATTCAGCCTCCAGAGACAAGCCAGTCTTTTAAGAGGAAAGGATCTCTAATCTGAGAATCAACATTCAAGTCAGCCAGGGCAAGTGCAGTACAAAGAGCTCAATGACATCAAGCTGAGAATTGGTGGGGATAGGATTAGAACTCCAAAGCCAAGTGCCCTTTCACTGTCACCTCACCTCAAGGGAGGTATCTGGGCTTGGGTAAGTCCCATAAACAAATTATAGAAAGAAACAAGATGGGAGAGTGAAAGTGAGAGGATGAACTCACATTCCTGCTCATTTTTCACTGTGGATGACTCGGGTTCAAAAAGGAGGGCTAGAGGTTAGGCTTAGGAAAAGATTTTCTCCCGAGAAGACCAGGAGCTGGGGAGGAAGGGACCCTGGTGTGGACTGGGGGTAGTGGTGGGATTGTCCAGAGAGAGAGGCTAACCAGCTTGCGGTGTGAGTCACCCTCTTTCCTTGGGCTTTCCCTGCATATCCCCTACTCCTGCCATCACCTGCCTAGTAAGAGCCTCCACCCTAGTGGCCCTCACT
The DNA here is from genome assembly GCF_000001405.40 of Homo sapiens. NCBI lineage: Eukaryota > Metazoa > Chordata > Mammalia > Primates > Hominidae > Homo > Homo sapiens. The sequence goes on from NC_000011.10 coordinate 4,165,444, forward strand.
GCTCTCCTGGGCTGACCTCCAGAGCTGATACTCACCCTAGCAACATCAAGCAGGAACACAGAGAACCAGTGGGGCTCCCTAAGTGTGGTTAAATGCACCCCTACTTTTCCCCAGGGGAGCACAGGCTCTGCCTCAGCCAATGGGCAATGACCTTGAGCAAGAGCTGGCTGCCTAACTCAGTCTCCTAGGAAGTGAACAGGACCAGCCTGGAGTCTGGTCTCCTGACAGCCAGGCCAGGCCCTTCCTACTGGTCTGTGTTGCCTAAGGTATCTGCTCTGGAGCTGAAGATTCAACAAAGACAGAGAATTCACACCTCATACCCTAAACCTGCAGCCCACCCCAGGGGCAGCTCTGCCCAAAGCAGGATCAGGGAGTGGACTGTGGGATCTCAGTCAATCCAGCAGGTGGGTTCTAAATATCGGAAATGAGGAGCCAAGAGTTCCAAGGAAGTGCAACTTTGACTGAGCACTTACTATGTGAGGATTTTTGAAGGATCAGTGGTACTTCTATGATGTTTGTGGGAGAAGGCGGGGAGCTGGAAGAAGGAGAATGAGGCTTTGAGAGAGCCTGTTGAAGTGAGGATGTTATCATCCCATTTTAGAAGTAGGCATCGAGGGTTAGAGAATTTGGGTGACTTGTTCAAGGTCACTCAGCATATCTGTGGCAATGCTGGGATGGTCATCTGATCCAAATCTGGCTTTCTCTACTCACACCTCTGTCTCACCCCTGCTCTAGGCCCTGGGGAGGAACAGATAGGATTCAATGATGGCTTCATGGAGGAGAGGACATTTGGGCCAGGCCTGGAAGGTCTGGAAGCAGACACCCAAGCAGAAAGGAGGAGGGCCTGGATGGCTGAGGCTGAGCTCAACATGTGGGATACGGACTGTGATGCCGGCAGGTGTGGGGCTGGTGAGGTTTGTCCTGAAGTCTTGGAAGTTGGGGAGGGCAGGAGCCAAATAAGAGTGTGAAGTCTGGATCCCTGGAGATCCTCCAAGGGCACCGGATGGGTATGCTTCAGCTTTGTGGCTGAGGTGGCAGCAGGGTGGTCAGAGCGGTCCAGCAGGCAACCAGGGATGGAGGCCCCGGAAGAATGTGGAGCACCCCAGGGACTGCTCACCCCTGGGCCCAGCTGTGAGGTTTGCCAAGAGGAGGGATCCCTCATGCTGGGTGAGGCCTCAGGTGACCCTCTGTGACTCCACTCTCTCCTCTTCCCTGGGCCTGGCCTGTGCCTTTCTCACTGGGCTCTGTGGTCCCCTCCAGTTCTCCCATGATCCTCCGGTCAGTAGGGGCCTGGCCAGGGCACAGACACCCATGCAAAGGTGGCTTCTCACCTCTTGGCCCTGGCATGGACCCCACTGCTGCCCCAGAATGGTGGTGGCTTTCACTGGACACACCACTTGGTCACCTCACACCAAGGCCAACTCAGACCTCCAAGAATTGTTTGCCTTCTCTTCTTAAGGCTCTGTATTAGTTTCCTAGGGCTGCCATCACAAATTGTCACAAAGTGGGTGCTTAAATCAACAGAAATGTCTTATCCCATGGTTCTGGTGGCTGGAAGTCCAACATTAAGGTGTTTTCAGGGCCACACTCCCTCCGGAGGCTCTAGAGGAGAATCCGCGCCTGGCTGCTCCCAGGTTCTGGTGCCTCTGGCATTCCTTGGATTGCATCCAGTCTCCACCTGCATCTTCCCATGGCCTCTTTTCCATCTCTCATAGGGACATTTGCCATTGGATTTAGCGTTCATCTAGGTAATCTAGGGTGATCTCATCTGAAGATCCTTAATTACATCTGCAAAGACCTTTTTCTAAGATAGGGCATGTTCACAGTCTCCAAGGGATGGGACATGGACATATCTTTGTGAGAGCCACCCCTCTGCCTACCACAGCCTCCAAATGTGGATTGTGAAGGAATGAGAGAGAGAGGGAAAGGGGCAGTGAGGGTGGCCTTGGCCTTGGCAGGTTGGTGTGCAGAGGGCCGTAGTAGGGGTGGGTGTGTGACAATCACAATGCGGGAAGCAAGGGTGCTGCTATCAGGAAGCCTGTCTGGTCTGGTCATAGCATCCTTGACTCCAATGGTTCAGCTCAGAAGGGTGGGAACTCAGCTCTGCCTGTGGGGCTGGGCTAAGCCAGAAAGGCTCCCTGGGGTAGATGAGCTTCAAGTCTTTCCTGAGGAAAGACCAGCTGAGGGGTGCAGAGAGAGCGTACAGGCTGAAGAGATGCTACTCAGGCCTTTTTTCATGCTAGGAGATCCCAGCTGTGCCTCTTGTCAGGTCTAGGGCTTTTCAGGGCAGGGATGGGCCTCCCCCCTCAACTGGGGAGACCCTTTCACAGAGGCAACGTCTGGGGCCAGGGTAAGGTTGTGGCTGCGGAGCACAGAGGGGAGGCCCCAAAGGTCCTCACCAGGACTCCATGGCAGGGACAGCCAGGGAAGGGAGACATGAGGCAGGCACACATGTCTCAAGGGCAATGTGGCCGCCACTAGCCCTGCTCCCACTGTCCCATGCCTCGTCAACTCCTCTTTTCCATCTCCTGTCAAGTGAGTCCACCCCACGTACCAAGGCAGGTTCCAGGACACGACCCTGCTCGCCCCTCTCCCTCACACCCTCATCTTGTTGGACACCAACCCTGCCCATCCCACTGCCAAGCTCCTCTCTTGTCTAGCTCCTAAGGCCTTTGTCTCAGGTCATCTCCAGGCCTCATGCTGGGCCAGGACCCACCACTCCCTCCAGCCCCTGTCTAACTCTGCCTCCAGAAGGATCTTTCAAGAAAGCAAACCTGACCTTGTCACCCTATTAAGACCCTGCAGAAGCTCCCCACTGCCCACCAGATAAAGTGCAGGCTCTCTCACTGGGCATTCAAGTCTCTCATCCGCCACCCCTCCCAGGGGTGCCTCTCCAGCAAGGCCAAACTGCTTGTACTCTGCTGCCCATCCTTCTGTTTGACCTGTCTTTCCTCTCTTAGCTTCACATGATACTGCTTGTGCTTGCTCTAGGACCTCAGATGCCACCAACTCCAGGAAGGCCTCCCTGAGTGCTCTTGCCCGCTCCAAGTAGCTGCAGCATGAGGAGTATCTTGAGTTTGGGACTCACACTGCATCCCACTGTGGAGGACACTCTGGGCAGCCCAGCTGGCCTGCAACTGCCTTAGCAGTCCCTACCCCCAGCCCAGCACTATGGGGCAGACCACTTGTCTACTGTCTCTCCTTCCCTTCTCCTTCCTGGCCCCCATGGCATCCCTGCCCTAACTTCTCCTCCTCAGATTTTTCTTTCTGTATCAAGATGGTCAGGGGCCTCATATTCTCTGTCCCTTCTTTATGTCAGAACCTGCTCTCCAGTGGGATCTGAAGCTCCTTCACACTTATGCACAAAAGCCTGATAATGGCTGTAGTTGACTCCTGGAGGAACAGTGGTGGTTATTTTGGCACATGGAGTGGGTGGGGAGGTTTTTTGGGCACAGGAATCTTCTTATCTTCTTGAAGTCCCTGAAATCTGTCTTGGGTGCATCATCTATTCTTTATTTTTTAATTAAAAATTTTTAATTGAAGGCTGGGTGTGGTGGCTCATGCCTGTAATCCCAACACTGTGGGAGGCTGAGGCGGGCAGATCACCTAAGGTCAGGAGTTCAAGATCAGCCTGGCCGACATGGCGAAACAGCGTCTCTACTAAAAATACAAAAATTAGCTGGATGTGGTGGCGCACATCTGTAATTCCAGATACTCAGGAGGATGAGGCAGGAGAATTGCTTGAACTTTGGAGGCAGAGGTTTCAGTGAGCCAAGATCGCACCACTGCACTCCAGCCTGGGTGACAGAATGAGTCTTCGTCTCAAAAAACAATTTTTTTAATTGATACATAATATTTGCATATATTTATGGGGTACACATGGTATTTTGTTACATGCATAGAATGTGTAACGATCAAGTCAGGGTATTTGGGGTATCCATTATCTTGAGAATTTATAATTTTCATATGTTGGAAACATTTCAAGTCCTTTTTTCTAGTAATTTTGATATATACAATACATTGTTGCCAACTATAATCACTCTTGTTTGCTATGGAACTAATTTCTTCTGTCTAACTGTATGTTTATACCCAATAACCACCCTCTCTTTATCTCACTGCCCTGCACTTACCAGCCTCTGGTAACTGTCATTCTACTCTCTACTTTCATGAGATTAACTTTTTTAGCTGTCATGTATGAGTGAGAACATATGATATTTGCCTTTCTATGCCTGGCTTATTTTACTTAACTTAATGACCTTCAGTTCCATCCATGTTGCCACAAAAGACATGATCTCATTCTTTTTTATGGCTGAATACTATTCTGCTGTGTATATATACACACCACATTTTCTTTATCCAATCATTCATTGATGGACACTTAGGTTGAATCTATAGTTTTCCTTCTGTGAATAGTGCTGCAATAAACATGCAAGGGCAGGTATCTTTTTTGATGTGACTTCTTTTCCTTTGGGTAGATACTCAGTAGTGTGACAGATAGACTAAATGGTGTTCTTATTTTTAGTTCTTTGAGAAATCTCCATACTGTTTTCCATAGAGGTTGTACTAACTTACATCCTCACCAACAGTGTATGAGTTCTCTTTCCTCCACATTCTCACCAACATCTGTTTTTTTAAAAATCTTTTTTATGATAGCCATTCTGAGTGGTGTAACATGATCTCTTGTGGCTTTAATTTGCATTTCTTGGATGATTAGCGATGTTGAGGATTTTTTCATATGTCTATTGGCCATTTGTATTTCTTTTTTTTTTTAAAATGTTTACTGATGTTCTTTGCCCACTTTTTAAAAAAATTATTATACTTTAAGTTTTAGGGTACATGTGCACATTGTGCAGGTTAGTTACATATGTATACATGTGCCATGCTGGTGCGCTGCACCCACTAACTCGTCATCTAGCATTAGGTATATCTCCCAATGCTATCCCTCCCCTCTCCCCCCACCCCACAACAGTCCCCAGAGTGTGATATTCCCCTTCCTGTGTCCATGTGCTCTCATTGTTCAATTCCTACCTATGAGTGAGAATATGTGGTGTTTGGTTTTTTGTTCTTGTGATAGTTTACTGAGAATGATGATTTCCAATTTCATCCATGTCCCTGCAAAGGACATGAGCTCATCATTTTTTATGGCTGCATAGTATTCCATGGTGTATATGTGCCACATTTTCTTAATCCAGTCTATCATTGTTGGACATTTGGGTTGGTTCCAAGTCTTTGCTATCGTGAATAATGCCACAATAAACATACGTGTGCATGTGTCTTTATAGCAGCATGATTTATAGTCCTTTGGGTTATACCCAGTAATGGGATGGCTGGGTCAAATGGTATTTCCAGTTCTAGATCCCTGAGGAATCGCCACACTGACTTCCACAATGGTTGAACTAGTTTACAGTCCCACCAACAGTGTAAAAGTGTTCCTATTTCTCCACATCCTCTCCAGCACCTGTTGTTTCCTGACTTTTTAATGATTGCCATTCTAACTGGTGTGAGATGGTATCTCATTGTGGTTTTGATTTGCATTTCTCTGCTGGCCAGTGATGATGAGCATTTTTTCATGTGTTTTTTGGCTGCATAAATGTCTTCTTTTGAGAAGTGTCTGTTCATGTCCTTTGCCCACTTTTTGATGGGGTTGTTTGTTTTTTTCTTGTAAATTTGTTTGAGTTCATTGTAGATTCTGGATATTAGCCCTTTGTCAGATGAGCAGGTTGCGAAAATTTTCTCCCATTTTGTAGGTTGCCTGTTCACTCTGATGGTAGTTTCTTTTGCTGTGCAGAAGCTCTTTAGTTTAATTAGATCCCATTTGTCTATTTTGGCTTTTGTTGCCATTGCTTTTGGTGTTTTAGACATGAAGTCCTTGCCCATGCCTATGTCCTGAATGATAATGCCTAGGTTTTCTTCTAGGGTTTTTATGGTTTTAGGTCTAATGTTTAAGTCTTTAATCCATCTTGAATTGATTTTTGTATAAGGTGTAAGGAAGGGATCCAGTTTCAGCTTTCTACATATGGCTAGCCAGTTTTCCCAGCACCATTTATTAAATAGGGAATCCTTTCCCCATTGCTTGTTTTTCTCAGGTTTGTCAAAGATCAGATAGTTGTAGATATGTGGCGTTATTTCTGAGGGCTCTGTTCTGTTCCATTGATCTATATCTCTGTTTTGGTACCAGTACCATGCTGTTTTGGTTACTGTAGCCTTGTAGTATAGTTTGAAGTCAGGTAGTGTGATGCCTCCAGCTTTGTTCTTTTGGCTTAGGATTGACTTGGTGATGCAGGCTCTTTTTTGATTCCATATGAACTTTAAAGTAGTTTTTTTCCAATTCTGTGAAGAAAGTCATTGGTAGCTTGATGGGGATGGCATTGAATCTGTAAATTACCTTGGGCAGTATGGCCATTTTCACGATATTGATTCTTCCTACCCACGAGCATGGAATGTTCTTCCATTTGTTTGTGTCCTCTTTTATTTCCTTGAGCAGTGGTTTGTAGTTCTCCTTGAAGAGGTCCTTCACATCCCTTGTAAGTTGGATTCCTAGGTATTTTATTCTCTTTGAAGCTATTGTGAATGGGAGTTCACTCATGATTTGGCTCTCTGTTTGTCTGTTGTTGGTGTATAAGAATGCTTGTGATTTTTGTACATTGATTTTGTATCCTGAGACTTTGCTGAAGTTGCTTATCAGCTTAAGGAGATTTTGGGCTGAGACAATGGGGTTTTCTAGATATACAATCATGTCGTCTGCAAACAGGGACAATTTGACTTCCTCTTTTCCTAATTGAATACCCTTTATTTCCTTCTCCTGCCTAATTGCCCTGGCCAGAACTTCCAACACTATGTTGAATAGGAGTGGTGAGAGAGGGCATCCCTGTCTTGTGCCAGTTTTCAAAGGGAATGCTTCCAGTTTTTGCCCATTCAGTATGATATTGGCTGTGCGTTTGTCATAGATAGCTCTTATTATTTTGAAATACGTCCCATCAATACCTAATTTATTGAGAGTTTTTAGCATGAAGTGTTGTTGAATTTTGTCAAAGGCTTTTTCTGCATCTATTGAGATAATCATGTGGTTTTTGTCTTTGGCTCTGTTTATATGCTGGATTACATTTATTGATTTGTGTATATTGAACCAGCCTTGCATCCCAGGGATGAAGCCCACTTGATCATGGTGGATAAGCTTTTTGATGTGCTGCTGGATTCGTTTTGCCAGTATTTTATTGAGGATTTTTGTATCAATGTTCATCAAGGATATTGGTCTGAAATTCTCTTTTTCTGTTGTGTCTCTGCCTGGCTTTGGTATCAGAATGATGCTGGCCTCATAAAATGAGTTAGGGAGGATTCCCTCTTTTTCTATTGATTGGAATAGTTTCAGAAGGAATGGTACCAGTTCCTCCTTGTACCTGTGGTAGAATTCGGCTGTGAATCCATCTGGTCCTGGACTCTTTTTGGTTGGTAAGCTATTGATTATTGCCACAATTTCAGCTCCTGTTATTGGTCTATTCAGAGATTCAACTTCTTCCTGGTTTAGTCTTGGGAGAGTGTATATGTCGAGGAATTTATCCATTTCTTCTAGATTTTCTAGTTGATTTGCGTAGAGGTGTTTGTAGTATTCTCTGATGGTAGTTTGTATTTCTGTGGGATCGGTGGTGATATCCCCTTTATCATTTTTTATTGCGTCTATTTGATTCTTCTCTTTTTTTCTTTATTAGTCTTGCTAGCGGTCTATCAATTTTGTTGATCCTTTCAAAAAACCAGCTCCTGGATTCATTAATTTTTTGAAGAGTTTTTTGTGTCTCTATTTCCTTCAGTTCTGCTCTGATTTTAGTTATTTCTTGACTTCTGCTAGCTTTTGAATGTGTTTGCTCTTGCTTTCCTAGTTCCTTTAATTGTGATGTTAGGGTGTCAATTTTGGATCTTTCCTGCTTTCTCTTGTGGGCATTTAGTGCTATAAATTTCCCTTTACACACTGCTTTGAATGCGTCCCAGAGATTCTGGTATGTTGGGTCTTTGTTCTCGTTGGTTTCAAAGAACATCTTTATTTCTGCCTTCATTTCATTATGTACCCAGTAGTCATTCAGGAGCAGGTTGTTCAGTTTCCATGTAGTTGAGCGGTTTTGAGTGAGATTCTTAATCCTGAGTTCTAGTTTGATTGCACTGTGGTCTGAGAGACAGTTTGTTATAATTTCTGTTCTTTTACATTTGCTGAGGAGAGCTTTACTTCCAAGTATGTGGTCAATTTTGGAATAGGTGTGGTGTGGTGCTGAAAAAAATGTATATTCTGTTGATTTGGGGTGGAGAGTTCTGTAGATGTCTATTAGGTCCACTTGGTGCAGAGCTGAGTTCAATTCCTGGGTATCCTTGTTGACTTTCTGTCTTGTTGATCTGTCTAATGTTGACAGTGGGGTGTTAAAGTCTCCCGTTATTAATGTGTGGGAGTCTAAGTCTCTTTGTAGGTCACTCAGGACTTGCTTTATGAATCTGGGTGCTCCTGTATTAGGTGCATATATATTTAGGATAGTTAGCTCTTCTTGTTGAATTGATCCCTTTACCATTATGTAATGGCCTTCTTTGTCTCTTTTGATCTTTGTTGGTTTAAAGTCTGTTTTATCAGAGACTAGGATTGCAACCCATGCCTTTTTTTGTTTTCCATTTGCTTGGTAGATCTTCCTCCATCCTTTTATTTTGAGCCTATGTGTGTCTCTGCACTTGAGATGGGTTTCCTGAATACAGCACACTGATGGGTCTTGACTCTTTATCCAATTTGCCAGTCTGTGTCTTTTAATTGGAGCATTTAGTCCATTTACATTTAAAGTTAATATTGTTATGTGTGAATTTGATCCTGTCATTATGATGTTAGCTGGTTATTTTGCTCATTAGTTGATGCAGTTTCTTCCTAGTCTCGATGGTCTTTACATTTTGGCATGATTTTGCAGCAGCTGGTACTGGTTGTTCCTTTCCATATTTAGTGCTTCCTTCAGGAGCTCTTGTAGGGCAGGCCTGGTGGTGACAAAATCTCTCAGCATTTGCTTGTCTGTAAAGTATTTTATTTCTCCTTCGCTTATGAAGCTTAGTTTGGCTGGATATGAAATTCTGGGTTGAAAATTCTTTTCTTTAAGAATGTTGAATATTGGCCCCCACTCTCTTCTGGCTTGTAGGGTTTCTGCCGAGAGATCCGCTGTTAGTCTGATGGGCTTCCCTTTGAGGGTAACCCGACCTTTCTCTCTGGCTGCCCTTAACATTTTTTCCTTCATTTCAACTTTGGTGAATCTGACAATTATGTGTCTTGGAGTTGCTCTTCTCGAGGAGTATCTTTGTGGCGTTCTCTGTATTTCCTGAATCTGAACGTTGGCCTGCCTTGCTAGATTGGGGAAGTTCTCCTGGATAATATCCTGCAGAGTGTTTTCCAAGTTGGTTCCATTCTCCCCATCACTTTCAGGTACACCAATCAGACGTAGATTTGGTCTTTTCACATCGTCCCATATTTCTTGGAGGCTTTGCTCATTTCTTTTTATTCTTTTTTCTCTAAACTTCCCTTCTCGCTTCATTTCATTCATTTCATCTTCCATCGCTGATACCCTTTCTTCCAGTTGATTGCATCGGCTCCTGAGGCTTCTGCAGTCTTCACGTAGTTCTCGAGCCTTGGTTTTCAGCTCCATCAGCTCCTTTAAGCACTTCTCTGTATTGGTTATTCTAGTTATACATTCTTCTAAATTTTTTTCAAAGTTTTCAACTTCTTTGCCTTTGGTTTGAATGTCCTCCCGTAGCTCAGAGTAATTTGATCGTCTGAAGCCTTCTTCTCTCAGCTCATCAAAGTCATTCTCCATCCAGCTTTGTTCCGTTGCTGGTGAGGAACTGCGTTCCTTTGGAGGAGGAGAGGTGCTCTGCTTTTCAGAGTTTCCAGTTTTTCTGTTCTGTTTTTTCCCCATCTTTGTGGTTTTATCTACTTTTGGTCTTTGATGATGGTGATGTACAGATGGGTTTTTGCTGTGGATGTCCTTTCTGTTTGTTAGTTTTCCTTCTAACAGACAGGACCCTCAGCTGCAGGTCTGTTGGAATACCCTGCCGTGTGAGGTGTCAGTGTGCCCCTGCTGGGGGGTGCCTCCCAGTTAGGCTGCTCGGGAGTCAGGGGTCAGGGACCCACTTGAGGAGGCAGTCTGCCCGTTCTCAGATCTCCAGCTGCGTGCTGGGAGAACCACTGCTCTCTTCAAAGCTGTCAGACAGGAACATTTAAGTCTGCAGAAGTAACTGCTGTCTTTTTGTTTGTCTGTGCCCTGCCCCCAGAGGTGGAGCCTACAGAGGCAGGCAGGCCTCCTTGAGCTATGGTGGGCTCCACCCAGTTCCAGCTTCCAGGCTGCTTTGTTTACCTAATCAAGCCTGGGTAATGGCAGGCGCCCCGCCCCCAGCCTCGCTGCCGCCTTGCAGTTTGATCTCAGACTGCTGTGCTAGCAATCAGCGAGACTCCGTGGGTGTAGGACCCTCCGAGCCAGGTGTGGGATATAATCTGGTGGTGCGCCGTTTTTTAAGCCCGTCGGAAAAACGGAGTATTCGGGTGGGAGTGACCCGATTTTCCAGGTGCTGTCCGTCACCCCTTTCTTTGACTGGGAAAGGGAACTAACTCCCTGACCCCTTGCGCTTCCCAAGTGAGGCAATGCCTCACCCTGCTTCGGCTCGCGCACGGTGCGCGCACCCACTGACCTGCGCCCACTGTCTGGCACTCCCTAGTGAGATGAACCCGGTACCTCAGATGGAAATGCGGAAATCACCCGTCTTCTGCGTCGCTCACGCTGGGAGCTGTAGACGGGAGCTGTTCCTATTCGGCCATCTTGGCTCCTCCCCACTTTGCCCACTTTTAAATGAGGTTATTTGTTTTCTTACTGCTGAGCTGTTTGAATTCCTTGGATATTCTCGGGATATTAGTTCTTTGTTGGATGAATAATTTGTAAATATTTTATCCCAATCAGGAGGTCGTCTCTTCACTTTATTGATTGTTTCCTTCGCTGCACAGAAACTTTTTAGTTTAATATAGTCCCATTTGTCTAGTTTTGTTTTTGTTGCCTATGCTTTTGATGTCTTAGCCATAAAATCTTTGCCTACACCAAAGTCCTAAAGTGTTTCCCTGTGCTTTATGCTTTCTTCTATTGGTTTTATAATTTTGGGTGTTACGTTTAAGTCTTTAATCCATCCTGAGTTGATTTTTTGTATAGTGAGAAATAGGGTCTAGTTTCATTCTTTCACATATGGATATCCAACTTTCCCAGCACTGTTTATTCAAGAGACTGTCCTTCAATGTATATTCTTGGCACTTTTGTTGGAAATCATTGGCTGTAAACACATGCATGTATTTCTGGATTCTCTATTCTGTTTTATTGTTCTATGTGTCTGTTTTTATTCCAATAGCATGCTGCTTTGGTTAATATAGCTTTGTGATATATTCTGAAGTCAGCTAGTGTGAAACTTTCGGCTTTGTTGTTTTTGCTCAGGATTGCTTTGGCTATTTAGGCTCCTTTTTGGTTCCAGAATAGTTTTAGTGTTGTTTTTTCTATTTCTGTCAAAACTGACATTGGTATTTTGATAGTGATTGCCTTGAATCTGTGGTTTTTTTGGGCAGTGTGGTCATCTTTTTTTTTTTTTTTTTTTTTTTTTTTTAGATGGAGTCTCACTCCCGTTGCTCAGGCTGGAGTGCAGTGGCACAATCTTGGCTCACTGCAACCTCCACCTCTCAGGTTCAAGCGATTCTCCTTCCTCAGCCTCCTGAGTAGCTGGGATTACAGGTGTGTGCCACCATGCCTGGCTAACTTTGTATTTTTAATAGAGATGGGGTTTCACCATGTTGGCCAGGCTGGTCTTGAACTCCTGACCTCAGGTGATCCACCTGCCTCGGCTTCCCAAAGTGTTAGGATTACAGGTGTGAGCCACCGTGCCCGGCCAGTATAGTCATCTTAAGGACATCAATTATTTTGATTTAAGAACATAGGCTCTCTTTCCATTTGTTTGTGTCCTCTTTAATTTATTTCATCAGTGTTTTGTAGTTTTCCTTGTTTTTTGCCTCACGATTAAATTTATTCCTAGGTATTTTATTTTATTTTTAAAAGCTTGTTTTCTTTTTTAATTGGCATATAATAATAGTACATATTTATGGAATCCCAAGTTATGTTTTGATACATACAGTGTAGACTTTTTCTTCCACTAATTTTGGTTTTGGTTTTCTCTTGCTTTTCTCATTCCTTGAGGTGCATTGTTAGATTATTTGAATTCTTTCCACTTTTTTGATGTAGGCATTTATTGCTATAAACTACCATTTAGCACTGCTTTTGCTGTATCCCATAGATTTTGGTATGTTGTGTTTTGATTTTCATTTGTTTCAAGAAATTTTTTGATTTCCTTTTAAATTTCTTTTTTGATCCAATGGCCATTCAGGGACATGTTGTTTAATTTCCATATATTTGTGCAGTTTCCAACATTCCTCTTGTTATTAACTTCTGGTTTTATTTTATTGTGGTCTGAGAAGGTACTTCATATGATTTTGATATTTAAAAATTTGTGGAGACTTGTTTTGTGTGCTAACATATGGTTTATCCTGGAGCATGTTCCATATGCTGATGAGAAGAATGTGTGTTTTGTAGCTGTTGGATGAAATGTCCTGTAAATTTTTGTTAGGTATATTTGGTATAATGTGCAGTTTTAATTCAATGTTTCTTTGTTAATTTTCTGTCTAGATCAGGGGTGTCCAATTTCTTGGCTTCCCTAAGGCACATTGGAAAAAGAATTGTCTTGAGCCACACATAAAATACAGTAACACTAACGAATAGCTGATGAGCTTAAAATAAATTGCAAAAGCTCTCATTATGTTTTAAGAAAGTTTATGAATTTGTGTTGAGCTGCATTCAAAGCCATCCTGGGCTGCATGTGGCCTGCAGGCCATAGGTTGAACAAGCTTGGTCTAGATAATCTGTTTAATGCTGAGAGTGGGGTGTTGAAGTTCACAACTCTTATTGTACTGGAGTCTACTTCTTTCTTTACATCTAATAATATTTGCTTTATATATCTGGGTGCTCTGATGTTGGGTGCATATATGTTTAGAATTGTTATATTCTTTTGCCAAATTGATCCCTTTATCATTATATAATGATTGTCTTTATCTCTTTTTATTGTTTTTGACTTAAAGTCTGTCTTATCTCTTATATGTACAGCTATTCCTGCTTGCCTTTGGTTTTCATTTGCATGGACTTTTTTCATCCCTTTAGTTTAAATCTATATGTGTCTTTATACATAAGGTGAGTTTCTTTTAGGAAGCATATAGTTGGGTCATGTTTTTTAATTCATTTAGCCAGTCTTTGTCTTTTATTTGGAAAGTTTAATCTGTTTGTATTCAAGGTTATTATTGATACATGATTTTATTAAATAATTTCTGGTGGCTGCATTGGGCTTGGGAGGCCAGTCCCTAGGCACATAGTGCGTACGTATGTGTGGGTGTCAGCTGTGGTGGTAGAGGCAGGTTGGGTGGGCCTGATCTCAGGCCCTGGGAAAGTGTTTGGGTGCCAAAGGTGATGAACTGGGTTGGGTGATTCCCATACCCAAAGATGACATGCTTAGGCACTGGGAAGGAGGAGTGGAGCCAGGCCTGGCTCCTTAGGCCCCTTAGTAGTGTGTGTAGGCACTGGCTGTGTTAGGCAGAGGCAGGTGATCCCTAGGCTCCTGGTGGTATGTTGGGGTGGAGGTGTCACTGCCACCCTGCTACTGGGGAGCACAGGGTTGCTTTCAGTGGCAGCAGCAGTAGGCAGGGAGCTGGGGAGCATGCACTTTGCTTGTGCTTTGGCAGCAGTAGGCAGGGAGCTGGGGAGCATGCACTTTGCTTGTGCTTTGGCAGCAGTAGGCAGGGAGCTGGGGAGCATGCACTTTGCTTGTGCTTTGGCAGCAGTAGGCAGGGAGCTGGGGAGCATGCACTTTGCTTGTGCTTTGGCAGTGGCAGTGGCTGTGGGGCAGGGGAGTCTGTCCTCAGGGCTTGTGAAATGCATAGTAACTGCTGCTGGGGGCACTGGAATCCGTGCCAATGGCTTCTGTTTTGACCCTGGGATCATCCAGCAGCTGCAGAGGCTGTAGGTTGGGTAGCCTTTCCTCAGGCCATATGAAATGTACTGTCACCCCTCTGTTGGGGGTGGGGGGTGGAGTTGCAAGCTGATGCTCTCAGTCAACCCCTTCCTCTGCTAACCATTGGTTTGCAGGCTGCATAATCCACTCTAACTTTGGGCAGGACTTCTAAGAGCTTCTAATCTGTAACTCCTTTTTGTACACCAACCCCAACCACCCAGCCTTGGGAAACTGAGTGTACAAGGCCTCAGCCTGGGTACACCGAAAGGAAGCAGAGAGGAGAAGCGAGTCAAGAAGCTTGAGATCTGACACAGGTTCTGGCAAGTGCCCTTGGGCCAGGGACTCTTATTTCCTCTTCCATAGAAGGTAGATGTTGGACTGGTGGCTTCTCATGGCCTTTCCCTTCCTGCATCAAACTTGTGATGTTTCTAGTGAATTTTGTATGATTGTAGTTTGGGAAGCTCTTTCATGTTCCCCAATTGACTTGATTTTTCGAACACTTGGGAGGTAGGTGGTACCAACCCACTTTACAGATGAGGGAACTGAGCTTTGGAGTGAGCAATCTCATAGCCAGTTGGTAACAGAACCAGGTCTGGAGTTGGCCCCCTGACTCCTATCTCCTGAGTTCACCCTGATTGCTGGGAGCTGGAGGAGCTTTTGGCACTGGGGGCAGATTGTTTTCTCCAAATGAGGCAGGCATGGGACCAGGACAAGCCAGGTCTCCTCTCCTCTTGCCCACCCTACTCACTCAGGCTAATACCTCCTATCCTGCTGTATCTAGTCTTAAAAATGGGTCTCTGTCCCCTCAGGGGGATCCTCTGGCCTCTCCAACCTTAGCTGCTCTTCTAGGAAAGTGGGCCAAAGAAAATTTCTGGTTTGGTTTGCATGTGTCCCCCAAAGTTCATGTATTGGCAACTTAATCTCCAATGAAACAATGTTGAGAGGTGGGACCTTTAAGAGGTGATTATGTAATGAATGGATTACTCTGCCCTCATGAATGGATTAATGCCATTATCACAGGAATGGATTCCTGATACAATGATGAGTTTGGTCCCCTTTCCCTTCCTCTCTCATGCTCTCTTGTCCCTCCACTTCTGCTGCAGGATGACACAGCAAGAAGGCCCTCACCAGATGCTGAGCAGATGCCGGCACCATGCCTGTGGACTTCCCAGCCTCCAGAACTGTGAGCCAAATAAATTTCTTTATACATTTCCCAGTCTCAGGTATTCTGTTAGCGGCACAAAACAGTAAATACCTTCCATGAGGCGGCAGGCAAGTAGGCCCCTGGCCCAGATGAGGAGGCTTCCTTTTCTCAGTGGGGTAGCTCTCAAATCTCCCATGCAGGGTGGGGGCGAATTCCTCCAGACAAGCTTCAGGGCCTTGGCCTTGCCTCAGTTAGGGGAAGGGGCCTGATTAGAGGTCTTTCAGTGAGAGGTGATGAGCGGAGCCAGGCTGGCCCCTGACCCCTGCCTGTAGCCAGGTTGCCTCCCTGCACCAGGCACCTTCTCCTCCTTAGCAGACTCACCTGGGGATCCATTCTTTAAGCCCCAAAGGAGAAAAGTCAGGGCCCTGAGGAAGAGGGGCACCAACTGCCTGATTCTGAAGAGTCTGCCCTGATCTGCCTGAGCCTGGGGTCTGACTTTGGGAAGTTTGGGCATCAGGTCCCTGTTATGAGTTGTGGCTGGAGGGCTTCAGCCTCCTCTAGTCTCCTTCAGTTGGCCCCACCTCTGGCAGGCCAGGGGCTACAGGGAAGGAAGAGCCCATTTAATCAGCTCCTGCCCTGGCCAGGTCCCTCATTTGGGGTGTTATATGCCATATCTTGTTTAAACCTCGCAACCCCTTGCAAGGTAGCGAATATCAAGCCCATGTTACAGATGAAGAAACTGAGGCTCAGAGAGGTCGTCCTTAGTCAAGGCTCAGTACTAGTAAGTGGCAGGTTTGGGACTTGAAATAAAGCGTGGTTCTGTTCCCTACACTTTTTTTTCCTGTAAGATGCTTGGCCTGGGCACAGGTGGGTGGTAGTCCCTTGACCCCTGCAGGACTGTGACATGGGAAGGGACACTCTATTCTGAGTCCATGGGGGCAGGGATCATCAGGTTGAATGAATGCGTGACTGAATTAAAGCACTTGCTGTGCTGTTTAATTTTAAGAGAGAAGGGGCCTTACTGAGAATCCACTGGCCTGACAGTCTGAAGGCCTTGGCGTGGAGCCCACCCTCCATGGCCTTGCTGTGTGATCTTGGTCAGGGCCTGCCTCTTTATGGGTCTAATG
Source organism: Homo sapiens (assembly GCF_000001405.40). Taxonomy (NCBI): domain Eukaryota; kingdom Metazoa; phylum Chordata; class Mammalia; order Primates; family Hominidae; genus Homo; species Homo sapiens. The sequence goes on from NC_000011.10 coordinate 4,181,800, forward strand.
TACAGGAAGGAGAGGTGGAAACTATTTGCTAGATGGGCCTTCAGGCTGGGCATCCTAGCCTTAAGAAACTAGGCTGCAGACCCAATGACCTCAGGCTGTAGGCAGTGGGAAATCTGGCAAGAGGCATGATACGGCTCCTGCGTGTGTGTTGTGTGGGAGGGGCAGACGAGAGGCCCTCAGGGTTCGGCGCCCCAGAAAGCCAGGAGGCCTCAGGCCCCTGGTGGACACAGAAGCAACCCAGCTGTATAACCCTAGCCCCTCTCCCACCCATACACAAATTATTGGGTTCCAGGGGCTTTTTGGTCTTTGAATGAAGCTTTTGGAGAAGTCTGTCCTTCTCTATCCATGACTAGGCTGGGGCCCTGCACAGGATCTGTGGACTGGTGGCTCTCTGGCCTCTCCTGGTTATGGGACTGGCCCAGCAGCTTCAGGCTGCTTGGTCTGGCCAGGTTCAGCCTGCACTGCCCAGAGCCACAAGGTGGCACCCAAGCACCACATGTGTCCAAGGCCACCCGGGCTCATGTCTTGCTGGAGGGACTGTGCCTGAGGAAGGTGCAGCCTGTGCCTGTGGGTAGGTAGTTTGAGGTACCTCATCCTCAGACATCACTGGTGCACCCCTCTGCCCCAGCCATAGGACTGTCTGTGGGGCCATGCTGGTGTCAGGGCCTGAGGCAGGAGACCTGGGATCTGGTTCTGGCCCTGTGTGGTCCTGGCAAGTTGCTTCCTGTCTTTGAGCCTCAGAGTGCTCTTCTGAAAAATGGGCATAAAAATAGCACTGACATCTTCGTTCATTGATTCACTCAGTCAGCACATGTTTATTGAGCACTTACTAGGCTAGGGTGTAACATACAGCTCCAAACAAGTGAAGCCTCGCAGCGGTGTTCAGAGGATTAGATGAAGTGATACCTATAATTTATTTAGCACAATTACTAACATACATTATGGACTCTATATAAATATTAGCTAAAACCTTATGTCTAATTTTTGTGGTTAGTCCTATGATTATCCCTATTTTAGGGAAGAGGAAACAGGGAAAGGTATTGCCCATGGCCACACAGCCAGGAAGTAGCAGAGCTGGGATTGAATCTGGGCTGCCTGACTCTAAACCCCACTCTGCTGGTTCCCACATTTAATCTGGGGCTGTGTGTGGCTCCTCTGAGCTCCCTTTAATATTCTCCAGAGGACCTTGGATCAACTTGGGTCACTTCCTCAGGCCTTCCCCATCTGAATGCTCAGCCTCCTCCTCCCCCAGAGTCCCCGACTCCTGCAGGTTTGGTCCTGGCAGGGACTGGCTGGGAAAGTCAGTGGTCATCAAGAAGCCAACAGTGATTCAGGGCCGTAAGAAGGTCCCAGGCCCAGCTCCCTCCTGCTACCACCTGGGGTTGAGACCCGCTAGGAAATGGAGGCCAGAGCCACCTGGCCCTGGTCCCATCCCGAATGTCCATCACACTTAGCTGGGACCACTGAGCTCAGGCCTTTCCTAAGGGTCTGTGAGGGGGAGAGGGGGGAGCATTCGAGGATTTCTCTCTCAGAGAGAATGTGGGCCCCCATCTGATTGAAAGGGAGTTGTGGGACGCATCTTGAAGTTGAGTTTCCATAGCAAGCTCTCTGTTTCTGCTGAGGCACAACTGGGCTCCTCAGAGCCTCAACGATGCTCTCAACCTGTCAGGGGGTGCCCTAGCCGTATCCTCCACTCCTCCCAGCCCATCCTGGGACACTAGGTGGGACTTAGTCACAGCCGGGGCCGAAAACTATATGCCTGAAGACGGGCTCAGGTGGGTGAATGGCCTCTGTGAACTGCAGTGGGACTGGGGGCCCATCATCATATTGACAACCAGACATCTCTGCACCTTCAGGCATGCAGTGCTCGGCCCTGGCTGTGACTAAGTCCCACCTAGTGTCCCAGGATGGGCTGGGAGGAGTAGAGGATAGGGCTAGGGCACCCCCTGCCAGGTTGAGAGCATCGTCGAGGCTCTGGGGAGCCCAGTTGTGCCTCAGACCGCCAGGCTGCAGCTGAGGGTTGTACCAGCCCCAGCGGTGACAGCAGCGTATCCATGGTGTGCCTGGGCAACCTGGAGAAAGCTCTGTGCCCCCCAAGGGCTGGAAAAGTTTCGGCCACCGTGGAGAAAGCTGTGGGCCGCATGGGAAAAAGTTGTAGCTCCTCAAACTTTTCTCACTGTGAGCTTATGGCTCTCTGTCCCTGAGGTCAGCTGAGTGATTTGCCAACAATTAGGCCATAATGAGCTGGACCTCAGTGGCCTGGGAGTCTCCCAGGGGTACTTGGGCTCAACAGGACACCTGGGGCCCAGTTACAGCAGCCTGAGCTGATGCCAGGTCCAGCTGCGACCTGAGCCCCAAGGATATGGGCCTGCCCCATGTGACCACTTTGCTTGCATGGCCAAACTTTTAATGAGTGAAAATGGCTACTTCTCTTACTTGCTGGTAGCCCAGGCATGCCACCTGGGTCCTGCCTGCTCACTCCTTAAAGAACCAGCAATTTCTAAAATATGACTTGCTGCAGTTTAAGTGATCAGCTAATCAACAGGTTATGTGGGGTCTAGACGCTGCCCCACTGTGTGACCCTGGACTGAGCCCCAGGCCTCTCTCAGTCTTAGTTTTCAGCGATAATAATCACAGGCTTGGCGTGAGGCCCAGATGAAAATAACACAAACTGTAAAGTGATGGTTCCTTTCAAATGATCATTATTGTCCTTAATTATTGCATCATATTAGCCTGGCCAGGACCTTGACTCTGACCCTCACTCCTGGTGAATGAGAGCCAGCTCTGACCTGGGTGCTCAGAGGCAGCTGCGTGGCCCCTCCTGGCTCTGCTGGCCACTGGCCTGCCCTCTGCTCCAGGCTGGGCTGGCCTAGCAACCACACTGTTTATAGGTCTCTCTTGGCTCAACTATCTTTTTTTTCTCCTGCTCTGTTAACACCCTAGGCCTGCAGACGGGCACCACTGAGAGTGTTAAGAGCCCTGATATTATCAAGTCCAGTCCTTACTGCATAGATGGGAAACAAAAGCCCAGGGAGAAGCAGGGTCTGAGCTGGAACTCCTTCCTTTCCCGGGGCTTAGTCACAAGAAGGCTTCATGCGTATGCAGTACTTTAGTGTCGTCTGGCCTTCTCGGCAGCCCTGTGAGGGTAGGTAGGCTGGCACCCATCTGTCCACTCACTTACTAAGCTTGCAGATTCTAAAGCCAGACTGACTGGGTGGACATTCTGTCTCCACTATTTACTAGGCATGTCTCTGTGCCTCAGTTTCCTCAAATGGGAAAACACTAGTAATTACATCATATGATTGTTGTGTTAAATGAGTTAGAATCTATATGAAATGTATAGAACATGGCCTAGTGCAGGCTCTCAATAATTAATATCAGCTATCCTTCTGGTTATGATTCAGTCATTCAGTCAGCAAACATTTATTGAGCTCCTACTGTGTGCTGAGCTTGGTAGTGCTAGAACCTGGGGATATAGCAGTGAAGAAGACTGATTTTTGGAACTCAGTTTTGTGAAGGTGAGGGAGACAGACACATGAAGCCATAATTTCAAGACCAAGGATTTGGCAGGCTGAGGTGGGGTATAAGCAGGGGAATACAGTGGAGGGGCCTTGATCCCTTCTAGGGGGAGGGAGGCACAGTCAGGGAAGTCTTCTCAGAGGAGGCAGAAGCAGAAGTAGGCATTGGGCCCTGTGCAAAGTGCTTTATATCCAGGATGTTAGTCTATCCTCACACAAACCTGTGAGGTAGATGAGGCGCTCTTTTTACTGAAGAGGAAACTGATGGTTATTTGTCTAAGGTCACTCAGCCAGTAAATTATTAGGTCAGGGTCCAATCCAGGGTTGTCTAACCCCAAATTTTGTCCCTTTTCTTTTTCTATGAGGGTGTTTGTGGCGGTGGTTATGATGGACAGATGGGGGAGGAGGTCCTACGCAGACAGGAGGCACTCACAGGAAATTCTGGCTTTGCTGATGAGGGTGCAAACCTGGGGTTTCCTTTCCGTGGCTGGTACAGAGGCAGGATACCACAGTGGGTACCAGGACAGGCCCTGCCCCTGGCTGCCTGGGTTCCAACTCACTTACTATTAGTGTGGTCTAGAGCAAGTCACTTAACTGCTCTGTGCCTCAGTTTCCTCCTCTGTGCAATGGGGATAATGATAATGGCAAGCACTTGCGTAGCACTTGTAAGGGCTTTCTTTTAAGGATTTTACATCTATTACTCATAGGATCCTCAGATTCTGTGTCTTTTTTCCTCAGATGGCCATAATACCTGGGTAGCTTTAAGGAATAAATTAGTTAATATACGGAAGGCACTTAGAACAGTGCTTGGCACATAGGCAACGCTCAGTAAATGTTAGTTATTCTTATTCAGCACCACAGAGTGGAGTCCCAGGAGGCTACAGACAGAATTCCTAAAAATAATGAAGATGATTATGATAACACTAGCAACAATAAAACATGCCCTCATAGTTTTACAGCACTTTTTAGGATACAAAGACTCCCACAGCTATTGTTTCATCTGAGACTGAGGAGACAAGTGTGTCTAAAAGTGTACACAGAAAACACTTTTTAAAAAGACATTCTTATTAGCATCCTGTGGGATGTCTTTTTTAAAAGTGTTCTCTGTTCAAATAAGTTTGGAAAACACTGAATCAAACCAAGTTAAACACTTTTCTTCTTGGAGAGACTCAAGCTCACTAAACGTTGTCAGACCCCACAAAAGCAGAGGGAAGTACAACATGCAGTGTTTCCCCAAATTATTGGGCCATGAAATCCTTTGTTCTGAGGAGTTGTGACTCCTGGAAGACACTTTCTCAAACACTGGGGTAGGCCGGGCGTGGTGGCTCATGCCTATAATTCTAGTGCTTTGGGAGGCTAAGTGGGAGGATCACTTGAGACCAGGACTTTGAGACCAGCCTGGGCAACATAGAGAGACCCTGTCTGTACCAAAAATAATTAAAAAAGAGAAAACACTGGGGTAAAGAGCTTTGGCTTTGTCACTGGCTGTGTGCCTTCAGGTCAAGTCATATGAATCTAGGCCTCAGTTTTCCCATATGTAAAATGGGAATAAACGTACACTCATGATGGGGCCATCAGTGTTGTAAGAACTAAATGAGGTCACTGGAGTAACGTACACAGCCTAATTCCTGGCAAATGGACAATAAACGTTAGATTATTATCGCCGTGACACCCCTATGAAATAACACCATTATTTTCCCCACCCAGATGGGGAGCTCAGTAGGTAGCTCCGGGGCCCTTCACTTTAGTGTGTCAGTGGAGCACCCTCACATCCCAGGCTGGGCGCCAGAGGGCGACTGGCTCTTTCCCTTCCCTCCCCATTCCCTTTTAAAGATGGATGAGGCCTCGGTTCAATGAGGGCCCCAGGCAGGGGACGGCCACACCCAGGTTTTTGGAGGGGCCGGGGAGGGCGCGTTCGGGGATGGCACTGGGAGTGGGCAGGGCTGACGCCCCTTTGCCCCCAGCCCGGTCTTCCTCTACGGCGACTTCGCCGCGGGGCAGTGCGGGGAGGCGCTCAGTGTAGAGCTCGTGGGGGCCTCCGCTGACAGCGGGGCAGGGACTGGGAGAAGGGCGGCGGCGGAGCAGGTCGCGGGCTGGTGCGGGGCCTGGGGGCACTGCCGAGCCTACACTGCGGCGGCCGCGGCGGCGGCGGCAGCGCGACAAGTTGCCATGGCCCGGCTGCCGCAGCTGCCCTCCCAAGGGTCTCGTTAGCTCTGCTTGGCCGGCCACCGCCGACTCGGCCCTAGGGACCCCGGCGACCTAGCAAACAGCCGATCCGCCGGGCGCTGACGAGGCTCGGGGGAAGAGGGCGGCAGTCCAGATGGCGCGCAAGTGAGTGCCAGGCCGCGAGGATTTGCCGCCGGGACCCAGGGCGCACTAGCTAGGTGCGCCGCCCACCCGCGGCCTCACGGGGGCGCCCGAGTCCACTGAATGAGCCCGGCGGGGCCGACAGCAGCAGTCGAGCGCGGGTGCGCCACTCTGACCGCCGCTCGCTGGTCTCATTGCCGGGGCCTGAGCGGGGGCTGGGGTGGGTGCCAACGAGGAAAGCACAGTTGATCTGCAAGTTAGTGGGCGGGGAGCCAGTAGGGAGGGACTGCGGAGCCGCGCTGGTCCTGATTCTTCCTCACTCAGCTATTTTAATAGCAATGAAATCTTGAAGGAGTGCTCTGAGGCTGATAGAGCTGTAGGAAAAGGTCTTGGGCGTTCAGATTTTTGGATGCTTCGTATTTTTCAACTTTATTATCTGGCAACAGTCTTTAAAACTCAATGACCAATTCCAGTTCTAGCCTTAAACCCAATTAATCCTTAACTATGAAAGCAGCATCCTAAAGTCTACTTTCACTTGTTAGCGGCATCTGTGGAAGTAGCCGAGGGTCTCAGGCAGTGCAGTAGCTCTCTGAATAGCCTCTCTTTCCTGAGAAAGGGAGCCTCAGCTGCTGTGCCCACCAGGCCTGGTGGGAGCGTGCGCTCACTGCGTAATAGAGCAGGGCTGTGCTTGTGAGGTCCCTTTGGCCCAAACTGTGCAGGATCTGCTGCCTGCCTTTCCTTTTTGTTGTATCGTTATTGCTTTGGCCCAGAAAGCTCTGATGCTACCTGCCTGCAAATAGCTCATCTTTACTCAATACCCGGGTCCTCACCCCTTTATACTGTGCCCCCTCTGGACTGTGATGCCTGATGCTTGTGTGGTCAGATTGCATTGACAAGAGATCTCTTCCTTGTCTTATAAGGGCACTAATCCCATCAGGAGGGTCCCACCCTCTTGACCTAGTCTAAACCTAATTACCTCCCAAAGGCCCCACCTCCTAATACCTCATTGGGGGTTCTGGCTTCAGCATAGGAATTTGGGGGGGCACAGAAGACTTTAATCCACAAGAGATGGGTTCCTGACAGTAGTAACCACTCCCCATCCACCCCTGAGTGCTGGTAGTCAGGGTCACGTTAGACTGGAGTGGTATAGAGAAGACTTCACCACTCTGTAGAAAAAGGCAAGAAGTCTTAACTGAAAGGGAAGTTTCTGGTCCCTTTTTCAAAATTACCTCCCTGGCTCTTTAAAATGCTGTATTTTATAAAATGTTTTCGATTTCCCTTTCAGATGTGCAGGCCAACCTCAAGGTGTGGGTTGCTTAGATTACAAAGGAACTTGAATTCTTTCATGTTTTTGTTTAAAGTATCACTATCATCATCTAAAGCCAAGATTGGCTGCTTTGAGGACCTTTTCTGAACCGTGTACTAGGATAATAACTCTGAAGGAGACTGTTCTTGGAAAAGGCTGATGTTGGGACCTTGCTAGCCATTTTGGAATTAGGGAATGAGGTGTATTGGCATGAGCAGCAGCACTTTTGTGGCTGTCAGGCAGAGATTTTCTTTTCTTTTTTCCTTTATAAGTCACCCAACCCAAATTGTTATCAGGCAGATATTTTTATAGGGGTAGTGGGAGGCAGTTCCCAAGTCCCCTGTCCCTCTCTGCACCTAGTCTACCCTCTAAGATTGCAACCATCATAGCATCTTCTTACACATTACAATGCAGTAAACTTGGGCACATTGAGCACCAGTCATGGCCGCTGTGTTCCTGAAGGTACAGAAGTGGCACTGGGGCCAGGCTGCTGTCTGGAAAATGTTAGCCACTTTGGTGGTACTGCCCTTCCGACACCGCCTCCTCACCTCCCCCACCCCTACACACAAAAAACAAGACAAGTAGAGCAAACAAACCACTTCTCCAGGTAGACAGACCTGCAGGTCTGCTCATGGTGACCCTCTCTTTAGCCTGCATTGTTTCCAAGGCCTTCAGCTGGCCTATTGTTTGCTAAGGGCCCACACCTTGGCAGGAGCTGAAAAGAGAGGATTTCCTTTTGCTCAGGGGAGGAGGGTCTGTCCTGGGTTTGCAGAGATAGGCTTCTTGTCTATGCTGCTGAAGAAAACAAACTAGACAGGAGTCAGATGTGGGCTCTACCTTCTTGCTCAGTCTCTAATTCACTGTGGCCTTGGGCAGATCAGTTCTCCATCCTTATTAGTATCTTGGGTGGAATACTCCTTAAGGAATCTTTCAAGTATTGAGTGCCCCCATGCCCCCACCACCTTCCACAACCAGGCCTAGGTGAGGCAGGAAGGAAGAAAAGAAAGTCTGGGTGCAGAGTGTGTAGTATGCCTCACAGTACAGCCTGCAGGAAGGCCTTGGATAAGAAAGGCTGAGTGATATTCCAGGGGGTGGGACAGAACAGAGTGTGGTTTGGGTGGGAAGATGACCTGGTGAACCTCAGGTTCTCTCAAGGCTTTACAGAGGTGGGAGCAGGGCCATGGGTAGGCTGGCTACAGTATCCCTGCTGAAAGGGAATACTTGTTGGTACAAACTCAGCTCTTGGGGCAAGGATCATATGAACTTGCGGTCATGAAAGTGTAAGTAGGGTAGAAATATGAGGAAGGGAGAGGCACTTGGTCATGGCCAAGGCTGGAGTGTCATTAATGTGTGGGGGTTGAGGAAGCAGGTCACAGGATTGTTGGATGGCTCATTCTACAGTCTTGTGCCCTGGGAGCCCCTCATGTGGGAGACAGGTGGTGGATGTCAGGAAGAGCTAGAGGTGGGAAGGGTAGGCTTGATATTTAGACTATGTGTCAAGTAGGGCAGGGCCAGTTACTGAAATACCGAAACACTAGTTGTCATTTGGAAATGGCTGAGGCCCCAGGCTCCCTGAGGCCCCCAGCCACCTTGTCCTTGGAACCTTGCTGGTGCTCACTGGCCCATACACTGTCTGCCCAGTGTATTCCCTGGGCTCTGACCCCAGTCCCTATGTGTCCTCTTGACCAGGGTATGCACCTGGACGTCAGTGGGAATTCACTTCCCCAGGGGAAGTGCTGGAATCCCCATATACACTTCTGGCTCCTGAGGCTGTGTCTGCTGGATGGTGCCTCCCCAGTGTCACTGTCCCGTGGTGGCTTGTGGGAACCCTGCCTGCACTGTGAACGGTATCGGTCGTTATGTATGCTGACAATCACCCCTGGTAAAGGAAGGGGACAGTAGGGTGAAGAATTCTGTTTTGGGTGCCTGGCCGCTTTGCAGCGGGGACAGAGGGCAAGACCTGGCAGGCCTGCAGTCTTCCTCGGCTATCGTGAAGAGGGTTGTGAGTGCCAAATCCATCCCATAGGGAGATCCCAGAGGAGACTCTGGCACCCCCTCTGCCAGAGGGCAGGCCCATGAGTGCGGCCCTGCAGACCAACAGTTTCTTACCCTCCTTCCTTCGCGAGACCTGGCACAGCTGCCTGCCTCACTCCTGGGAGCCGAGTCCTACTGGGAGCTCGTTCCTGCCAAGGCTGGGATCCAGTCCCCCTCTCCCCTCTGTGGGCACTTGGCAGGCCGAGGTCCCTGCTTCCCTCTGCCAGTTCCTGCCAAAGCTAATCTCCCTGCGGCCTGTTCCTGGCAGTGGTTGCACGTGGGTATCTCTGCTGGGCAGGCCTGCTTCCATCACTGGCACGGACCCCATTTCCCAAGAATCCTTTTTGGGTGGCACAATCCCAGGCAGAATTCTCCCAGGAGGTTCCTGAGTGCCTCCCTTGCTGGTTCAGCACCTGATCACGTTCCTGGATTCCCCCTGAACTCCTCCAGTGTCTGCAGGATGCTTTTCAGTTCACAAAGCACTTTCATATTATATCTCATTAGATGCTCAGCAGCCCCTCAAACAGCAAGTGGTGCCCTTGAGCCTGCAGGGCCCTGGAGTGGGCAGATTTCCTGAACCATCTGCTCTGACTCTGCCTTTGGGCCAGTGGAGAGGCCTTTGTGAGACCAAATCTTCAGGTTCTCGGTGGGGCAGGTGGCAGTTCAGTAGGAGGTGGCCTCGGGCCTCCTCTTCTGGGGAAGGTGTCAGAGAGGGGTCAGGAGACTATGTAGCCTCTTGTGGCCCCAGTCCCCTGATCAAAAACCAATAGGAAAAGTCTCTTAGAAGAGAAACAGCTTTTGGGTTAATCTGTAGGGGCAGTGAGAAAGGGTTGGGGAGGTTGGGGCCCAGCTGGGCCACGTGGATTCGATCTTGGCTTAGAGTGGGCACAGGAAGCTATGTGATGAAGGGGAGCCCCTAGGGAGGAATCTGGGTACAGGGGATGGGGCTGGAATCAGCTACCTGGTCCGTAAGTTGTGTTGTTAAATTTGGAGAAAAACTGTTTTCCAAAAATGGAGGTAAATTGAAGTTTGTAAGAGCTGGTGAATAAGCCATGCCTCCTTGGTGGTTTGGAGCAAGACGTTTTCCACGCAGGCCATTTCATCAAGACTCAGTGGTAATTTGGGATTGCCTCAGCTCTCCCAGCTCGGCTGCCTGTTGCTGTCAGTGGGTCTGGGGGGCCTCAGGGCTGCAGAGGCTTGGTGGTGTGGGAGTCCTTCACCTGAGGGCTGACGTGCCTTTTGGGGGTCTGGAGCATACTTCCAGGAGACAACCTCTCTTCCTCCTGTCACCTCTGCTCCTCCCTCAGCCTCCCTGTGTTCCTTTAAGCAGGGGGCATGGGAAGAATTTCTTCTGAAGCAACTGATGTTCTAAATTTGAGAGAGGGGAATACCATCATGTGGCCTGAAGTTAGCAGCCCAGAGGCTGAGGGCTGTGGCTCTGGCAGGTGCTGGTGTCCAGGGTGCAAGGAAGACTCCAATGTCCAGAGGACTCTCATGAAGGTGACTGGGAGCAGACTGTGGTGGAGGTGACAGCTCAGGGAGGAAGATGGGATTGTCAGGACTCAGTTCTTTGCTGGAAGAGACTTCTCTTCCATGGGGTGGTGAGTCCAAGTGAGACCTTGGTTCCTCTTCCTGGGTAGAATCCTCCCTTCCATTGGAATTATCCTAAAGGTCCACCCCACTGACTCCTAGCGGCCTCTTTCCTGGTAAGGAAGTCTGATTGGCTTTTGGCTTGGCTAACCTGAGTCACTTCTTCCAGAGCTGTCCTCATGCTGCAGCCACTGCTGTCCCACAGCAGCTGTGGGTCATCCTTCAGCTACAGATCCTCCCATTTTCCTTGTCCCCCCATCAGTGTGCGTGCACACTTCTGTGTATGCAGGTTTGGGGTAGGCTTGGTCTGCAACTGCGGGGGCCATGCGCAGTTGAGTTCAGTCTGGTCATGCCACAGAATTATTTACACTGAAACCCTAAAACCCTCTAGCGAAAGGTTAGATCTTTAAGTCAGACTTGTTTGGCAGGTCAGTGAGATGACAGGGAGGTTTAAGACCTGAATTGGGGGATGGGGCACAAAGGAGTCGTGGCTGTTTCTGGATCTAAGGCCTCTGTAGGGAGGTGAGATCCAGACTGGGTAGAGGCTGGTGATTCTTCTGGAGCCAACTCTGTGCCAGGCCCTATTGTGGCTGTGGAGGAGCATAGTTAAAACTCTGTGCTTTCCAGGACTTGAAGTCTGTGCACTGCCCTTACTACGATAAACAAAGGAATGAAAGTTCCTCTCCCAGGTCCATGATTCAGAGGGCTCTTAGGGGTATGTGTGTAGGAGGCGGTTTGCTGCTCATGCAGACATTTGGAGAAACTCTGGTTCCATCTCGTCACCCCCACACCAGCATCCAGGAAGACATATGGGCAGACTGGTGCGGGCCAGCAGGTGTGGGGATGCTTCTTTGCTGTGAGCTTCTGCCAGGTGTTAGAGAGGGAAATCGAAGTGTCCAGCTGCCCCAGAGCTGGGAGTCCTTCAGATTTACCAGAACTTTCTGATTACAAAGACTTCCTGCTTATTGTTTTGATTCTTAGGATTATAATCTTACTTTTGCTTTCCATGCTCACATCCCCAGTCTGAATCTGGGGCTGCTTCTCACCACTGCCAGCCTCAAGGCAGAGAAGGCAGGCTCCTCTCCCATTTGTGTTCCCTCTAAATGGTTGCATAGGTACTCGCTTGCAGAACCATTACTACCAATAGTGGAAAAATGAGATGGGGAGGGCAATATACTTTTATTCTTATTTTATTTGAGACAGGTTCTCATTATGTCACCCACACCCATGCTGGAGTGCATTGGTGTGATCACAGCTCCTGGGCTCAGGTGTTCCTCTTGCCTCAGGCAATTTTTAAAAAATTTCACACTTGATTGGCCAAGAACCTCCCCTCCGACCCCCACAACAACCTACCCAGCATTTACTCCTCAGTCTGAGGACACGTCCCTCACATCAGCCCCTCTGCTGTCTTGAAAGGCTCACCTCCTGGAAGCTGGCTCCTCCCTGATTCAGGGCCCAGCACAGCGTCGGAAAAATGGAGCAGTGCTGCCCACTGTGTTCGAAGGCCTCCCTCCTCTGTTTTATTCTGGGCCCCTTGGGCAGGGCTTACATCAGAGCCAGTCCTCCTTGGCTGATTCAAAGGGACAAACTCCTGGGTCAGTCCTGAGGACAAGGAATAGTGAGTGGGTGAGGGAGGGGCTGGCAACAACTGGAGTGTGTCTGGCCACAAGCTAGACTGTGGCTGCAGCTGATGGCCATCATCAAGCTGGCGCCAAAGCTGCCCTCCTGCCCAGGTTTCCAGAGATTCTCTAGCTAGTTCTCTTCTCTGTTCTTTGGAAGATTTACTGCCTTATTCCACCGCTTTAGTGGTTATCCTACAATTTCCTACATTTTTCTTTGACTTAAATAAGTAAAATCTTTACTCCTTTTCCTGAGCCATTCAAGGAACTTGGGTTATTTTAACTTTACTTTCCTCCTGCCTTACATGATTTTCTTTTAAAAACTTAATTTTATTTATAATTCCAGAGTTATAGAAAATTTGTAACAGTTGGTGTACAGTATTTCCATATATCCCCTCTCAAGTTCCATATATATTAATATTTAACTACATATACCTTATAATTCTTTCCCTCCCCAACATCATTTTTTTCTGAACTATTTGATACTGATCTACATATATGTGCTGTGTTACCCCTAAATATATCCTTGTGTATTTCCCAAGATATAAAAATATTCTCATAAAATTATCACACAGTTATCAAAAGCAGGTAATTAAGAAGACACAATGCTATACTCTAATTTACAAACCTTATTCAAATTTCACCGAATGTCTTAGTTATGTCTTTATAGCCAGAGAAGGAAAAAAATACATATTTTTCTTGTCTAGGATTTAGTCTAGAATCATGTTACATTTAGTCATTTCTAGTCTTCTTTAAGCCGATTTCTCTTGGTCTTTCTTTCACTTTTCTTTTTTGAGGGGTACAGGACAATTATTTTGTAGAATGACCTTATTTGGGTTTGTCTGATGTTTCCTCATGATTAGATTCCAGTTATGTATTTCTGGCAGAAATGCCACAGAAGTGATATTGTGTCCTTCTCAGTGCATTGTTATCAGGAGGCACATGATGTTGGTTTTTGTCCCACTGCTGGAGATAATAACTTTGGTCACTTGGATAAGGTGGTGTCTGCCAGGCTTTGTCTGCCATTGCAAAGTTAATATTTTCATTTGGTAATTAAGCTTTGGGAAATACTTTGAGATGATATAAATATTCTGTTTCTCATCAGACTTTACCCACTAAATTTTAGCATCCTTTGATGATTAGTGTTTGAGGTATAATGGTTGTAAAATGGTGAATTTTCTGCTTCCATTATTTCTCATACATTTATTAGTTGTTACTCTACTGTAAGGAAGAGTTTACCTCCCTCCCTCCCAATCCATCCATCCATCCATCCATCCATCCATCCATCCATCCATCCACCCGCCCATCCATCCATCTACCTACCCACCCATCTTCCATTCAGTCAGTCTGGATTCATAGATATTTATTTTATTTAATTAGTTATGCTTTGTTACTAGCATTGGTGATTTTGATGATCAAAATTATCCCAGATTAGTCCTGTGAGAGCTCCTCCAAGTTGATTCTTGTGTCTTTTTGACACACTGCTATTACTTTTTGAGCACTTCCTTACTTTCTGTTACTACAAGATATTCCAGGCTCATCTTGTACTTTCCCGGCTCAAACTCTGTAATCTGGTATTTTTCTAAGAAACCCTGATTCCTTTTAGCAGAGAATTGTGTATAAAAACAAACCAAGACCTGGAATAGGTCTGTTCATTGCCAGAGTGTTGTTATTTTTAGGCCCTGTCATACATATACACACATGTGTGTGTAGTATATATATTATGTAAATATGCACACACACACATGCAAATCCATTCATCTATCTACCTACCTACTTACCTACCTATCTTTCTTAAAAACCATGAGTTCATACTGATATGACCAGTTCCAATCCAACACTCTAGAGTTCATTTTAACCTTCTCTCTTTCCATATATGTAATTTCCTTCTCCAACCGTGAAAAACCTGGTTTCAGTTACCCACAGTATATTTACTTATTTGCTTAATCCTAGAATACACAGAATGTAGTTTCAGAATTGTTAACTCATGCTGGTGTGGGAAACAAATCTATTAAACAGAGTTCAATATTTGCTACTGTCTTTTTGCCCTAGCCTGAGAATACAGAGGCAAAGTACTGCTTCAAAACTTCTGTTATCACCCCCTACCCGTACTGTGTTTTGTCATTCACTTAACCTACAGTTCGGTACACTTGCTTCCATATGTATTCAATGCTAATGTTTCCTCCTTTTATCCTTGTTGATTGTATTTACTGAAAAACTGAGTACATGAAACATTAACATGGTTGTAAAAGTCAGAACAGATCTGTACAAAAACATGAACTCAGAGAAGTGTCACTGCCCTCCATCTTCTCTACCTTGCTCCCACCATCTTATTCTTTTCACCCATCAGGCTAAAAAAAGACATCAGAGAAAAATATATCCTAATATGTTGAGTTTATTCGGGAGTAAGCAAAAGGATTATAATCTGGGAAGCACAGCTGTAGCAAGCCATAGGTACAGGTACATCAAGCCAAAGGTAAAGGGAAATTTTTACTGGCAAGGAGAAGCTATGTAAGCTGCTTGGAGACAGAGTTCATTGGTTCTGGAGGCTCAAAGCTAGAATTAGCATCAGTTCATTGGTGGAGATGCCACTGCTAGGCATCGGCCTAGCATCTTATCAGAATTGCTACAGTCCTAAAGAATGTATAGTGATAAACCTGGTCATAGAAATATGTGCATGCATGTAAAATGTAAAATGCATGTAAAATGTAGATCATGAAAAGCATGAGATGTATAAAAGATGAAGGAATTTCTCGTGGAGTTATTTTAGAAAGTCCTTGAAATAGTCCTTATCTCAGATGTGCAAGCATGAGCTGTGCTCCTTTGTGTGTTCTGGCTCCAGTTTGCTCGGGTCTGACAAAAGTGACTTATTTTGCTATCTGCAACTTTAGTCACTCCATTTCCACCCACTCCTGTATGGAACCAATCTCATTAGTTTCTGGGTTTCCTTTCCTAAGTTTCTTTTTGTATAGTTGTGCAGACAAATATATATTTTCTTATTCCCCTTTCTTTCTTGCACAAAACGTGGCATACCATAAACACTTTCTCACACTTTGCTTTTTAAATTTAACAGCATATCTTGGGAGCCATTCTATATCAGTTTATAGATGTCATCCTCATTCATTTTTATAGCTGCAGACTATTCCATTCGATGATGTACCATAGTTCATTCAACCATTTTCCTATGTAAAGTCATTTTGGTTGTTTCTAATATTTTTCAATTATAAACAATGCTACAATGAAAATCCTTAAACATATGTATTTTTGTATATATTTGAATATGTATTACCAGGATAAATTATAAAAAGGGGGAAAAGCATGTGCCATTTTGTTTGATATCATCAAATTCTCCCCCATTAAGGTTGTACTAATTTCCATTCCCATCAGAAATGCTTGAGCATCTACTTTCTTCAAGCCTTGCCAACAGAACGTGTTAGTGTATGTTTACATTTTTGCCAATCTGCTAGGTGAGAGATAATATCTCAGTGTTATTTTAATTTGCATTTCTCTTATTATAGTTGAGGCTGAATGTTTTTTCACATGTTTACGGGACATTTTAATTCTTTTTTCAGTCAATGGTCTGTTTATGTCTTTGACTATTTGACCATTTTTATATCAGGTTTTTGAAACTTCTATCGAGTAGAAAAAGTTATTTATATATTAGCGATATTACATATGTATCTGTGTTATATATTACCGATCTTTTCTCTCAGTGTTTAATTTATTTTGGGATTTTTTTTTTTTTTTCTGCGACAGAGTCTTGCTCTGTTGCCCAGGCTAGAGGGTAGTGGTACAGGCTCGGCTCACTGCAACCTCCCCCTCCCAGGTTCAAGCGATTCTCCTGCCTCAGTCTTCTGAGTAGCTGGGATTACAGGTGCCCGCCACCACGCCCGGCTAATTTTTGAATTTTTAGTAGAGACGGGGTTTCACCACGTTGGCCAGGCTGGTCTTAAACTCCTGACTTCAGGTGATCTGCCTACCTTGGCCTCCCAATGTGCTGGGATTACAGGCGTGAGCCACAGCACCCGGCCAGGACTTTTCTTTTTTCTTTTTTTTTTTGAATAAAATAATTTTATTTTTGTATAATAAAATAATTTTATTTTTGTATAATAAAATAATTTTATTTTTATATAATACAATTTATCAGTCTTTTATTGTTTTGGATGAGTTCACTTCCATTAAATCCAGGGAAGTGAAATTATATATGTGACCTTAATATGAGTTTTAATAATCTACTTTTCAATTTTTCAGTATTTTAAATATTTCTTTAATGTTCTGGAAAAAATAGCCACTAGCAAATACAGAAATACGTGTACACAGGGGCACACATTTTTCCTTTTGTCTCTGTCTCCAGTACGTCTCAGGGCAGCACTGAGCAGAGGCCTATGGGCCATCTCAGTCTTTCATTAGAGCCAGTAGCCAAAACATATCTGTCCAAGAGCTATGACAACAGCAGCAAAGCTTGTGGAAGCCTCAGCCAACTTAGTCCTAGAGTTTCCACCAAACTGAATGGTTCCCCATAGTGAACACTGTTTTACTGAGAGAAAACAGTCAGCGCTTCTTGGTTATCCACCTCCCTAAGAGTTATAATAGCGATAGAAAAATATGAGAAAACTTCAACTTCAGTAGATTTAGTTCTGACGCCTCCGCTAAACTTAGTGGTTCCCCATGCTCTGCGGACGCTTATATTCACAGAATATCCTCACCACTTTTTGCTAGTTGCCTACCCTCTGTGACATATCGTTGCCTCCCCCTTCGCATATCACTGTCCAGTGTGGCAATACTCTACACACAGCCACCTCCTTCTTTTAAAGGAGGTGGCTTTACCTCTGTTAAGGGACTATCATGCTCTTTCAGATCTTTTTTTAAATTTTTATTTTTTAACCTTTTAAAAATTTCAATAGTTTTTGGGGAACAGGTGATTTTTGGTTACATGGATAAGTTCTTCAGTGATAATTACTGAGATGCAGCCATCACCTGAGCAGTGTACATTGTACCCAATGTGTAGTCTTTTATCCCTCGTCCCCCTCCCAACTTCCCCCTTGTCTCCACCGTCCCTTTTATCATTCTTACACTTTTGCGTCCTTGTAGCTTAGCTCTCACTTATAAATGAGAACTACAATATTTGGTTTTCCATTCCTGAATTTCTTCACTTAGAATAATGGTCTCCAATTCCATACAAGTTGCTGCAAATGCCATTATTTTGTTCCTTTTAATGGTTGAGTAGTATTTCACTATATATATATATATATATCTCACATATATATCACATATATATGTGTATATAAATGTGATATATATATGTATACACACACTACATTTTTAAAATCCACTTTTTGGTTGATGGGCATTTAGGCTGGCCCCATATTTTTGCAATTGCAAATTGTTTTGCTATAAACATATGTGCAAGTGTCTTTTTCATATAATGAACTCTTTTCCTCTGGGTAGATACTCAATAGTGGGATTGCTGGATCAAATGGTAGTTGTACTGTTAGTTCTTTGAGGAATCTCCATACTGTTTTCCATACTGGTTGTACTAGTTTACATTCCCACCAGCAGTGTAGAAGTGTTCCCTGTTCACTGTATCCACACTAACATCTACGGTTTTTTTGATTTTTTTATTATGGCCATTCTTGCAGGAGTAAGGGGGTATCTCATTGTGGTTTTAATTTGCAGTTCCCTGATGATTAGTGATGTTGAGCAGTTTTCATATGTTTGTTGGCCATTTGTACATCTTCTTTTGAGAATTGTCTATTCATGTCCTTTGCCCACTTTTTGATGGGATTATTTTTTTTTTCTTGCTGATTTGTTTGAATTCCTTGTCGATTCTGGATATTAGTCCTTTGTATGATGCATAGTTTGCAAATACTTTCTCCCGTCCTGTGGGTTGTCTGTTTACTCTGCTGATTATTTCTTTTGCTGTGCAGAAGCTTTTTAGTTTAATTAGGTCCCATCTATTTTTGTTTTTATTGCACTTGCTTTTGGGTTCTTGTTCATGAACTCTTTGCCTAAGCCAATGTCTAGAAGAGTTTTACTGATGTTATCTTTTATAATTTTTATAGTTCCAAGTCTTAGATTTAAGTCTCTGATCCATCTTGAGTTGATTTTTGTATAAGGTGAGAGATGAGGATCCAGTTTCTTTCTTCTAGATGGTGTCCTTTTCCCACTTTATGTTTTTGTTTACTTTGTCAAGGATCAGTTGGCTTTAAGTATTTGAGTTTATTTCTGCGTTCTCTATTCTGTTCCATTGGTCTACATGCCAATTTTTATACCAGTGCCATGCTGTTTTGGTAACTATAGCTTTATAGTAGAATTTGAAGTTGGGTAATATGCCTGCAGATTTATTCTTTTTGCTTAGTCTTGCTTTGGCTATGTGGTGTCTTTTTTTGTTCCATATTAATTTTAGGATTATTTTTTCTAGTTCTGTGAAGAATGATGATGGTACTTTGATGGGAATTGCATTGAATCTGTAGATCCCTTTTGGCAGTATGGTCATTTTCACTATATTGATTCCACCCACCCATGATCTTGGGATGTGTTTCCATTTGTTTGTGTTGTCAATGATTTCTTTCAGCAGTGTTTTGTAGTTTTCCTTTTAGAGATTTTTCACCTCCTTGGTTAGGTATATTCCCAAGTATTTTATTTTTTGGACACCCCTCATTTAATTGTTTGTAGATGGTTCATACCTAAAAAGAAAAACTACAAGTTGCCAATTATGTTATACTATCACAGACTTGAATTTACCTTTAAGCTTCTCAAAGAAATGAAATCTGTTCAGATGGCTAAATTGCCTTTGTCCAGACATGCCAGCCAACAAAAGATAAAAAACAAATACTTGTCCTGATGGTGGGTATGATTTTGGGTTGGCCCATGATTTTGAAATGCTTTAAAAAAAAAGGACATTTTCTGACTGTTACAGGAATCCTTATAAAATGGATAGCAAATTAAGGAACCCTGAGAAGTTTTCCATTACCTAAAGAAATGGCCATGATAAATGTAGAATTTAGCAAAAGTGCTTCATGATATTACCCATAATACAAGAGATAAATCTGCCATGATTTTTATTTTATTTTTTATTTTTTGACTTTTATTTTAAGTTCAGGGGTATATGTATAGGTTTGCTACATAGGTCAACTCATGCCACAGGGGTTGTTGTACAGATTATTTTGTCACCCAGGTATTAAGCCTGGTATCCATTAGTTATTTTGTCTTATCCTCACCCTCCTCCCACCCTGCACTTTCTGGCGGGCCTCAGTGTCTGTTGTTCCCCTCTCTGTGTCCATGTGTTCTTATAATTTAGCTCCCATTTACAAGTGAGAACATGTGGTATTTGGTTTTCTGTTCCTGTGTTAGTTTGCTAAGGATAATGGCCTCCAGCTCCATCCGTGTTCCTGCAAAGGACATGACCTTGTTCTTTTTTATTTGTCATGATATTGAACCAACATTGATGGGGGTAATTTTAGGAGGTTTCATAGACATTTCCAAAATATGTCCAACCTGACAATGACACAATCCTGGCAAGATTTTAAGGATAGGTCATGGACAGGAACCGAAGTCTCACTGCCCCTTTGAACGTCTCCAAATGTGCTGAGTGCATTCTGATTATTGTTGTTTATTCTTAGGGTTAGTTGATGTTTTACCTTACTGGAGAGTGGTAGCTATAGTGGTAGGAACAAATTTGCTTAATTTTGTTGTATTTCTGACTTGGAAAATCCCAACTTATTTTGCAGTTAAGAGGAACACACATATCACTGGTACTGTTGTTACTGAACCCTGCAATGCTTTACTTTTTACTCAGAATCTCTACTGACCTTTATCATCCACAAAATTCAGGGAAAAGATAGAACTAAAATTCTAAAAGTATAATTATCAGAGCTCTCAAAACCCTCACACTCCTAAGGCTTGAGGAGTGCTATTGGTGTTGATGGAAGTAAGACCAATTTTCAGGACCTACAGGTGGCCACCTTTGGAATTCATAACAGGCTTCCTCACTACTTGCAATCCTAGATTCTACATTATGAGTACAAGCTGATATGATTCATTGCTGAAGGGTACTCACAATAACTCCAGCTTTATCACCAACAGGTAAACGCTGCATTTCTACAACAGCCACCTGTGCAGGCCCTGCATGCTCTGTAACCTGGGGATTTGGTCTTCTGAAAAGGGCACCAGAGAAAAACTGCTCTTAAGCCTCTGTTAACTGACACAGCAGTAGAACTCCAAGGTGTTGATCCTTGGATTCATGTTTCTCAACTTCAGAGACACACATCACTCCTTCCTGACCACTGGGCATCCATCCCACCAGGAGCTCCTAATCTGAGAGCTGTTAGAAATCCTCCAAAAGTGCTGACTGCAGAAGTTGGTAGCTTCTGCTCAAGATGACAGAACAAGATTAACTTTTGTATTCTTCAGCACCTTTTTTATTTTCCATTATCACACTTTGATACCCTCTAAAACATTAAAACACCTTCTAGAATGCTTATGTGATCAACTTGATCTTTGTCTTATTAATTTTGACCTCTGTCATCTCCTTCTACCACTTAAGAAAAAACCAAAACTCCCTTGTGCATCTTTTTCAAACCACAGCTACTGCCCTGAATTTAACTAATTACTGACAAAATCTAGTAAGTATCACTTCAGACACTTCAGAAGGAAGTACAGGCCCTTTCTAGTACTTAAGTTTGCCTTACACCACAAATCCCAACCTTCAGTCCTGTAAAAACTGGAGCTTGATGTCACATCAATGGAATGCTTCTGACAATGTCATCACAATCCTTTCAGCACAACCTGGGTGTCATGAGTGAGCACTGACATAGGACTATCCTTGCTACAGCTACCACTCTGTTCTCTTCAGAGACACTCTGGCTTGCTTCTCAAAAACTGTTTAACTCTACTCAAGAACAGCCCACAAAAAATCCTGACCCATAGCTGTTGTGCTAAAATGAACTTTCTGTTTCCATACAATCTGTGCCCCACTAAGATGCTACCAAAGCAGACATCAGGCTTACACTGCCTGCTGTAATATAGGAAGTAGATGTTTCCACATCAATAAATATTCCTTTCATACGCTGCTAATGTATTCATGCAGCCCATTAGATAGATGTACTAAAACGAAGTTAGCCAGTTTTAAATATAATTTTGTATTTATGTGCTCTTTTAATTTATTCATATTAAAACAGACATGATCATTATCTTTTAATATACATTTTACAACTTGTATGGTTATTTTTTGAGAATAAGCTGACAGATTTGGATTGATGGGTAAAATGTAAGCATATACGTTAAAGGGTTTAAAAAAATCTGTAATGCTAAACTATTATCCAGTGAGGTTTTATTGGTCTATAATCCCAACAACAGCCTACCCATTGTCAGCTTGCTCACACCCATGCCAGCACTGGAATTAGCTAGCCTTTTCATCTTCGCTGGAGCGGGAGGTGATCCAGTAGAAAAAAATGGCACCATTTTTTCCCTAGTTAGAAATTCTTGGGTTACTGGTAAAGGTGAACTTTCCTTCTGTTGTTCGGCTGGACTCTAGACAGGAGCTGGTGTGAGGCAATTTAAAATGCTGCTTTCCAGAGAGGCCTGGAGAGACTGTTCTCTGTGCTGTAGAGGGAGCTGTTCATGAGAAGAGGGAGCCTGAAAGGGCGTTGTCATTGTTGTTCTCTCCTGCTACCCCATGCCTCACAGAAAGGTCCACAGGCCAGGAACAGGGAAAGGGGTTCCTGTGTTTATGCCACTTGTAGACGGCACAATACAAACCTGGCTGCAGAAAGAGAAAAAGAGAAGGTTATCATCAGACACAGTGAATAATGGGAAATAATTTCAGAGAATCAGAAAACTGTTAACTAGAAAGTGAGGCTGAGGAAGTGACCTACGAGAAATGGACAAGGACTCGATTTACACAGTAACGAGAGGGACAGAGAGAGAAACCCAGAGAACAGGCAGTGGCTGGCACAGAGGCGGCAGGGCTGAGAGGAATGGAGTGAGTGTCTCCCAGACAGTGAGCTCTGAGCTGCACTATCCAGAGCACAGGGGAACGCCAGAGCGAAGAGCCCCACCTCCTCAAGGAGGCAGAGGCTTTCCACATTTTCTCTAAACTCTCCTTCCCTCCCAAATAAAATGGCCCTGTCTGTCCCATGGCCTCTGCCTCAACTACAAAAATATCTGTCCCCCTGGGGGTGGGGAAGGAGAGATGTGTCAATACCAGGGAATGGCTCCAGTGAGGGCAAGGAGGCCTCGCTGGGCAGGCGGGGGACTACCAGCATCCATCTGAGCAGCCCCACTCTCAGCATCCAGGACGACACAGAGGAAACACAAAAGCTTATGTCCCAGAATCCTGGAGGGATGTGGGCAGGAGACTGGCCCTGGGACCAACTCAGACGCTCTGTTTCCACTTTCTCTCCAACATCTCAGGCTGATTCCTCAGGTTCCCCATTTCAAGGTATGACATAATTACAGAATCTTACTTCAGTCTATCAGGCTACACGAGTGGTGTCCAAAGGCCTCACACAGATGCCTCACTCCATCCTCTCTGAGGAGATGATACCTCATTAAACTTTTCCAGAAACTAACGGTTCTTAAGAGTAAAGATTCTGACAACAGGCATCAACATTTTTCAAACTGTAAGAGAGTCATGAAGTGGAAAATATTTTTGGACATCACTGCCTTTGTAGAAGAGAGAAACTAACTTCACATTTAAGTTAAAATAAAAACTAAACAAAACTCTCTGTGTGTGTGTGTACTGTTTGCAAATGATTCTGGAAGGATACCCTCCACACGGGTAGAAGTGGACTCCATTGCGAAGGGGAGTGAGAGTAATGGAAGAGGATGAAATGGGCCTTTCATGATTTATTCTGTATACCCCTGTACCTCTGGTTTAAAAAAATAAGCATGCAGGCTGGACGCGGTGGTGCACACCTGTAATCCCAGTGCTTTGGGAGGTCGAGGCGGGCAGATCACCTGAGGTCAGGAGATCAAGACCATCCTGGCTAACATGATGAAACTCCATCTCTACTGAAAATACAAAAAATTAGCTGAGCATGGTGGCGGGTGCCTGTAGTCCCAGCTACTCGGGAGGCTGAGGCAGGAGAATGGCGTGAACCCGGGAGGCGGAGCTTGCAGCAAGCTGAGATCACTCCAGCCTTGGAGACAGAGCAAGACTCCGTCTCAAAAAAAAAAGCATGCGTTTACACAGTACCTTTGTAATGACCAGTTAATAAAGAACATGGAATATGAAAGAATTAGAAGGCCTGCCACTGAGTTGTTCAAGAAATGTAATTTTATGAATGCGTAAATGAATACCTGTGATGACTGAATCAGATAACTTACATGCACCATTCATATCCTCCTGGCCTCACCCTTCTCAGCACCTCTCCTCCAGCCTGTACTGCAAACCTCTTGCCTCCCATCCTGGGGTTTGAGACCAGCCTGGCCAACATGGTGAAACCCCGTCTCTACTAAAAATAAAAAATTAGCTGGGTGTGGTGGTGGGTGCTGTAATCCCAGCTACTTGGGAGGCTGAGGCAGGAGAATCGCTTGATCCTGGGAGGCAGAGGTTGCAGTGAGCTGAGATCACACCATTGCACTCCAGCCTGGGCAAAAAGAGCAAAACTCCATCCAAAAAAAAAAAAAAAAAAAAGGCTGTTTCTCCTGAAGCAACATTTTTAGATTTATTTTATTTTCCTACTGTTGTCATGGATACCTGGTAGCTCAGAGTTCAATATTATGTATAATCACAGAAGACAACTTTTCTGTTACAGAACAATTATTTGTGCAATTCCAGCCTTCCCATGTGTGGTACCAGATTTGTATTTTACTTTTTTGTCCTATACATCCTATTATTTTTGGCTATTGCCTTAAACACCTTTCAGAAGTAGGATATGTTTGAGTTATAACAAAAAATTACATTGCTCTCCATAAGAGATAACCTACTCCTGGTGATGTTGAACCTTTTCCTGCTGGAAAGAATGGAGTATTCAAAAGGTGACAATCTGACCAGAGATAAGAACATGAGCTTTCAACACAGACTGGGGATGAAGTCCTGGCTTTGCCCCCATGTTTTGGGGGTAATTTAACTCACTTTGGTAAGCCTCAATCTCTAGTTCTACAAAATGTGATAATAGAACTAAGATATCATTGCAATGTTGAGAGAGTGAAATGAGAACTATGTAAGGCACTGTTCCTATTCGGTTCAATAAACATCACTTCTTAGAAACAATGTCCGTATCATGTGGTCAAAGGACCTCCCCCCTCCGCCCCTGGCCCAATTCCTTGTAAGGCCACCCAGATAGTACAAATTTCAGCTCTGGGCTCTTTCCATATTGCAGTGCTTTCTCTAAACTGACTGTGAAGATCATCAGATTTAGAGATGAAAGGGCTTTGTAGGTTGCAAAGAGAGATAAGGACAAACATAGGCCATCTCCAGCTAACTGGAGCAGAAATAGGGTGCTCATTTTCACCTTCTGCTTGTGCCCCTGCCTATAACCTCTGCAACCTCCACGACGACCCATGGGATGACCTGTCCTCAAGCAGTCCTCCAGCATCAGAATGGTGGCAGTAACAGAGCATTATCTTCAAGGGGATATTTATGAGAACACCTTGAAGGAGCAGAGGGGCTGTTCAGAACAGGCTGTCAGGTAGAACTCTACTGCTGGCCTCTCTTGCTCCAGGGCCATGGCTGTGACGGTCAGCACCTCACCAAAGCACAGGCACCTGCTGCATGTGCAGCCTTTCCCAATGTCTGAGGGGCTCACATTCATTTGAGGGGCCACGGTGGGAGATGGACACATACCATCCCCCATTTTCATTCCTCTTGAGCTTCCCCCTATCAAGGTACCAACCAGATGCTGCAAAATGTATAAGCCCCAAACACTTTAATACATACTTGGTTAAAACTTTAGTTGAAAACACAGCATGCAGCCGGGCATGCTGGCTCACGCCTGTAATCTCAGCACTTTGGGAGGATTTGGGAGGCTTTGGGAGGCCAAGGCGGTTGGATCACCTGAGGCCAGGAGTTCAAGATCAGCCTGGCCAACATGGTGAAACCCCGTCTCTACTAAAAATACAGAAATTAGCCGGGCATGGTGGCGGGCGCCTGTAATCCCAGCTACTCGGGAGGCTGAGGCAGGAGAATCGCTTGAACCAGGGAAGCAGAGGTTGCAGTGAGCCAAGATCGTGACACTGCACTCCAGCCTAGGCAACAGAGCGAGACTCTGTCTCAAAACAAAAAACAAACAAACAAAAAAGAAAACAGCATACAAAATAAGATAATGAAAAACTTAAAAAGGAGTAGTCAACATAAGCAGCTTTGAAATGCAGTCTTCTGGGCTAACATTATCCTTTGTTGTGACAACAAGGAAGTTACAGATTAATTAAAAAATTGTAACAATGACTACAACATTCCTGAGGTGGGGCAAAGACCCTATTTATATTAGATATATGCATATTCTCATTTTTGTTAGCATAAAATTTATTCCTAGATTAATTTTTCTGTAAGAAGTTTTCTGAAATATTTCACTAAATTTAAAAATAATTGTTGTGAAACGTAACACTTCATCTCAGGATTCACAGCTTGTATGTACGTTTGTAGTAGTAAACTACATTTACTAAGAAGGTATGTTAGAGAAAACAGACTGTCCTAGAAAACACACCTTGCTCATCAGTCTTACATATTTTTTGCTTTGATTAATTTGATCTTGTTAAAAACAATCCAGCTAGCCTGTAAGTTCTGGATATAAGGTGGTTTTTTTTTTTTTCTTTTTTTTTTAGCTTTTGTCACTTTATTGTTAACCAATGAATATTAGAATATTATCCAAAATTAGAGATATAATTGTAACTTAATTGTACAGCACAAAATTATGCTAATGGTAAAAGCCTACTGGGATTTACCAAATACTCATTAGTGTATTTTTACATTGACTATATGAACATGTGCTTGTGACTGCTAATGATGAGTTATAATTGGTTTAATCTCTATGAAAATCCATATTTTAAATGGTTCTTGTTTAGAAAAATTCACACAGCCTTAAAAATGAATTAAATCCATTTTAATCCTAATCTACAAATAGATCATAAACAGCAAAATATAACTGATAATTTTTCAATACTGTATCAAGCTGATATAGCTATGGTAGTGCACATAATTCAAAATGAGGAAAATTAACAAAAATCCAATGAAAGTTCAGGTTTTTATCTGTTATGGCAATTGCTTTAAAGTGAACATTTATGTTTCAAAACATGAATAGCAGGGTCCACCATCCATTCCTTTGATGTACTGCAAGTAGGAACATTCTCTTCCATAGGATTCTGAAGCATGTGCACAACCATGGTACAACAGTCACTTCAAGGTTAACCAGCTATGTTTTGTCCTACAAAGTTAAAAAAATATATTAAACACAACCTTTCCTTTTCATAATGTCTGCCCAGATTAATCCTTTTAAAGTCAGCAAAATCAAAAAAGCAAAAGAGATATTTTCAGACACAACTTGAATCTACTGTGCATGAAAATGTTTAATAAAAGGCAATTTTAATAGATAAATGTAAATTTGAGTAATTCCAAATGGAAAGTAGCTGAACCACACGGAGAAAACAAGGCTTTACATATCTCCAAATTTAGCGGTTTTACAATAAACAAAGTATTAGAACATGTGACTATTAGAACCTCCTCCTAACTGGAAAGATTTCTTCAGTAACATATAAATGAAGTTAATATAAACTAAAATTATAATTTCTAAAATAGAATTAACAAACCAAATTTTAAGCATTTTTAGTTAGAGATTAAAAAAATAAGCACAGTGATCTAGAAACCAAATATACTGATTATGTAACTATCATATCAAAGTACAGACATTCTTCATATGCTACAAGGTTAGCATCTCTCTCACACACACACACACACACACACACAGACACACACACACAGAGTCTCTCTCTCTCTCATTCTCTCTCTCACTCTTCCTCAGCCATACAACACCCCTCCAGGATGATAGTACACCAGTGAGGAGCTTACAAGTTTAATACAGATCAGAATCCCACAGTTTGACTCAACAAAAAGGCAGTTAAAAATTTAGCACTCTAGATATTCTAAGGGAAAATAAAAACTTCAAAAGTATTTCTTCATGATTGAGGCTATCATTATGAATTATAAAACATATAGCTTACACACTCCATTGTGTTTGAACAACCAGTCATTGCAGGTGTAGTAGTGAGGTAGTATTGTCGTCCCCTCCTTGGGACTGATGTTTTTATATGCTGCCCTTCCAGAAAGGTCCAGGTTTAAAAATCAGTTACCAACAAATGCATATATTCTTTTTATTAATTATCTGTTTTTCTAAATCAGTCTATAAAAGAACAAAACTTTTAAAATCTTGCAGAGGCTGTCTCATCAATAAACTCTCCTAGGGAACTACTACTGCTGTCTAAACCTCTGTGAAATGGTAGGCAAAAAAAACCCATCAAAGGATTACAGGAGATAAAACACCAATCAACGTAGCTGTTAAAGATGACTGTGATTAAATAATCAAATATCAAATATCCAGTAAGGTAATTAAATTTGGATTAAAAAAACTAACCATCAGCTGTACATACATTATTAAATGTTCTAATCTCTTTCCTGGTTCATAGCCATACTCAACATAATGATCAAAGACTGTCCACTGTGCTACTACTATCATTTTAAACACTGCCTGATTTGTATGATGGTGGAATTATGGCTATGGGCTTGGCAGGTAAGAGAAGGGCACACTGAGAAAATGTGAGTGAGAGGGAATGTGGAAATATACACAGGTTAAGTATGGAAGGGGCAAGGGAAACCCTTTAAAATGTTCACCATTATCCTTTAAAATGTGCATGAAACTGAAACCACAGATACACATTTGTCAGACATGATAATTAGTGTTAATCTTCAATAGAAAAAAAAAGGAAAAAGAAAAATATGTGAAAAAAGGCAATGGAACACCATTCTCCATTCCTGGACCAAAAGAAAAAGAAAACCAAGTATGATATCAGACTGCCTTAATGTTGAAGAGCTCCCCTTAAATATGTCTTTTAGCTAGCACAGTCAAACTGGTGTAAGTGCTTTTGCAAGGTGGGATGCATTCCATCCTATCTGCAAAGGCCTGCTTTTCTCTGTTGGCAGTTCAGCTTATGAAGAATACATATGCAAAATAACAGCTCTCACATTGCTTCAAACTCATTGATACGCTGCTTTGTGTTGCCTTGTCGAATCGGTCACAGAGTCTTGTACTTACCATGGCCTGTTTTAACATTCTTAGCCTGAAGAACATCCTTTTGTGTTTCCTTGCTTTCATCTCTGGCTTGGGCTAATTCTGAACTTAAGGCCTGAAGTAGCTTCTTAACACGCTCATTTTTCTGTGTTTCTGTTACATGTTCTTCTTTGCTTCTATGGTTCATTACCCCTTCATTTGATAATTCAGCACCAGCCTTAGCATTAATCTCATCATGTTCATCATGTTCGTTTTCTGTCGAAGGAATGACTGGTGTTGGTGGTGGTGGAGGTGGAGGGGGGGGCAGACATCACAGTTTTTAACTCTTCTTTGGTCTTTTCCAAGTCTTCTGGGCTGCAAAAGCTTTGTGTTGCCACTCAGTAGCTTCCTCTTCCTTTTTCTTCTTGGCTTCTTCTAGAAGTACAATCTTGGCAGTGAATTGAGCAAGTTTTGCTGCTAGCTGCTCCTGATTCTTCTGGTCGGCAGCTTGTTTTGCTATGGCAGACTTCGCCTCTTCAGCAGCTCGACGCTCCTTTTCAAGCCACTCTGCTGCTTCTTTTGCTTGTTTTCATTCTTGATCCAGTTCTAGAGCTTTTTGCGTCTGTTCTTCTAGTTATTTCTGGGCTTTAATCGTCTGTTCTTCTATTTGTTTTAGACGTTCCATTAGCTCTTCCTTTTCACATTCTATTCTTTCCTTTTCTGCTATTTCTCTTTTCTTCTTTTTATTCTCTAATTGTGCCCTCTCCAACTGCTTCTGATGTTTCTCCTCCCTAGCCTGAGCCCTCATCTGTCATACTTCAATAGTATCAGGCTTCCTTCTTCGCATGTATAGTTCGTGGTTTCCCATACATAAGGCCAAAATCTGCTTATTGACTCTCAGGTGAGGGGCATAAAAACCAAAATCAGGTGGCTTTTTATTGATTGGCTTTATAACAAATTTTTTGTCATTAAATGAAACATTTCTGATTTCACTCCACGGAAAACCAGTTTTAGGTGTTAACTTGTCATCATGCTCATAAATATTCAGACCCAAAGCATCAACACCTAGGCACAATTCAGTTTCCTTTTTTTTATTTCAAAATACTTGACTCCATACATTTCTAGATCTTGTGCAATCTTCAGGTAGTCCATCATAGAACCCTCCCTTTGTATTCCTCTATGTTTTTCATGCCAGTTCTGTATTCTTTCTTCCCACTGTTCTTGTTAGTTTGTGTTGTTCCAATACGTTGGGGTAGGAGTCTATCATTAGCCAGGTAGCCTGGGTTATGAATTTCTTTGTTATAATCTCCATACTTGGCTTGAACAGCATAGGAAGCCAGAAGAACTGCAGTTTCTGTCGGACAATATATCTCATCCTTTAAGATGGCTTCTTTAACTTGCAAGAAGAAGAGTCTCTGGGTTATTTCTTGAATTAATTCCTCAGAAACATCTTCAGGAAAGAATTTAGCTCTAAACTTGAACTGTAAAGGATCCTTCTCTTTTTTAACATCTTGCTGCGTCACCTTTTTATTTAGTTGAAGCCATGTAGAATAACCTCTGCTGTCTACATACTGCAGCCCCAAAAACCAGACCTCGCGCAAACCAACTATTTTCACCACATGGTCAAAAAGTTGTTTGCCAGTTGTTTTGGGCTGAATGGCAAATTTCCAGCTCAGCATCCATTGTAGTTACTGTTACGTTGATTGGTTCCGGCATTTTCTTTCTCTTTTTGTTATCTTCTTAAGAAATTCTTCACTTCGATGAATTCTGTTGTCACTTTCCGGAGAGCGAGCGGCTCCTGCCCGACGGCGTGTGTCTGGGGCGCTGCTGGGCTGCGGGGCTGCGGCAGGGAGGGAGAGGCGGTGCTGCGGGCTCCGGGCCGCGGGAGACCAGAGGCGCCGCCGCCACCGCAGACAGCTCCGCGATGGACATAAGGTTTTCAGTGAGAAGAGTTTTTAAAAAAAATTTAGCGTTTCCTCCTTGGAAGAATTTTACAAATAAGACATCAAGTTGGTCACAGAGAAGGATCTTGACGTTGTAACCAGTCCTGCATCCCAGTCAGGGCTCTCTCTGGTAGATGAGGATTCTGTGTATCACCACAGAAACCCCAGCTTGCTGGAGTAATAAAACTGTTTCTGTAGTGGGTGTTTTTCTCTCCCTTCCAAAAAAAATCCCTAGTAAGACTTAAAGCTTAGTGGAGAGATGGTTAAATAGATCAAAGCCATTGTATTTATATTTTCGAATTATGTATAAGAATAATACGTATTTGTTACTTTATGATCTTGTAATATTTAGATAATTTGGCATATTATAGTACCTACCAGATATAGTGCTTAACAGATTTCAACTTTTATTTATGTATTTTTAAAAATAGAGTTGGGGGTCTCACTGTTGCCCAGCCTAATCAAGAACTCCTGGGCTCAAGTGATCTTGCCTCGGCCTTCCAACGTGCTAGGATTATAGGAGTGAGCCACCATGCCTGACGTCAACTTTTAAATGTGCATATAAATAATTACCAAGAAGTAATTTTAAATTGAAATGTGTAATAATATTTCAGCAAGTTATGTTAACAACATGTATGAGAACCTCACATCCACTATAATTCTAAATTTATTTTATTAGATTATAAGAACTAGTTAGAAACTTATTAAAACATTTTTAAAATGAAAATCAATCTCTATATTTAAGGAAATCAAAACTGTAATTATTTATAAACACTTTGAATTTTTTATGAAGACTTATTAACTAGGTTGTAATGGCTACTTAAAAATGACCGGTAACATTTTTTAGAAAGTTTTAAAAACTGAACTTAAAATATAAGAAATAATAAGATTTTTAAGTATATTTTATTTCTGAGTCAACTGTTGACTTTAAAAAGGGCCGACAACCGTGCAGTGCAGCTTTCTGTAAGAACCTCAATGAACACACATGAGAAAATGTAGCTTAAAAAAAGGTTCACTTTTTAAAGGACATTACTGATGTCCTAAAATATACTAGGTATATATTGTTGCTTGGGTGTTTGAAGTTGTTTGGATGAAATAAACTTGGGTTCAGTCACAGAATACAAGATTGTCTACTGATTTCAGATGATAATGTGTCTGGAGAAGATGAGCCTTCTCAAAGGCAATTGCAGAAAGACAAGATAATTTTGAGGGCAACATTTTTTTTTTCTAGGATGGACGAAAACGGAAAAAAAGTAGTAACAATGAAAAAGATGTTTATAACATTTAAAAAACCCTCAAAACTGACTATAAAGGAAAACCATTTTAACAAAAGCTAAAACTACATGCATTTCAAACTTATGCAGTGTATTTAAGTCACACTGGCCCCTTAGATGTCCCTACAAGCGCTGCAGACGTCGGGGAGGCCTGTGGAGTGACCGGTCCTCACCTCCTCCGGCTCTCAGTGCCCCATCTGCCAGCTGTCACAGTGCTGGTACACTCTAACAAGACCTCCCTGGGGCTCAGGGATAAACAGAGAGAAACACAGTAATACTATGATACTAGAAATACTGGCTTTTAAAGTATGGTACTGTTTATTATCTTACGACAGGAAGTCCTGTCGTATCTGAGATATGGCTCTGAAAGAATTCTTGGTCTAGGTATTTCCCATCTCTAGAGGGCGGTGATATATTTGAAGCAATCACTTAATTACAAGAGCTCTCTCCTCCTGTACCCTGCCACATTTATTGTCAATAACTCAGAATTTCCTAAGTGATAAGGGATGGCTCTCTGTGTCTTCTGACCCCTCAGAGAGCTCACAGTGGTGTCTTTGGATGCCTGCATCCTGTCCTGCCTCCTCCCCGCCTTACCGTGGGGCTCACACAGTCAATGGCCATAGAAGAGCCACTGCAGTCCCACCTGGATTCATAGCACCAGGAAAGGAGCAGGCCTCTTTCAGCCAGCCAAAGAAACACTTACCCCTTATTAGGGAAGCTGCACAACAGACTAAAACCGGATCCAGGAAACAGTGGACAGGGGACTCAGGTGGGTGTGGAGTGTGCGCCTCACTCCCCAGGAAAGCAGCGCTAGGGCCCTTTCCCTCAGAACTCTGTGGCGTGCATTGCTTCTGGCCAAGGAGGGGAAAGTTCTTTCTGGCTCTCCTCAAAGTCTTATTACAGACCTTCCTGGAATTGCTTATACATCTTCTTGGCCCCTTTCAGCTTCACTCTGGTGATACCAGTAGGTCACTGACCCAGAACATGGCCCCTGAACTCTGGTCTTGAGGTGGTGGTGGTGGCGATGGGCTTTTTGGGGTCAACTGACTTTTACTTCCTTCCAGGCAAGGTCACTGAACATGTGAAAATATGCTGGCTTTCCACCTAGTGAGGAGCTACATTATCTCTGAGTGAGAGCAGGACATTTCACCTTTGAAATGGCAAGTGGAAAGAACAGGTGGAGGTAATCAAGGACACACACACACACACACACACACACACACACACACACACACACAGGCTAATGAGGAACAGGAGGAAAAGGGATGGTGGGCAAACAGTGGAGGGAAGTGAAGGGGTGGGTGATGAGGAGGTGAAAGGAAAAAAAGGATCTAAAGGGAAAACTAGAACTGAAAGAAGGCAGGATGCAAAGGGAGAACAGCAGAGGGTGGTTGCCGCAAACACAAATCCTTCCCACACTTACCACACACACAGGCCTTTCTCTGCATTTGCTTCCCCAAGCTCTTCATGGTCATCTTCTTCCTGTGGCTGAGGGCCTTGTCCCAGGTCTTCATCACCTCGCCCCAGGGTATCTGGGAGGACCTCTCCATGGATGGGTCCTTCAGGAGGAACCTGAGTTTCTTCTCTATGTCAGCTCCTCCAGATTCTGTAGCAGTGGCTCACACAGGTGCTTTGGCCATGCCTTTCCAAGGTTGGCCATAGGCACTAGAGTCTAGAGGGAACAGAAGAAACAGCAGAATGATTTAGTAGAGAAGTCACCCTCTCTCTAGTCAGAGAAAGGGCTTCTGGAATCAGCTGTGTGACTTCCTTCTCTCCATGCCCTCTGCCATTTTCCTGACCCCACCTGGGTTACCAAACAGGCTCCTGACTGGTCTCCCCAATCCCCATTCTTGCCCTCGTAACGAATTCTTTATATTGTGGCTATACTAAGCTTTCTAAAATGCACATCTAGTTATTTCATTTCACTTCTTAAAATCCTCAGCACCTCAGGATAAAATCACAATTTCTCAGCAAAATTTACTAGGCTCTGATAGCTTCACCTCAGGTGACCCATCCAACCTCAGTGCCATTACTTCCCTTCAATGTTTCACCTTCCCTTAAGCACCTAAGAATAGGCCCTTCTTTCTCTTCCTGTCTGAAATTTCCATAAGCTGTTCTTCCATTTCTCTGAAAGTCTTTCTCCTTCATTTAGTAAACCCCTATTCACACTTCAGCCCCCAGGTTAGGGTTAGACATTACCTCCTCCAGAAAGCCTTTTCTGATCCCCAGAGATTAGGATGGTTGCTCCTTGTAAGTTCTGCCATCCCAAGATGACCCCATGTTAGTATTTACCACTGTGTTGATTAGATTGTGAACAGCTTGAGGGGACAGAATGTCTTATACCTAAGTAGGCCCAACATTGAGAATACTATGGAGTACACATAAGGTGCTCAAAAAATGTTGCGTGAACGAACCATTAATCGACAAGTGACTCGTGGTGTCTCCATCCCACTGCTTCCTCTCTCTCACCACCATCTTCACTGATAATGTCATGTCCTTCAACATTGATCAACATTGATAATGTCGTGTCCTTCCTCCCACCCCACGGGTGCTTCTCACTTAGCAGCATCTTCATCATTCATATTGTTCATCTCTTCCTTTCTGAGGTGATTCTCTCATCAAGCCCTCTATTCAAATGGTAGCCAACATTGTACCAATGACATCAAAATTGGAGGGTATCAGGTATGCCCTCCTCAACATCCCACCACCCCACCTTCCAACTTGGACTCATCAACACCTATATTCTCCACAGAGGCAGTGAGACCTACTGGCTAAGGGCTCAGGACATTTTTTTGATATGGAGTCTCACTCTGTCACCCAGGCTGGAGTGCAGTGGCCCGATCTCGGCTCACTGCAACCTCTGCCTCCTGGGTTCAAGCAATTCTCCCACCTCAGCTTCCCAAGTAGCTAGGATTACAGGCGTGCACCACCACTCCCAGCTAAGTTTTGTATTTTTAGTAGAGACGGGGTTTCACCATGTTGGCCAGGCTGGTCTCTAACTCCTGACCTCAGGTGATACACCCACCTTGGCCTCCCAAAGTGCTGGGATTACAGGTGTGAGCCACCGCGCCCGGCCAGGCTCAGGACTTTTAAATCAGACAGATTGGGTTCTGAGTGGTAATGACCTTAGGCAATATCTTCATTTCTTAGTCCGTTAGTGGGTAATTCCACGTATTTCCTGGTGTTGCTCCTAAAGGAGACAAAATACCTGAAGTCTTATTACACATACTAGCTAAGAGTGCCAACTCAGTAAACTAATTATTACTTTATTCTTGGCTACTGAATAAAGTGTTCCTGTTTTTCAAGATCACCCGCTACTCCCCTTCAAACCGTTTCATCCCATCTAGGGCCTTGCTACATAAAATATCCTTCATAATTTATATCATCTAAGTCTCCTCAAGATGAAAAACACACTAAATACGTCCTGTCTTCAAAACAACCAGCACAACATTCTACATGTGTCAGGCCCTGCCTCAAGTCCAAATCTCATCTACCCTCCCCCGACAAGCCTATTTTCTGAAGGAGCATTATCTCTACTTGTTCTGTAGCCCAGGGCTATCTCACTTATATCTGAGCACTAGAAAGAAACTGTTCTGGTAAACAAAACTCCTAATTCTTCACATGCTGGAACTCTCTACTGAATTCAAGTTTTGATCAATCTCTGCTTCTTGAAGAAAACTTTTTGGATCCTTTGCTTCAGTGAAACCAACATTTGAGTTCTCTTGTTTATGGGAGAGTCCCTCTTCATTACTTACCCTAAATTTAGAGTCTATTAGGCAAATATTCTGACTTTTAATTCTCTTTCTACATGTTCTCCTGCTGACTCAAATCTGATTTTGAAATGAGGTGGGTTATAAACATATAAGGAGTAGATGCAAGCTTTTTCTCCCACTCATCTGATGGCTTCATCGTGCACCTGTAGGTACCGATGCCACTGAAATCTAAACTTCTATCCAAGGCTTCTTCTCCAAGCCTCAGAGTTGAATATATAAACAGCATTAGGAAACTTTTCTTTTGTATATCTCAAGTTGAATTTGGCAAAAGTAGAACTTCCTACTTTGCCTCAATTATCTATTTTGGTTAGTTGCAAGACTTAAGGTGCAATCACCCTATTTAGAAACCAGGGAATCATCATGGACCTGGACCTTCCTTCATCCAATTGATCATGAAGTTTTAACAAGATTATTTCCTAAATGTTTCTGAGACCTATTCTCTTTTCCATCACTAGGTCATGGTAGACTCTAACTTCTAGTTCAAGTCCAAGGAACCCCTCTCATCACTCCATTTGCAGAGGAAAAACAATTCAAATATGAGCTGTCCAAGGATGCACAGCAATCGGCTTGTAGTTATAGGGGTAGGGCTTATTGAAAGAGGCTAAGCAAAAATACACTGAGAATAAATGCTGTTTTTTTTTTCCTTTGTCCACTTTTGTATGGGGTAATCATTTCTTTCTTTTTAGAATGGTAAGCTCTAGAGGATAAATATTTGGATGAAGGCCATAGGAAAAGGGGCCACAGAGGCCTGTTTAATAGAGACTTCAGGTCTGAGATACAAATGAGTCCTCCCAGCTCACAGTTGGTAGCTCAGTTCATGACATTACCTAGAGTTTGCACCAACATTCAGCTAGTATTAAAAACTTTGCTCACAACTATTGCAAGGACAGAAAACCAAACACCACATGTTCTCACTCATAGGTGGGAATTGAACAATGAGAACACTTGGACACAGGGTGGGGAACATCACACACCGGGGCCTGTCTTGGGGTGGGGAGATGGGGGAGGGATAGCATTAGGAGAAATACCTAATGTAAATGATGAGTTAATGGGTGCAGCAAACAAACACGGCACAGGTATACATATGTAACAAACCTGCACGTTGTGCGCATGTGCCCTGGAACTTAATGTAAGAAAAAAAAATAATTCTGCTCAGGAGGAACATCTCTGTGTATCTTCTTGCTGAGCCTGTGGTGGTAATAGGTAACAGGCAGCTACTTGAGCTCCTGGAGTTCTTAGATGCGGGCATCTCTTTTTCAGAAGATGCAACCAATATTTTCTAACAGGACCTGGAGAATCATTTTATTTTAAAATCCCTCATAGTTCCAATGTTTAGATCACCTGTGGTTCTGTCGCTATTTTTTTCCACATTTTTTTTTAGTTATTTGGTAGTTTCTTGGCATGCTTGGTGTGTGAGTGTGAATGGATAGTGATTTTATATGAAAAAATTAGAGACTGTTCTCTGAAACTGTTACGTTTCTCTAGAAAGAATTCAGGCAGATAAGTGTACTGGCAGATCTTGATCCATCTAAGAGGACGCTTAACTTTTGCTAGTGCTAGCGTTGATCTTTTTCTGGGTTGTCCTTACTCCTAGAGTACAGCCCTTCTAGTGTTTCAAAGCTTCCTAGTGTTTCAGTGTTTATTTACAAGGGTTGCTCTACCTCCTCAGGCCCTGACCTCCAGCCTCTGACTCCCCAGCACCATCAGACTGCTAGTCTTTGCATAACTGTTTAGCTTCACAGCTGCTGCTTTCAATTCAGGTGCTGAGAATCTTGCCCTGAACATGCACAGCTTAGGAATTGGCAAACTCCTCAAGGGGAATCGGGACGCTGAACTTTGGCCCAGTTTTCTCTAAGGCTGCCTCTTCTATCTCAGGTCTCAGACTCCATGGTATCCCTGAACTGCAACTTCTTTATTCCTAGCCTGCTGGGTTTCACTCGCGTCCATGTGAAGAGACCACCAAACAGGCTTTGCGTGAGCAGCAAGGCTGTTTATTTCACCTGGGTGCAGGCGGGCTGAGTCCGAAAGAGAGTCAGCGAAGGGAGATAGGGGTGGGGCTGTTTTGTAAGATTTGGGTAGGTAAAGGAAAAAGGGGGTTGTTCTCTGGTGGGCAGGAGTGGGGGGTCACAAGACTCTCAGTGGGGGAGTTTTTGAGCCAGGATGAAGCAGGAGAAGGAATTTCACAAAGTAATGTCATCAGTTAAGGTGAGGACCAGCCATTTTCACTTCTGTTATGGTGGAATGTCATCAGTTAAGGCAGGAACAGGCCATTTAAATATCACTTCTTTTGTGATTCTTCAGTTGCTTCAGGCCATCTGGATGTATACATGCAGGTCACAGGGGATATGATGGCTTAGCCTGGGCTCGGAGGCCTGACATTCCTGTCTTCTTATATTAATAAGAAAAATAAAACATAATAGTGTTGAAGTGTTTGAGCAGTGAAAATTTTGGGGGGTGGTATGGATAGATAATGGGCGATGTTTCTCAGGGCTGCTTTGATTAGGGGCAGCGTGGGAACCTCGAGTGGGAGAGATGAAGCTGAAGGAAGATTTTGTGGTAAGGGGTGATATTGTGGGGTTGTTAGAAGAAACATTTGTCGTATAGAATTATTGGTGATGGCCTGGATATGGCTTTGTATGAATTGAAAAAAGAGCAGAATAAGACAAGGAGAACAACAGGTATTAAAGGACTAAGAATTGGGAGGACCCAGGACATTTAACTAGAGAGTGCCTAAGGAGGTTCAGCATAGCCCTGCCAGCAAAGATTATTTACTTTAGGAGGGAGTTAAGAGTGGCAGTTTGGGGATAGCACCATGAGATATCAGCTGTGATGGCTTGGAGAGACAGTGTAAACCGGCAGTGTAAACAAGAGCAGGGCA
This sequence comes from Homo sapiens, assembly GCF_000001405.40. NCBI lineage: Eukaryota > Metazoa > Chordata > Mammalia > Primates > Hominidae > Homo > Homo sapiens. The sequence goes on from NC_000011.10 coordinate 4,220,244, forward strand.
TTTATGAGTAGTTGAGAATGGTGAATAGGAGTATGACTAGACAGAAGATAGTAGGGATGACAAGTTTTTTTTTTTTTTTTTTTCGGAGGGGGTCGCAGTCCAAGTTGGTCTGGTGTCTGGAATGAGACTGGGGCCTAATAAAAAGGAGCGTCTATAGAGGAGTTCAAATGGGCTGTACCCTGTAGCATTCCGAGGACAGGCCTGAATTCTGAGAAGGGCAAGTGGTAAAAGTATTGCCCATTCCTTTTTAAGTTGGTGACTGAGCTTGGTGAGGTGAGTTTTTAAAAGACCATTAGTTCACTGAATACTAAGAGCCTGAGAAACTGCTTGGGTGATTTGACTAACAAAGGCCGGTCCGTTATCGGACTGTATAGAGGTGGGAAGCCCAAACTGAGGAATTATGTCTGACAGAAGGGAAGAAATGACTGTGGTGGCCTTCTTAGACCCTGTGAGAAAGGCCTCTACCTATCCAGTGAAAGTATCTACCTAGACCAAGAGGTATTTGAGTTTCCTGACTCGGGGCATGTTGAGTAAAGCCAATTTGCCAGTCCTGGGCGGGGGCAAATCCCCGAGCTTGATGTGTAGGGAAGGGAGGGGGCCTGAATGATCCCTGAGGAGTAGTAGAATAGCAGATGGAACCCTGAGAAGTGATTTCCTTGATGATAGATTTCCACGATGGAAAGGAAATGAGAGGTTCTAAGAGGCGGGCTGGTGGCTTGTTGTATAGCATAGCTTGCCTTTGCTGGTGTGTGGCGATTAGGCCTGGTGGAACTGCCATCAATAAATCAAGCGTGATCAGGGTGAGGAACAGGAAAGAAGGAAATATGGGGAAATGGGGTGAATGTCAGGTGGATCAGAGAGATACAGTCATGAAGGTCAGGTGTGGTATCCGGAATAATGCGGGAGGCCGGATTGAAGTCTGGGCCAGGAACAACGGTAATTGTGGGAGACTCAACAAAGAGTGAGTATAGCTGAAGGAGCCGGGAAGCAGAAAGTATATGCATCAGGTGTGAGGAAGAAAATAGGTTTTGGAAGTTTTAAGAACTATAGAGAGTGAGTTGAGCATAGTTTGTGATTTTGAGGGCCTCTAAAATTATTAAAGCAGTGGCAGCCACTGCACGCAGACATGAGGGCTAGGCAAAACAGTAAGGTCAAGTTGTTTGGACAGAAAGGCTACAGGGTGCGGTCCTGGCTCTTGTGTAAGAATTCTGACTGCACTAACCATGCCCAGGAAGGAAAGGAGTTGTTGTTTTGTAGAAGGGATTGAGGTTTGGGAGATTAGTTGGACATGATCAGCAGGGAGAGCACGTGTGTTTTTATGAGAATTATGCCGAGATAGGTAACAGATGAGGATGAAATTTGGGCTTGACTGAAGCAATGGGAGCTGTCTGTGAAGGCTTGTGGCAGTACAGCCTAGGTAATTTGCTGAGCCTGATTGGTGTCAGGGTAAGTCTAAGTGATGAAGGGTGCAAAGGGATAGTAAAGAAAGCATGTTTGAGATCAGACAGAATAATGGGTTGTGGAGGGAGGTATTGAGGTTAGGAGAGTATATGGGTTTGGCACCATGGGGTGGAGAGGCAAAACAATTTGGTTGATAAGGCACAGATCCTGAACTAACCTGTAAGAAAGACTTGTCTGGTTCTAGGACAGGTGAAATGGGGGAACTTTAAGGGGAGTTTATAGGCTTTAAAAGTCCATGCTGTAGCAGGTGAGTGATAACAGGCTTTAATCCTTTTAAAGCGTGCTGTGGGATAGAATATTGGCATTGAGGGGGGTAAGGGTGATTAGGTTTTAATAGGATGGTAATGGTCATGTGATCGGTTGCCAGGAAGGGAGTAGAGATGTCTTATACTTGTGGGTTAAGGTGGGGGGATACGAGAGGAAGATGCAAAGGAGGCTTTGGGTTGGGAAGAAGGGCGGCAATGAGATGTAGCCCAGGAATAGACAGGGAAGCAGATAATTTAATTAAAATGTCTCGGCCTAATAAGGGAGCTGGGCAGGTGGGGATAGTGAAAAAGGAGTGCTTAAAAGACTATTGTCTAAGTTGGCACCAGAGTTGGGGAGTTTTAAGAGGTTTAGAGGCCTGGCCGTCAATACCTGCAACAGTTATGGAGGCAAGGGAGACAGGCTCTTGAAAAGAAGGTAATGTGGAGTGGGTAGCCTCCTTATTGATTAAGAAGGGGATGGACTTACCTTCCATTGTGAGAGTTACCCAGAGCATCTGTGATGGTCCTGTAGGCTTCCGAGGTGATCGGGCAATGTCAGTCTTCAGCTGCTAAGCCGAGAAGATCTGGGAAGGAGTCAGAGAGTCTTGGGCCAGAGTTCCAGGGGTTCTGGAAGTGGCTGCCAGGTGAGTTGAACAGTCTGGTTTTCAGTGGGGTCTCGCACAGATGGGACACGGCTTAGGAGGAATCCTGGGCTGTGGGCATTCCTCGGCCTAGTGGCCAGATTTCCAGCACTTGTAGCAAGCTCCTGGGGGAGGAGGTTCTGGAGGAACCCCTGGCAGCAGCAGTTCAGGCATTTGGAGTTCTTGTGTGCTGGAGATGTGGCTGGGGTTTCTCTCACAGTGGAGGCAAGGAATTGGACTCAGAAATATGTTGCTACTTGGCTGCCTCTACTCTATTATTGTACACCTGGAAGGCGAGGTTAATTAGATCCTGTTGTGGGGTTTGAGGGCCGGAATTTAATTTTTGAAGTTTTTTCCTAATGTTGGGAGTGGACTGGGTGATAAAATGCATATTAAGAATAAGGCAGCCCTCTGGCCCTTCTGGGTCTAGGGCAGTAAAGCGTCTAAGGGTCACTGCTAAGCGGGCCATGTACTGGGCTGGGTTTTCATCTTTACCTTGGGTAGTTTCTTTCAGCTTGTCATAATTAACAGCTTTGTAAGCTGCCTTTTAAAGCCCTTCAATTAGGCGGGAAATCATGTAATCTCGCCTAGCTATACCTGGGGAATCTGCCTGATAGTTCCATTGGGGATCCTCTCGAGGAACTGCTCTAATGCCTTCCTGGAGGTCTGGCTCATGAAGCCGGTGGTTATCAGCATGAGATTGGGCTAGAGAAAAAACTCATTCTCGTTCACCTGGGGAGAGGGTAGAAGTCAGGATGACATTTAAGTCACTCCAGGTTAAATTGTAGGACAGAGTAAGATATTGGAATTCCTGTATGTATTTAGTGGGGTCTGATGAGAAAGAGCCTAAACGCTGACTGATCTGAGAGAGGTCTGATAGAGAAAAAGGTACATGTACCCTGACTATGCCTTCAGCTGCAGCCACTTCTCTAAGAGGAAATTGTTGGGCAGGTGGGGAAGAGCTAGTCACGGAACTAAACTGTAAGCTGGACTGGGTGTGAAGAGGGGAGGTGATAGAAGGATTACAGGGTGGAGGAGTGGAGGCTGAGGAAGAATGGGGACCTGGCTTGGCCTGGCGAGGAGCAGCCTGGGGAGGAGGGGAGAAGTCAGATGGGTCTGTAGAAAAGGAAGATTAGAAAGACTCAACTATGCTTGGGATTGGGACTGAGAGGACAGGAGGGAGGGAAAGAAGGAGGATTTGGGATGAGTCACACTGGGAACAGAGACTAGGGAGGGAACAATGTGTAAAAGAATGCCTGGACGTCAGGCACCTCAGATCATTTGCCTATTTTACAGTAAGAATTATCTAGATCTTGTAGGATGGAAAAATCGAAAGTGCTGTTTTCTGGCTATTTGGAAACACTGTTGAGTTTGTACAGGGGTCAGGCGGCATTGTAGAATAAAATAAGGCATTTAGGTTTAGGTCAGGTGTGAGTTGAAGGGGCTTTAAGTTTTTGAGAACACAGGCTAAGGGAGAAGAAGGAGGAATGGAGGGTGAAAGGCTGCCCATAGTGAAGGAGGCAAGCCCAGAGAAAAGAGAGAGTAGAGACATGGAGAGAAGGGGTGGGGGGTGCTTGCACCCAGGAAAGTGGAGAAGGGGTAGAGACACGGAGAGAAGGTGTTGGGGGGTTCTTGCCCCCCAGAAAAGCAGAGAAGGGGTAGAGACACAGAGAGAAGGGGTGGGGGGTTCTTGCCCTCCAGAAAAGCGGAGAAGGGGTAGAGACACGGAGAGAAGGGGTGGGGGCTTCTTGCCCTACAGAAAAGCGGAGAAAGGGTAGAGACACGGAAAGAAGGGGTGGGGGGTTCTTGCCCCCCAGAAAAGTGGTACTTGCCACTAAGGGTGAAAGACCAAGGCAGGCATCCCTGTGTGGTCAGACACCTCTGAAACGTGGATGAATAATCAGGTGTCCCCATGTGATTAAACACCAAGGGAAGACTGTCTTCCCGAGTCCGTGACCGGTGCTGAAGTTTTGGGTCCACGGATAAAACTCGTCTCCTGTCTCTACGAGAAAAGTAAAGAAACTGAAATTAAGAGAAGGGAGAGATTGAAGTGTGGTGCCAAGATTGAAAGGAGCAAGAGGTTGAGGGATAGTGAGAGAGGTTGGAGAAGAGAATAAAAAGAGGCCACTTACCTGATTGAAAATTGGTGTGATGTTCCTTGGGCTAGTTGGTCTGAGGACTTGAGGTGGTAGGTGGATCTTTCTCACAGAGCGAAGAGCAGGAGGATAGGGGATTGATCTCCCAAGGGAGGTCCCCTGATCCGAGTCATGGCACCAAAATTTCATTCACGTCCATGTGAAGAGACCACCAAACAGGCTTTGCGTGAGCAACAAGGCTGGTTATTTCACCTGGGTGCAGGCAGGCTGAGTCCGAAAAGAGTGTCAGCGAAGGGAGATAGGGGTGGGGCCGTTTTATAAGATTTGGGTAGGTAAAGGAAAAAGGGGGTTGTTCTCTGGTGGGCAGGAGTGGGGGCTCACAAGGTGCTCAGTGGGGGAGTTTTTGAGCCAGGATGAGCCAGGAGAAGGAATTTCACAAAGTAATGTCATCAGTTAAGGCAAGGACAGGCCATTTTGTTTTCTTTTGTGGTGGAATGTCCTCAGTTAAGGCAGGAACAGGCCATTTAAATATCACTTCTTTTGTGATTCTTCAGTTGCTTCAGGCCCTCTGGATGTATACATGCAGGTCACAGGGGATATGATGGCTTAGCTTGGGCTCAGAGGCCTGACACTGAGAATGCTACAAGCTCCCACTACCTTTCAACTTGGTCTTTGTTGCACATGCCAGGACTAAGCAAATGCTCTGAGGGCAAAAGCAGAGGCAAATGTGGGGCTTGCATAGCTGCACTAGTGTACATTCTTTCCAGCAATCTTCCCTTCAAGTCCCACTTGGATTGTTTTTTTCTTTAACAACTTTGGTTGCTTTAAGTATTTTACCTAGCTTCTATGTTTACTATTGATTGGAAGGTTAGTACAAGCTCCTCCATTGTGCTCAGATGTTGGAGATGTAGCTTCTGCTTATCCACAAGTGTCCCAAAGCCCCAAGGGACTGGTTTAGGATTTATCCTCTGTCACCTGGATGATCACACCAGACTTCTAACTGGTCTCTGCTTATAGGCTTACCCTTTCCAATCCATGCTAACTCAGGAAAATGATACATCTGTTGTATTTTTCCAAAATTTCTTATAGTATACATTTCTCAGATAATAAACTATGGCTTCTGGCTTCCCCTCTCTACCTACAGTGCTGCAGACTTGGTTCAAAAATTAGGAATTGGCAAGCCATGCTTTGGGAGGCCCAAGTGGGAGGATTGTCTGAGGTTAGGAGCTCGAGACCTGCCTGGCCAACATAGTGAGACCCCATCTCTAGAAAAAAAAATGAGCTTGGCATGGTGGTGCACTCATATAGTTCTAGCTACTTAGGAGGCTGAGGATCACTGGATTCCAGGAGTTCAAGGCTGCAGTGAGCTTTGATTGTGCCACTGTACTCCAGCGTAGGTGACAGAGCAAGACCTTGTGTCTAAAAAACAAACAAAACACAATTAAGAACTGAATTTCTAAAGTATCCAGGTACTGTATGAGCAGTGAGCCAAGATGAATATGCACAGTTCTGGTCATTGAGTCTAGTATAATGAGGATGATAGAACTATGAAAGATAACGTCAAAGTTGTAATTTTTATGATGTAATCATGCCCCTGACACTACAGGAGCCTAGATAATGGCATGGGCCTAGTTAGTACAATCCCCTTGCTGGGCTAGAGTCAGCAATGAGCTGTAATAGGAAGTCATTGTCTGTCAATACTGACACAAGGAACATTTACCGAGCATTTACTATGTTCTAGGAACTGTTCTGGCTGATCTGGAAGGGCAGATAAAGAAGTCTACCCTTTGCCCTCAAGGGGTTTGCAGTCTATTAGGAGACAACCCTGCCAAACAGTAACATACCAGGTTGTTTGAAACACATCAACAACAAAACAACAACGCCAAACAAAACAGAAACAGGAGCAAATCTATTTTTTTAAAGAGTTGAGAAGAATAGCACAAATACATAAAATGAAAAAGAAGAACAATCTTCAAAATAGAAAATGGATTTTATTATGAATTTTTATAAATAAACTTCACAAAACAAGGTGTACAAATGGACCATAAACACATGAGGTGATGCTCAGCATCTTTAGTCATCAGGGAAGTGCAAACTAAAATCCCAAAATTCCACTCAGAAACACTAAATGGCTAAAATAGAAAAGGTGAGAAAGAATGAATGTTGGTGAAGTTGTGGAACAATGGGGACGCTGATGCTGGGAATGTAAACTGATTCAACCACTTTGGAAAAAAATATTTGGCAATTCTTAGGAAGTTCAACATATATTTATCCTATAGCCCAGACATTTCAGTCTTAGGTACTCACCCAAGAGAAATTGGTTGCTTGAGGGCCTGAAGGGAGAACTGGTAGGGGGTGCTTTATGAGTGTTGTCAGTTAGGCCCTGGGCTTGCGATCCGAGGAGGGAAGAGGAGAGAGGCTGATTTTGGTATCCTGAGATTCTTCATGGACCCAAGAAGCCAAAGTGAAATCCTGAAGTGGGTTGAAGGGGACCAGGAAACTCGAAGGCTTTCTTTAGGTGCATCTGAAGAGATCTGCTGCTTGCTTTGTTCTTTACTACCAGACTTGGGCCAACAGAGACCACTTTGTCTTCTAGCATCTCTGGGACTGCTCCTGTTAGGGGAAGAAGGTATCTGAGTTACCTAAGGTGAATCCGTACGGGTCTGCAGCAACCTCAGTTCTTATCTCTTCAGAGCAGCAAGAATTCGACTAAGAGGCATAAGGCAAAAAAAGTCCGAGGTAAGTCTCAGAGCAGGAGTGGAAGCTTATTAAACAGCTTTAGAGCAGAAAGTAAAGTACACTTGGAAGAGACTCCAGTGGGTGACTTGAAGGACAAGTGCCCTGCTTAACCTTGATCCTGGGACTTTATATTGTGGCCCATTTTTGGCATATTGCACCCCTTTCCCATGATTCTTCCCTTAGGGTAGGCTGCCCACCTGCTAACACCCTCCTTATGCTTGGGAAGTGAGCATGCGCAGTGTGTTTAGGAAATTGTACTCATGTCCATCTGAGGCTTTCTTCCCTTTTCTGGTGGAATGCCTCCGGAAGGTCATACTCTGCCATTTTCTCTTAAGGCACATGCCTGGACTCACTTGCCCAAATCCTGAGATTGTACGGGAAGCTGATTACCAATCTCCAGTGTTTTTATCTGTTTGGGAAGTTGCCTCTCCCTGGTGCCCGAGTTCAATGAACACTTTAGTGTGGCAGCTATGGACCCTCAGGAGATTGTCTTTCCTCACTGGCTGCCAAGTTCTCATTTTTAGAGAGGCAGTGTGGTAACTGCCCAACCATCACTTGCTGGTCGCCTGACCTTCCTGGGGGATTGGGGGTAGAGCCCTCTCCTGCCTGGTTCATGTCTGTCTAACTACCTGTAACACTCCCATTTGGAGTCCAGGAGCAACTTGAGCGTCAGTGATAAAGATTCTGTGTTAGCAGGCCCAGCAGTCAGCAATGATCAGTCAGAAGAAACTGAACACTTACCAGTGACATGCAGAGGGGAGGGGAGAAAGATGACAACTTGGACGAAAAGTAAATTCTATTAAAAAAAATGTGAGGGGCCAACACTTTCTGAGACCAAAACACGATTTCTCTTATCAACAATTTAGTGAGTGAATTGAGATCCAAATTTGATTTGACTAATACTTCAAAACAAAAAGCAGAAATATAAGAAACCACGAGGAAAAAGAAGGGACGTGGCAGATAAATCAAGAATAACAAAATGTAAATTACTAGAATTTCACAAGGAGTAAAAGGTATTCGTGGAAGTAAGACAATAATTAAAGAATAGTAGATTATTTCTTGAATGTAATAAAAGGCTCACTGTTTCAGGTTAAACCATGCTTTCTCAACAGGAGTGATAATGTCCCTAATGGGGCAGAATCTGGTTCTCGGGGGAGTGAACAGAAATCTCACTCCCTTTATGTACAGAGCACAGATGCCGTACATAAACAAATACACACTATATCTATGCTATTAAAATTTTATGGGGAAGCGATTAGGGAAAAATGTCTGAGAAGTCTCCTTAAGTGGGGGTTGATTAAAACAATGGAGAAATACTGGACTAGAGTGATGAGGAAAAAGAAACACCGAGGCATCTGTCAGTACAAATGTTGAACTCTAAAGAGAAAGAGAAAAATCTGACAAACAAACATACCGTTAAAAAGAACATATTATCTACAGAAGAAGAATGATGCTGGAATTAGACTTTTTATCTCCAACGCTGGAACGGACAGTGGCATAGCAGTTAAGGACTACTGAGAGAAAGGACTACAGCCCAACAATCCTGGACCCAGCTGAGATGTGGCCCCTCTGTTAGGTTGAAGGAAAGATACACAGCAATTCAGACAGTTTATCTCCTGTGTTCCCCAACAGAGAAACCTATTTGAGAGAAGACTTTCCAAACATTATCACTTATGTGAACCTGAACAACAATTGGTGGGAATGTGAAGAAAAGAAAGGAAATGGAGGCATGTACTGAGGCTGGGACTAAATATTTCAATAATTTCTTATGTGTATAACAGAAAAAGAAGTTTAGACTTCAGGTAAAGTTCAGTTGTAAATAAGGACTCAGAAATTGAAGGAACTATCTGTGAGATACATTTGACTAAGACTATTGAACTAAAATTAACAAAATATCCTGGCAAAACTTGGAAGTTAGGAATAGGGGATCAGTCAAAAGTGAAAAAGAATTAAGAGCATTGCAAAACTCTTGTTTTCAAATAAGTACTAGAGAAACGTGTTCTGATCAGGAAGGCAGAGAAAGCGCAGGTAACCATTTAATGGGGTGGGTAATCCAAGTAGAATTTCAAGTTAGGTACAAAATGGAGTATATAACAACTTGATAAAAACCAAGGGCAGAAATAACAATATAAAATAAAGAAGATGCGAGGAATGTACAGTAAAAAAGTCATTACACCAAATGTGTATAGACTAAATTCTAGCATTAAATAAATTTTGAAATGTGGGTGGGTGAAGGGATCACAGGAATAAGAAATAAAATCAGGATGAACATAATCCATGCCCAGAGATTTTGATTCATTTGATCTGGGGTAGGTCCCAGACATTGGCATCTTATAAAAGTTTGGTAGAAAGGTCTTGAAATATCCAGCCACAGTTAACAATCACTGAACTGGAAAATCACTCTTAGCAGATTCCAGAACTGGAACTGTTATTGATGCCTGTGTCTCGAGGTGCCTAGAAGCCAGAATACCTTTGCCATGTTCTCCCTCAGAATCTTGAGATTTATTCATTTCTCTTCAGGTCCTGTATAACTTGTGATATCGCAATAGCAGCGGAAACATTTTTCTCTGTCTCATCACGTTGTTTTTCTAATACACTTCTCCAGGTTTTGTCTTGTGTGTGTTCCCCTATACTTGGACTTATGTAATCAAGAAGTCTGGTGCTTTGAAAAGCAATTAGTGTTTAAATAAATTATGTCTACTTTTATGTCTCTGAGTTGGTACTCTACCATCAGCTCAACATCTAATCCAATTAACCACATACTGTTTCCCTGGATTTTTTTCTTTGTCTCACTTTGTGCCTTCACTTGGAGGCAGAACATAGTGAATGCCCTTGTCATTTCCCCTGAGGACATAGGCAGTACCCGTAGTACTACCTCTAAGAAGTGTTTCAAGTAGAAATTCACTTATATGATACATTTAGTATTTCATACTGATCCTCCCGGTATTATCCTTTTATTTCTGTTGAAATTATATGCAACCACTTTGTGTATCAGTCTTCAAGGTTTGGTTTAACACTGTTTCTCAATTCTTTCAAAACACACAAAACATCTTCCTTTTCAGTAACACTTATAGCTGGTCTCTGAGATTTTTCTTCTTTTCATTTGTTAGATTTCTTTAGGTCTCAGTCATTGAGTCTGATAAGACATTTCACAACATATTTAAGATCTGACTAGCTTTTCATTTATGTTGAATGTTTCCTCTCATTTGGTTTTTCAAGAAAATCCTGTTCATTCTCTATGCCCGAAGCAGTGCATTTAACAATTCTTCAGGTGCTTCTAATGTATAGTCAAGTTTCAAAAATCTCTAGGGAAGTTCTTCTAAAACTTTGGGTTTTGGAATTATTAGGAAGACTTTGAAAAACACAGATCTCTGGGCTTCACCACTAGAGTTTCTGATTCAGTGGTTTGAGGTCCAAATTTGCATTTTTTTACAAGTTCCCAATTGAGGCTAATGCTGAGCACACACTTTGAGAAACTTGAAGGTGTTTACTGATTTGAAAAATACAGTAAGCACTCACTAACTGTGGTCAATAGGTTCTTCAAAACAATGACTTCAAGCGAAATGAGGTATAATAAAATCAATTTTATCATAGGTTAATTGATATGAACAAGAGTCACAAAAACATCACTAAATTTCTAAATAAAGATTCAACACACTTTGAGTATTAAACCTTGAAATAAATGTGAGTTATACACACATTTAAGAAAGCTTAATAAAACCAAGTAAGATTATTATTTACCCAATTTTCGGTGAATCAGTGAGTGACAGCGGTTGTAGTTGTCGTAAGTTAAATCAAGGAATAAATGTTTGCAAAGAAAAAATTATAAGGAGCTCTTCCTACTACTACACAGTTAAAAACCAACAATGACAGACACGGCAGGCTGATCTATTTTGTACTCTGATCATTATTGTCTTGCATTTGTATGATTACCACATATTTTATGAATTTTTATTTGTCAATAATTTGTATTCATTCATTCATTTTCCAATCCGCTGATTCCTCTTTGGAGTGGCAGGTGGCTGGAGCCTATCTCGGCAGCTCAAGGTGTGAGGAAGGAACCAACGCTGGACAGGACCCCATCTGGGGTTCAGGGCACACCCTCACACTAGGACCATAGAGATGTCACTTCACCTAATGTGCCCACCTTTGGGATGTGGGAGGAAACAAGAATATCCAGAGACAACCCACACAGACATAGGGAGAATACGCAAACTCCACACAGACAGTGGCCCCGGCAGAAGTCAAATTCTTTTCTCATTAATGTTATAATAAAATGATGTTAGGTGAGGCTGGGCACTGTGGCTCATGCCTGTAATCCCAGCACTTTGGGAGGCTGAAGCGGGTGGATCACTTGAGCCCCTGGGCTTTTGAGACCAGCCTGGGTAACATGGTAAAATTCCATCCTCTACAAAAAATACAGAAGTTATTCAGGCATGGTGGTACACACCTGTAGTCCAAGCTACTCAGGAGGTTGAGATGAGAGGAATGATTGAGCCCAGGAGTTTGAGGTTGCAGTGAGCCATGATGGCACCACTGCATTACAACCGGGGTGACAGAGTGAGACCCTGTCTCAAAATGAAAAAAGAAAAAAAAGGATGTTATTTGAGAACCTGCTGTATTTGCAATGTAAGAATCACCTTAAGAAGGACATAGAAAAATACAATATATTGCTTTATAGATACATTTTGTCACTGCGCCAGGGACAAAAGTGATGTCGCTGATCTGATTTACATTGAAATAAATGTGAGCCATACATACAATTAAGAAAAATTAATAAAAACAAGCAAGGTTAATATTTACTCAATTTTTCGTGAATCAGTGAGTGACAGCAAACAGAGGTCACCTATAAATGAATCCCAACTGGGTGGGGCCCCCTTTGTGGAGAGTTGCAGCTTTAGGAATTTAATCATCTTGATGATTATTGCGATTAGTTAGGAGCCCATTATCATAATGTAATCAACCATAAGGTGATTGATTATAAAGTGACATGATTATCCTTATTGTTTGGAACCCCTTTCATAATTTAAAAATCTCTTCATTTTCTTAATAAATTTTACAAACTTTTAAAGAAAAATAATTCTAAACATTGTATTTCAGTACCGAAAACTAAGACACAACTGTACCTGAAGACATAATAAAGTAGGCAGAGGCTTGCAGCAATTGCTGCCTTCTCTGGAGAATCATTATGATTTCAGTAATATCAAATGCAGAAAATGTTGTGTTGAATAACTCTTAAAATACCATAAGCAGATATGTTGTTGAGAATGGGATTTTTTTTGTATTGGTGAAAAATTTTGTGAATTTCTGGACAAAACTATATACAATGGTCCTGTGATTTATGCAATTGCATTTCTCGAACACTATGAAAATTAAAACAAGCAACATCACTTGTAATTTATAATTAAATGGGGTGCAGCCTTGGACATTGTCAATATGTTTATCATCCAATTTAATGTCTGAAGGTCACTGGAGAGTCCTATGACATGCTTGCAGGTAGCTTAATTGTCTTGGCCATTGTCAATAGCAGCCCCCATTCACTAGGAGAACCACCAGAGCAAACTCCAGATTTTAAATGAATCCAGATAGGGTGGTGCCACCTTTGTAGAGAGTTACTGCTTTAGGTAGTTTAATCATCTTGATTGTTCTTGTGATGAGTTAGGAGACGATTATCACAACCTAATCAATCCAGAAGTCATGAAGTCTCCACCCACTAATTAAGGTGACTCAATATAAACCTGCCTCCTGTGCCTCCACATTAGCTCGTTTGGAAGACCTGGGTATAGGTGGTCGTCTCCTCGGCTCCGAGACCCTGCAGCAGCTGAGGTGCCTGTGTCTCTCTGGTTCCCAGTGGCCGCCATCATGCTCTCCTCCACACTCAGGGTGGCTGTGGTGTGCGTGAGCAATGTCAACAGGAGCATGGAGGCCCACAGCATCCTCAGGAGAAAAGGGCTAAGTGTCCGGTCTTTTGGAACTGAATCTCATGTGAGGCTACCAGGACCAAGACCCAATCGTCCTGTAGTTTATGATTTTGCAACAACATATAAGGAGATGTACAATGACCTCCTCAGGAAAGATAGAGAACGCTACACCCGCAACGGAATCTTACACATCTTGGGAAGAAATGAGAGAATCAAGCCCGGTCCAGAAAGATTTCAGGAGTGCACTGATTCCTTTGATGTCATCTTCACCTGTGAGGAGAGTGTCTATGACACAGTGGTGGAAGATCTGTGTTCCAGAGAACAGCAGACCTTTCAGCCTGTGCACGTGATCAACATGGAAATCCAAGATACCCTGGAAGATGCCACCCTGGGAGCTTTCCTCATCTGTGAGATTTGCCAGTGCCTGCAGCAGTCAGACGACATGGAAGACAATCTGGAGGAGCTGCTCTTGCAAATGGAGGAGAAGGCAGGAAAAAGCTTTCTTCACACCGTCTGCTTCTACTGAACATCTGGGCTGGCTTTGTCCCCTTCCTCAGTAAGAACTTAGGCATGGGACTTTAGTCCGGATTTATTGTGAGAAGCATCTACAAAGACCTTCCACTGAGTACTGTTTGTGTTACTTTTGTACACATCACCTGAAAAGAGACTATTACCAAGAAAATATTTTATGGGAAATGAGAAGGACTAACATTTTTAAAAGCACTGAAAAATGCTTGGCATTGTGCTAGGTGCATTACATGGCATAACTAATTTCATGCTTATATCATTCTACAAGGAAGCTAGCCCACCATGACGCCATTTTCCAGATGAGCAAACCGAGCTGATAATGGACTGCTGGAAAAATGATTTGTTTAAGGGTATTCAGCAGATAAATAACATTGTATAGATAAGCACCTTTTAAATAAAATTCCTTTTCTCAATTTGAGTGGTTTTTTTTTTAAATTTTTTAATTTTTTAAGTTAGTTGAGACCAATGGAGTGTGGTATGTTAACTTAAATGTTGTTCTTCTTTAATAAGAGTACAATATTACATGTTTGAACAGATAAATGTTTTTACATATAGATTATATCTTTTTTACTAATGCTCACTTTAATAGGTAAAATCCAAGTTGGATAATGAACTACATATGATTGTAAAATTTGGAATTATCTGCTGAAATCATGTCATCAAATTAAATGAAATAAAAAATGTAAATAAAAACTATATTCTTATTTCTGTTTGGGGGATGCATTTCAAGCCACTAAGCGACATGCTTTTGTTTAAACCTTATGAATTACACTGAAAAAAAGGGATCTTTCATAGTGAAAATTTTATTAGGTTTAAAATGTTCATTGGTATGAACATTGAGAACATCAGGTGATAAACCTAATGATGTTTTCAAGGAGAAACAATTGAAACTCTTTTTCATAATCCTTGGTAGTGGCACTAAACCATGTTTACTAATAGGAGAAAAATAGATCAGAAGTAGTTGTTCATAGTTATATTAATTGACATGTTATCTATTGAACTAGACTTATTACGGCAACTTAAAATAACAGCAGAGATTAGCTCTCAAAATGAGTTTATTTGAATGAAGGTCTGGAATCAGGAATACACCGGGTATAACAAGTGACAGGTGTATCCTGAGAGGTTAGGGTAAGGGGAAACTTTTAAGGCAAAAAGAAGTCCACAGAAGCTGCTTTGAAATAAATTTATTGGTCACAGAATCTCATTGCAGGAGTCGGCATTAGCTTCTTGGTGGAGACAGCCATTGCTAGGCATGTGTTCTTGTGAGAACATTTTATGTGGAATGCTGCAGTCTTGAAGATAATGCAGTTATAGAAATATGTGTGGCCATGCAGAATGAGCAAAGTGTGTAAGACCTGCTGATGGTGTAAGGCATGTAGGATGTGCCATAATCTCTCGTGGGTTTTAGAGAGTCCTTGTGATTGTTTTTATCTCAAATACACAAGCATGGGCTCCCCTCCTTCATGACCTTCCAGCTCCACTTCATCAGCCTTCTCCACTGTGAATTTATCCTTTTTCCCATTTTCCATGCTGGACTGTTTAGAAAAAGTCCCTATGTGCAGCCCACATTTAAGGAGTGGGGACTTGTGCCCTACTTCCTTGTGGGTGGATTATCCATGTAAATTATATGGACTTACTCCTCACAGATGTGTCTATTCTCCCCCTCATTAATGAATTTATTCAATTATTTCTTCATAGCAGTATGGAATCTTGGACATTTATTTTTCTATGTGGGATTACAATTCGATCCTGCTTTGTTTTGTTGCTCAAACTTTCTGTTTTGGCCATCGCAAGCACTTTCAGTTGCCTCCTGGGCCCTTTCATGTGCCCCATCGTGGTGTTTGTTTGGTTTTACTTCATTTTTCGTGGAAAAGGAAACACTCTGGCATTATGAGATGCCCCAGGTTCATCTTATATATTTCCAGCCTCAGAATCAACAATTTCTCCAAATAATCCTGTTTGTATTACTGGAGGACGATGAGAGTAATCAAACTCAAGTGTGCTTGATGCTACTAAGGTACCAGTGTTTTCTGTCCTGCCTCCTTCAGCTACATTTAAATTTTTTCCCTTTGTCTTAATTTTCAGTTTGATTGTGAGGCATCTACATACAACTTTCTTTGTTTTTAAGCCTCCTTGAAGTTCTGTGAGCTTTTTCAATCTGTAATATTTTAGCTTTTTCCCTAATTTGAATAATTTCACAATTATTGCCTCAAAAACAAAAATCAGTCCCATTCTTTCTCTCATTTCATTTTGAGACCCAAACTACACATCTGTTAGACCTTTTGATATTGTTCCTCCAGTACCTGAGGATCTCTTTCTTTTCTTTTTGTTCTTTTTTTCTCACTTCTTCAGTTGGATAATTCTGCTGATAGACCTTATGGTTAATTTTTAGAAGTAGGATTACTGTGGTCAAAGAGACGTATAGGCCAGAAGCAGCAGCTCATGCCTATAATCCCAGCACCTTGAGAGGCTGAGGCAGGAGAATCGCCTTGAGGCCAGGAGTTCAAGACCAGCCTGAGCAACATAGTGAAGCCCTATCTCTACAAAACAATAAAAAATAGAAATTAGCGAAGTGTGGTGGCACACACCTGAGTCCTAGCTACTTATAAGGCTACTTGGAAGACAGAGTAAACATGTTTTTAAATTTATTAGATATTCAAGATGCCCTCCATAGAGCTTGTAACAATTTTCATTACGACGGGCAAACATGCCTTTTCCCTCACAAACTTGCCAGCAGGGTATAGTGTCAAGCTTTTGAAGATTTGTCAATCTGATAGTTTATCAGGTGTGGTTGCACATCTGTTAACATAGCTGCCAGCCATTCTCTCTGCTGAACACGCGTGCCATTCCATAATGATGTGCAGTCTATTACCCATCCCCTTCTATCCAGGGACATTGCCTTACGACTCGCTTCAACCAACAGACTGAGCTTGAAGTATTACATTCTCTGCTTCATGGATTAGACTTGTGTAAAACCACAAACAAGCCACATGGTGATTACACAATCCAGGTCAGACCTTGGGGTAGATCGGATATGGCGCCGGGAGCTGTGGCTCACACCAGTAATCCAAAATACAAAAATTAACCAAGTGTGGTGCTGTGCACCTGTACTCCCAGCTACTTGGGAGGCTGAGGCAGGAGAATTGCTTGAACATGGGAGGCGGATGTTGCAGTGAGTGAGCCAAGATCGCACCACTGCACTCCAGCCTGGGCAACAGAGCGAGACTCTGTCTCAAAAAAGAAGAAGAAGAAGGAGGCTCTCCCTCTCCCTCTCCCTCTCCCTATCCCTCTCCCTCTCCCTCTCCACGGTCTCCCTCTCCCTCTCCCTGGTCTCCCTCTGCTGCCAAGCTGAGGCTGGACTGTACTGCCGCCATCTCGGCTCACTGCAAACTCCCTGCCTGATTCTCCTGCCTCAGCCTGCTGAGTGCCTGGGATTGCAGGCTCGCGCCGCCACGCCTGACTGGTTTTTGTATTTTTTGGTGGAGAAGGGGTTTCGCCGTGTTGGCCGGGCTGGTCTCCAGCTCCTGACCGCGAGTGATCTGCCCGCCTCGGCCTCCCAAGGTGCCGGGATTGCGGATGGAGTCTCGCTCACTCAGTGCTCAATGTTGCCCAGGCTGGAGTGCAGTAGCGTGATCTCGGCTCGCTACAACCTGCACCTCCCAGCCGCCTGCCTTGGCCTCCCAAAGTGCCGAGATTGCAGCCTCCGCCCGGCCACCACCCCGTCTGGGAAGTGAGGAGCGTCTCTGCCTGGCCGCCCATCGTCTGGGATGTGAGGAGCCCCTCTGCACAGCCGCCCAATCTGAGATGTGAATAGCGCTTCTGCCCGGCCGCTACCCCGTCTGGAAACTGAGGAGTGTCTCTGCCCGGCCGCCGAGTCTGGGAAGTGAGGAGCGCCTCTTCCTGGCAGCCATCCGGTCTGGGAAGTGAGGAGCGTCTCTGCCCGGCCGCCCATCGTCTGAGATACGCGGAGCCCCTCTGCCAGGCCGTGACCTCGTGTGGGAACTGAGGAGTGTCTCTGCCCCCCCGCCCCATCTGAGAAGTAAGGAGCCCCTCCACCCAGCAGCCGCCCTGCCTGGGAGGGAGGTGGGGGGCAGCCCCCGCCCGGCAGCCTCCCTGTCCGGGAAGTTGGGGGCGCCTCTGCCCGGCTGCCCCGTCTGGGAAGTGAGGAGCCCCTCTGCCAGGCCACCACCACGTCTGGGAGGTGTGCTCAACAGCTCATTGGGAATGGGCCATGATGACGATGGCGGTTTTGTCGAATAGAAAGGGGGGAAATGTGAGGAAAAGAAAGACAAATCAGATTGTTGCGGTGTCTGTGTAGAAAGAAGTAGACATAGGAAACTCCATTTTGTTCTGTACTAAGAAAAATTCTTCTCCCTTGGGATGATGTTAATCTATAACCTTACCCCCAACCCCGTGCTCTCTGAAACATGTGCTGTGTCCACTCAGGGTTAAATGGATTAAGGGCGGTGCAAGATGTGCTTTGTTAAACAGATGCTTGAAGTCAGCATGGTCGTTAAGAGTCATCACCACTCCCTAATCTCAAGTACCCAGGGACACAAACACTGTGGAAGGCCACAGGGTCCTCTGCCTAGGAAAACCAGAGACCCTTGTTCACATGTTTATCTGCTGACCTTCCCTCCACTATTGTCCTATGACCCTGCCAAATCCCCCTCTCTGAGAAACACCCAAGAATGATCAATAAATACAAAAAAAAAAAAAAAAAGAAGAAGAAGGAGAATGAGAAGATTGGATGTGGGAAGTGAGGAGGGAGAGGAAGTAAAAGAGAGGAAATAAAACAATTACAAATAAAGCTATTAACATACTTATAATATTAAGTTTTTTTATGAAACAAAGTATTTCCCTCATTTTTTGAGTGTTTTGTTAGTCTTCTTATGGTAATTTTAAAACGGAAGAAAAAACACACATACACAAATACAGAAAACCAAACAAAAATAAAGGAGTTGCTTAAGAAATTATTATAAGGCATACATCATGTAATCAAGAAATAGAAATTTGTCAGACACACCTAAAGCAATGTTCATTTGACTGGTCCTTATCACAATATCCTTCTTTCTGGCACAACTCACTTTTATAGTTCAGATTCATCTTCAAATCTTCCTGAAATTTGTATCCAAATGTCATTTTTCATCTTCAATAACCATGTGAACACCCATTTGCCTCTTTCTCTGGCTACTTCCTCAAGAAATCATTGTATTTCCATTACAGTAAATCTAAGTCTTTATTTCCCACTCTACATAGTATATAGTCAGATACGCGAGGTCACCATTACGACTTCCAATCAGAGCTCCCCTCCCTCTACCCAATAAACCAATACTAGAGGTGTTCAACAACCTAGAAAGTCTTCTTACCATATCTGCCCAACATATCATCGTGCCCCATACTTCCCACACCCTGGATTTTTAGTGATTATATAAGCTCTCACTTCTCATGCTTCCTCACAACCAACTACTGCCACAGTTCTTAGGAATTCCAGCATCCACACAGATTATCCACCCAGCACCCTCAAGACTCTCACTTCTTCTCCAATTGCACTTGTCTACTCCCCACCAGAGATACCCATGGTCAGAGTCACCAAGAACCTCACCACTAGATCAAAATCTGAAACAGTCATGCCCCAACTATAAGACCACATCTTTCCATTCACTTTTGCTTCTTTATTTAAACTATAAGGGCTGTTTGACCATGCATTGTGCCACAACCCATGGATTCCAGCCCAATCCCTATGTATTTACCCTTTCTGGTCCAAAACCAGGTTTCATGGTTTATCACTATAATTACACCCTTTCAAACTCCCGAAGCTTTTCTGCACCTTGCTCTTCTGTCACATTTGCATTGTCCATGTCCAAACAGACAGAAAAGAGAAACTCAACCACCTTGTCATGTTTTTCCAAATTGATTGACTGGAAAAATTAGTATCTATGGGACAGTCTCACTTTTATCTTCAGAAGAGCTCTCACAAAAAACTACACTCAGGTTTGTATTCCCATATTTTAAAACAATTATCTATGCCAAATATCCTCACCCCATCCCCAATCATGATCCTGACTGCCCACTGCCAGCTGATGGCCTTATCTTAAGCCACATTGACAGAATAGAGAGAAACTATCAGTGAGGAAACACCTCACTGCCCTACCACCAAAACTTTCACTTATATATTTGGACCAAGCCACCCTTAAAATCAGAAATCTGAGAGTGATTCAAAAGTCCTCCTTTTCTCATCAAGAAGTCTCTCATGTCAGCTCTAACATCCCTCTGCAATGTGTCCATTCTTCTGCCTTTTGACAGACACTTCCCTCCCCCAAGCTTCCAACCTCTCCTCTGTGAACTACTGTACCAGTGGGTTCCCCACTTCCACTTGCCTCCTGCTACCCACACTGCAAGAGGAAAAAGAATATTTTCTTACAACTTTGAAAGTTTCTGATACCAAAAATGTGAAAGTTGTTACTACCAAGATGAAGTCCAGTATCGTCAGATCCAGGTGAAGTGGAGCTGGAGGGTCATGAAGGAGGGGAGCCCATGCCTGTATATCTGAGATAAGAGCTATCACGACTCCCTAAAACCCACAAGAGATCATGGCACATCCTACATGCTTTACACCACAAGCAGGTCTTACACACTTTGCTCATTCTGCATGTTCACACATATTTCTGTAACTGCATTATATTCAAGACTGCAGCATTATAGATAAAATGTTCTCGCAGGAACACATGCCTAGCAATGGCTGTCTCTACCAAGAAGCTAACGCCAACTCCTGCAGTCAGCTTCTGTGACCAATAAACTTTGTTTTAAAGTAGTTTCTGTGGACTTCTTTTTGCCTTTAAAAGTTTCCCCTTACCCCAACCTGTCAGGATGCACCTACAACTTGTTATACCTGGTGCATTCCTGTTTGCAATCCTTCGTTTAAATAAACTCATTATCTTTGGAAAGCTAATCTCTGCTGTTATTTTAGGTTGCCATAATAAGTCTAATTCAGTAGATAACATGTAAATTAATTCAACTCTGAACAACTACTTCTGATCTATTTTTTCTCCTATTAGTGAACATGTTTTAGTGCCACTACCAAGGATTATGGAAAGTGTTTCACTTGTTTCTCCATGAAAACATCATTAGGTTTATCACCTGATGTTCTCAATGCTCAAGTCAATAAACATTTTAAATTTAATACAATTTGAATCTCTCAATATGAGAGATTGCTTATTTCACTGTAATCTGTAAGCCTTAAATAAAAACATGTGGCTTAGTGGTGTGAAATCCATCCCCCAACATAAATAAGAATATAGTTTTTTTTTAAAATTTTTTATTTGATTTTATTTGGTGACCTATTATTTGAGGAGATAATTCCAAATTTTATGATAATCTGTGGTTTGTTATCCAACTTGGGTTTTTTTTTTTCAGTGTAATTCATAAGGTTTAAATAAAAGCATGTCGCTTAGTGGCTTGAAATGCATCCTCCAAACAGAAATAAGAATATACTTTTTATTTACATTTTTTATTTCATTTAATTTGATGACCTATGATTTGAGCAGATAATTCCAAATTTTACAATCATATGTAGTTCATTATCCAACTTGGATTTTACCCATTAAAGTGAGCATTAGTAAAAAAGATATAATTTATATGTAAAAACAGTTATCTGTTCAAACATGTAATATTGTACTCTTATTAAAGAAGAACAACATTTAAGTTAACATACCACACTCCATTGGTCTCAACTTACTTAAAAAATTAAAAAGAAACCACTCAAATTGAGAAAAGGAAGTTTATTTAAAAGGTGCTTATCTATACAATGTTATTTATCTGCTGAATACCCTTAAACAAATCATTTTTCAAGCAGTCCATTATCAGCTCGGTTTGCTCATCTGGAAAATGGCGTCATGGTGGGCTAGCTTCCTTGTAGAATGATATAAGCATGAAATTAGTTATCCCATGTAATGCACCTAGCACAATGCCAACCATTTTTCAGTGCTTTTAAAAATGTTAGTCCTTCTCATTTCCCATAAAATATTTTCTTGGTAATAGTCTCTTTCCAGGTGATGTGTACAAAAGTAACACAAACAGTACTCAGTGGAAGGTCTTTGTAGATGCTTCTCACAATAAATCCGGACTAAAGTCCCATGTCTAAGTTCTTACTGAGGAAGGGGACAAAGCCAGCCCAGATGTTCAGTAGAAGCAGACGGTGTGAAGAAAGCTTTTTCCTGCCTTCTCCTCCATTTGCAAGAGCAGCTCCTCCAGATTGTCTTCCATGTCGTCTGACTGCTGCAGGCACTGGCAAATCTCACAGATGAGGAAAGCTCCCAGGGTGGCATCTTCCAGGGTATCTTGGATTTCCATGTTGATCACGTGCACAGGCTGAAAGGTCTGCTGTTCTCTGGAACACAGATCTTCCACCACTGTGTCATAGACACTCTCCTCACAGGTGAAGATGACATCAAAGAAATCAGTGCACTCCTGAAATCTTTCTGGACCGGGCTTGATTCTCTCATTTCTTCCCAAGATGTGTAAGATTCCGTTGCGGGTGTAGCATTCTCTATCTTTCCTGAGGAGGTCATTGTACATCTCCTTATATGTTGTTGCAAAATCATAAACTACAGGACGATTGGGTCTTGGTCCTGGTAGCCTCACATGAGATTCAGTTCCAAAAGACCGGACACTTAGCCCTTTTTTCCTGAGGATGCTGTGGGCCTCCATGCTCCTGTTGACATTGCTCACGCACACCACAGCCACCCTGAGTGTGGAGGAGAGCATGATGGCGGCCACTGGGAACCAGAGAGACACAGGCACCTCAGCTGCTGCAGGGTCTCGGAGCCGAGGAGACGACCACCTATACCCAGGTCTTCCAAATGAGCTAATATGGAGGCACAGGAGGCAGGTTTATATTGAGTCACCTTAATTAGTGGGTGGAGACTTCATGACTTCTGGATTGATTAGGTTGTGATAATCGTCTCCTAACTCATCACAAGAACAATCCAGATGATTAAATTACCTAAAGCAGTAACTCTCAGCAAAGGTGGCACCACCCAGTCTGGATTCACTTAAAATCTGGAGTTTGCTCTGGTGGTTCTCCTAGTGAATGGGGGCTGCTATGGACAATGGCCAAGACAATTAAGCTACCTGCAAGCATGTCATAGGACTCTCCAGTGACCTTCAGACATTAAATTGGATGATAAACATATTGACAATGTCCAAGGCTGCACCCTATTTAATTATAAATTACAAGTGATGTTGCTTGTTTTAATTTTCATAGTGTTCGAGAAATGCAATTGCATAAATCACAGGACCATTGTACATAGTTTTGTCCAGAAATTCACAAAATTTTTCACCAATCCAAAAAAAACCCATTCTCAACAACATATCTGCTTATGGTATTTTAAGAGTTATTCTACACAACATTTTCTGCCTTTGATATTACTGAAATCATAATGATTCTCCAGAGAAGGCAGCAACTGCTGCAAGCCTCTGCCTACTTTAATATGCCTTCAGGTACAGTTGTGTCTTAGTTTTCGGTACTGAAATACAATGTTTAGAATTATTTTTCTTTAAAAGTTTGTAAAATTTATTAAGAAAATGAAGAGATTTTAAAATTATGAAAGGGGTTCCAAACAATAAGGATAATCATGTCACTTTATAATCAATCACCTTATGGTTGATTAGATTATGATAATGGGCTCCTAACTAATTGAAATAATCATCAAGATGATTAAATTCCTAAAGCTGCAACTCTCCACAAAGGGGGCCCCACCCAGTCGGGATTCATTTATAGGTGAGCTCTGTTTGCTGTCACTCACTGATTCACCAAAAATTGAGTAAATAATAACCTTGCTTGTTTTTATTAATTTTTCTTAAATGTATGTATGGCTCACATTTATATCAATGTAAATCAGATCAGGGACATCACTTTTGTCCCTGGTGCAGTGACAAAATGTATCTATAAAGCAATATATTGTATTTTTGTATGTCCTTCTTAAGGTGATTCTTACATTGCAAATACAGCAGGTTCTCAAATAACATCCTTTTTTTTCTTTTTTCATTTTGACAAAGGGTCTCACTCTGTCACCCCGGTTGTAATGCAGTGGTGCCATCATGGCTCACTGCAACCTCAGACTCCTGGGCTCAATCATTCCTCTCATATTGATCTCCTGAGTAGCTTGGACTACAGGTGTGTACCACCATGCCTGAATAACTTCTGTATTTTTTGTAGAGGATGGAATTTTACCATGTTACCCAGGCTGGTCTCAAAAGCCCAGGGGCTCAAGTGATCCACCCGCTTCAGCCTCCCAAAGTGCTGGGATTACAGGCATGAGCCACTGTGCCCAGCCTCACCTAACATCATTTTATTGTAACATTAATGAGAAAAAAGTTTGACTTCTGGCGGGGCCACTGTCTGTGTGGAGTTTACGTATTCTCCCTATGTCTGTGTGGGTTGTCTCTGGATACTCTTGTTTCCTCCCACATCCGAAAGATGTGCACATTAGGTGAACTGACATCTCTATGGTCCTAGTGTGAGGGTGTGCCCTGAATCCCAGATGGGGTCCTGTCCAGCGTTGATTCCTTCCTCACACCTTGAGCTGCCGAGATAGGCTCCAGCCACCTGCCACTCCAAAGAGGAATCAGCGGATTGGAAAATGAATGAATGAATACAAATTATTGACAAATAAAAATTCATAAAATATGTGGTAATCATACAAATGCAAGACAATAATGATCAGAGTACAAAATAGATCAGCCTGCCGTGTCTGTCATTGTTGGTTTTTAACTGTGTAGTAGTAGGAAGAGCTCCTTATAATTTTTTCTTTGCAAACATTTATTCCTTGATTTAACTTACCACAACTACGGCCACTGTCACTCACTGATTCACCAAAAATTGGGTAAATAATAATCTTACTTGGTTTTATTAAGCTTTCTTAAATGTGTGTATAACTCACATTTATTTCAAGGTTTAATATTCAAAGTGTGTTGAATCTTTATTTAGAAATTTGGTGATGCTTTTGTGACTCTTGTTCATATCAATTAACCTATGATAAAATTGATTTTATTATACATCATTTCGCTTGAAGTCATTGTTTTGAAGAACCTATTGACCACAGTTAGTGAGTGCTTACTGTATTTTTTAAATCAGTAAACACCTTCAAGTTTCTCAAAGTGTGTGCTCAGCATTAGCCTCAATTGGGAGCTATTAAAAAAAAATGCAAATTTGGACCTCAAACCACTGAATCAGAAACTCGAGTGGTGAAGCCCAGAGATCTGTGTTTTTCAAAGTCTTCCTAATAATTCCAAAAGCCAAAGTTTTAGAAGAACTTCCCTAGAGATTTTTGAAACTTGACTATACATTAGAAGCATCTGAAGAATTGTTAAATGCACTGCTTCGGGCATAGAGAATGAACAGGATTTTCTTGAAAAACCAAATGAGAGGAAACATTCAACATAAATGAAAAGCTAGTCAGATCTTAAATATGTTGTGAAATTTCTTATCAGACTCAATGACTGAGACCTAAAGAAATCTAACAAATGAAAAGAAGAAAAATCTCAGAGACCAGCTATAAGTGTTACTGAAAAGGAAGATGTTTTGTGTGTTTTGAAAGAATTGAGAAACAGTGTTAAACCAAACCTTGAAGACTGATACACAAAGTGGTTGCATATAATTTCAACAGAAATAAAAGGATAATACCGGGAGGATCAGTATGAAATACTAAATGTATCATATAAGTGAATTTCTACTTGAAACACTTCTTAGAGGTAGTACTACGGGTACTGCCTATGTCCTCAGGGGAAATGACAAGGGCATTTACTATGTTCTGCCTCCAAGTGAAGGCACAAAGTGAGACAAACAAAAAAATCCAGGGAAACAGTATGTGGTTAATTGGATTAGATGTTGAGCTGATGGTAGAGTACCAACTCAGAGACATAAAAGTAGACATAATTTATTTAAACACTAATTGCTTTTCAAAGCACCAGACTTCTTGATTACATAAGTCCAAGTATAGGGGAACACACACAAGACAAAACCTGGAGAAGTGTATTAGAAAAACAACGTGATGAGACAGAGAAAAATGTTTCCGCTGCTATTGCGATATCACAAGTTATACAGGACCTGAAGAGAAATGAATAAATCTCAAGATTCTGAGGGAGAACATGGCAAAGGTATTCTGGCTTCTAGGCACCTCGAAACACAGGCATCAATAACAGTTCCAGTTCTGGAATCTGCTAAGAGTGATTTTCCAGTTCAGTGATTGTTAACTGTGGCTGGATATTTCAAGACCTTTCTACCAAACTTTTATAAGATGCCAATGTCTGGGACCTACCCCAGATCAAATGAATCAAAATCTCTGGGCATGGATTATGTTCATCCTGATTTTATTTCTTATTCCTGTGATCCCTTCACCCACCCACATTTCAAAATTTATTTAATGCTAGAATTTAGTCTATACACATTTGGTGTAATGACTTTTTTACTGTACATTCCTCACATCTTCTTTATTTTATATTGTTATTTCTGCCCTTGGTTTTTGTCAAGTTGTTATATACTCCATTTTGTACCTAACTTGAAATTCTACTTGGATTACCCACCCCATTAAATGGTTACCTGCGCTTTCTCTGCCTTCCTGATTAGAACACGTTTCTCTAGTACTTATTTGAAAACAAGAGTTTTGCAATGCTCTTAATTCTTTTTCACTTTTGACTGATCCCCTATTCCTAACTTCCAGGTTTTGCCAGGATATTTTGTTAATTTTAGTTCAATAGCCTTAGTCAAATGTATCTCACAGATAGTTCCTTCAATTTCTGAGTCCTTATTTACAACTGAGAATGAACTTTACCTGAAGTCTAAACTTCTTTTTCTGTTATGCACATAAGAAATTATTGAAATATTTAGTCCCAGCCTCAGTACATGCCTCCATTTCCTTTCTTTTCTTCACATTCCCACCAATTGTTGTTCAGGTTCACATCAGTGACAATGTTTGGAAAGTCTTCTCTCAAATAGGTTTCTCTGTTGGGGGACACAGGAGATAAACTGTCTGAATTACTGTGTATCTTTCCTTCAACCTAACAGAGGGGCCACATCTCAGCTGGGTACAGGATTGTTGGGCTGTAGTCCTTTCTCTCAGTAGTCCTTAACTGCTATGCCACTGTCCGTTCCAGCGTTGGAGATATAAAGTCTAATTCCAGCATCCTTCTCCTTCTGTAGATAATATGTTCTTTTTAACTGTATGTTTGTCAGATTTTTCTCTTTCTCTTTAGAGTTCAACATTTGTACTGACAGATGCCTCAGTGTTTCTTTTTTCTCATCACTCTAGTCCAGTATTTCCCCATTGTTTTAATCAACCCCCACTTAAGGAGCCTTCTTAGACATTTTTCCCTAATCACTTCCCCATAAAATTTTAATAGCATAGATATAGTGTGTATTTGTTTATGTACGGCATCTGTGCTCTGTACATAAAGGGAGTGAGATTTCTGTTCACTCCCCCGAGAACCAGTTTCTGCCCCATTATGGACATTGTCACTCCTGTTGAGAAAGCATGGTTTAACCTGAAACAGTGAGCCTTTATTACATTCAAGAAATAATCTACTATTCTTTAATTATTGTCTTACTTCCACGAATACCTTTTACTCCTTGTGAAATTCTAGTAATTTACATTTTGTTATTCTTGATTTATCTGCCACGTCCCTTCTTTTTCCTCGTGGTTTCTTATATTTCTGCTTTTTGTTTTGAAGTATTAGTCAAATCAAATTTGGATCTCAATTCACTCACTAAATTGTTGATAAGAGAAATCGTGTTTTGGTCTCAGAAAGTGTTGGCCCCTCACATTTTTTTTAATAGAATTTACTTTTTGTCCAAGTTGTCATCTTTCTCCCCTCCCCTCTGCATGTCACTGGTAAGTGTTCAGTTTCTTCTGACTGATCATTGCTGACTGCTGGGCCTGCTAACACAGAATCTTTATCACTGACGCTTAAGTTGCTCCTGGACTCCAAATGGGAGTGTTACAGGTAGTTAGACAGAGATGAACCAGGCAGGAGAGGGCTCTACCCCCAACCCACCAGGAAGGTCAGGTGACCAGCAAGTGATGGTTGGGCAGTTACCACACTGCCTCTCTAAAAATGAGAACTTGGCAGCAGTGAAGAAAGACAATCTCCTGATGGTCCATAGCTGCCACACTAAAGTGTTCATTGAACTCAGGCACCAGGGAGAGGCAACTTCCCAAACAGATGAAAACACTTGAGATTGGGTATCAGCTTCCAATAAAATCTCAGGATTTGGGCAAGTGAATCCAGGCATGTGCCTTAAGAGAAAATGGCAGAGTATGACCTTCCGGAGGCATTCCACCAGAAAAGGGAAGAAAGCCTCAGATGGACATGAGTACAATTTCCTAAACACACTGCGCATGCTCACTTCCCAAGCATAAGGAGGGTGTTAGCAGGTGGGCAGCCTACCCTAAGGGAAGAATCATGGGAAAGGGGTGCAATATGCCAAAAATGGGCCACAATATAAAGTCCCAGGATCAAGGTTAAGCAGGGCACTTGTCCTTCAAGTCACCCACTGGAGTCTCTTCCAAGTGTACTTTACTTTCTGCTCTAAAGCTGTTTAATAAGCTTCCACTCCTGCTCTGAGACTTGCCTCGGTCTTTTTTTGCCTTATGCCTCTTAGTCGAATTCTTGCTGCTCTGAAGAGGTAAGAACTGAGGTTGCTGCAGACCCGTACGGATTCACCTTAGGCAACTCAGATACCTTCTTCCCCTAACAGGAGCAGTCCCAGAGATGCTAGAAGACACAGGGGTCTCTGTTGGCCCAAGTCTGGTAGTAAAGAACAAAGCAAGCAGCAGATCTCTTCAGATGCACCTAAAGAAAGCCTTTGAGTTTCCTGGTCCCCTTCAACCCACTTCAGGGTTTCCCTTTGGCTTCTTGGGTCCATGAAGAATCTCAGGATACCAAAATCAGCCTCTCTCCTCTTCCCTCCTCGGATCGCAAGCCCAGGGCCTAACTGACAACACTCATAAAGCACCCCCTACCAGTTCTCCCTTCAGGCCCTCAAGCAACCAATTTCTCTTGGGTGAGTACCTAAGACTGAAATGTCTGGGCTATAGGATAAATATATGTTGAACTTCCTAAGAATTGCCAAATATTTTTTTCCAAAGTGGTTGAATCAGTTTACATTCCCAGCATCAGCGTCCCCATTGTTCCACAACTTCACCAACATTCATTCTTTCTCACCTTTTCTATTTTAGCCATTTAGTGTTTCTGAGTGGAATTTTGGGATTTTAGTTTGCATTTCCCTGATGACTAAAGATGCTGAGCATCATCTCATGTGTTTATGGTCCATTTGTACACCTTGTTTTGTGAAGTCTTATTTATAATAATTATTAATAAAATTTATTTTCTATTTTCAAGATTGTTCTTATTTTTCATTTTATGTATTTGTGCTATTCTTCTCAACTCTTTAAAAAAATAGATTTGCTCCTGTTTCTGTTTTGTTTGGTGGTGTTGTTTTGTTGTTGATGTGTTTCAAACAACCTGGTATATTACTGTTTGGCAGGGTTGTCTCCTAATAGGCTGCAAACCCCTTGAGGGCAAATGGTAGACTTCTTTATCTGCCCTTCCAGATCAGCCAGAAAAGTTCCTAGAACATAGTAAATGCTTGGTAAATTTCCTTGTGTCAGTATTGACAGACAATGACTCCCTATTACAGCTCATTGCTGACTCTAGCCCAGCAAGGGGATTGTACTAACTAGGCCCATGCCATTATCTAGGCTCCTGTAGTGTCAGGGGCATGATTACGTCATAAAAATTACAACTTTGACGTTATCTTTCATAGTTCTATCATCCTCATTATACTAGACTCAATGACCAGAACTGTGCATATTCATCTTGGCTCACTGCTCATACAGTACCTG
This sequence comes from Homo sapiens, assembly GCF_000001405.40. NCBI lineage: Eukaryota > Metazoa > Chordata > Mammalia > Primates > Hominidae > Homo > Homo sapiens. The sequence goes on from NC_000011.10 coordinate 4,249,777, forward strand.
GATACTTTAGGAATTCAGTACTTAATTGTGTTTTGTTTGTTTTTTAGAGACAAGGTCTTGCTCTGTCACCTATGCTGGAGTACAGTGGCACAATCAAAGCTCACTGCAGCCTTGAACTCCTGGAATCCAGTGATCTTCAGCCTCCTAAGTAGCTAGAACTATATGAGTGCACCACCGTGCCAAGCTCATTTTTTTTTCTAGAGATGGGGTCTCACTGTGTTGGCCAGGCAGGTCTCGAGCTCCTAACCTCAGGCAATCCTCCCACTTGGGCCTCCCAAAGCATGGCTTGCCAGTTCCTAATTTTTGAACCAAGTCTGCAGCACTGTAGGTAGAGAGGGGAAACCAGAAGCCATAGTTTATTATCTGAGAAATGTATACTATAAGAAATTTTGGAAAAATACAACAGATGTATCATTTTCCTGAGTTAGCATGGATTGGAAAGGGTAAGCCTATAAGCAGAGACCAGTTAGAAGTCTGGTGTGATCATCCAGGTGACAGAGGATAAATCCTAAACCAGTCCCTTGGGGCTTTGGGACACTTGTGGATAAGCAGAAGCTACATCCAACATCTGAGCACAATGGAGGAGCTTGTACTAACCTTCCAATCAATAGTAAGCATAGAAGCTAGGTAAAATACTTAAAGCAACCAAAGTTGTTAAAGAAAAAAACAATCCAAGTGGGACTTGAAGGGAAGATTGCTGGAAAGAATGTACACTAGTGCAGCTATGCAAGCCCCACATTTGCCTCTGCTTTTGTCCTCAGAGCATTTGCTTAGTCCTGGCATGTGCAACAAAGACCAAGTTGAAAGGTAGTGGGAGCTTGTAGCATTCTCAGTGTCAGGCCTCTGAGCCCAAGCTAAGCCATCATATCCCCTGTGACCTGCATGAATACATCCAGAGGGCCTGAAGCAACTGAAGAATCACAAAAGAAGTGATATTTAAATGGCCTGTTCCTGCCTTAACTGATGACATTCCACCACAAAAGAAAAGAAAATGGCCTGTCCTTGCCTTAACTGATGACATTACTTTGTGAAATTCCTTCTCCTGGCTCATCCTGGCTCAAAAACTCCCCCACTGAGCAACTTGTGACCCCCCACTCCTGCCCACCAGAGAAGAACCCCCTTTTTCCTTTACCTACCCAAATCTTATAAAACGGCCAGACCCCTATCTCCCTTTGCTGACACTCTTTTCGGACTCAGCCTGCCTGCACCCAGGTGAAATAACCAGCCTTGTTGCTCACGCAAAGCCTGTTTGGTGGTCTCTTCACATGGACGCGAGTGAAACTCAGCAGGCTAGGAATAAAGAAGTTGCAGTTCAGGGATACCATGGAGTCTGAGATCTGAGATAGAAGAGGCAGCCTTAGAGAAAATTGGGCCAAAATTCAGCGTGCTGATTCCCCTTGAGGAGTTTGCCAATTCCTTAGCTGTGCATGTTCAGGGCAAGATTCTCAGCACCTGAATGGAAAGCAGCAGCTGTGAAGCTAAACAGTTATGCAAAGACTAGCAGTCTGATGGTGCTGGGGAGTCAGAGGCTGGAGGTCAGGGCCTGAGGAGGTAGAGCAACCCTTGTAAATAAACACTGAAACACTAGGAAGCTTTGAAACACTAGAAGGGCTGTACTCTAGGAGTAAGGACAACCCAGAAAAAGATCAACGCTAGCACTAGCAAAAGTTAAGCGTCCTCTCAGATGGATCAAGATCTGCCAGTACCCTTATCTGCCTGAATTCTTTCTAGAGAAACGTAACAGTTTCAGAGAACAGAGTCTCTAGTTTTTTCATATAAAATCACTATCCATTCACACTCACACACCAAGCATGCCAAGAAACTACCAAATAAGTAAAAAAAAAAAAAGTGGAAAAAAATAGCGACAGAACCACAGGTGATCTAAACATTGGAACTATGAGGGATTTTAAAATAAAATGATTCTCCAGGTCCTGTTAGAAAATATTGGTTGCATCTTCTGAAAAAGAGATGCCCGCATCTAAGAACTCCAGGAGCTCAAGTAGCTGCCTGTTACCTATTACCACCACAGGCTCAGCAAGAAGATACACAGAGATGTTCCTCCTGAGCAGAATTATTTTTTTTTCTTACATTAAGTTCTAGGGCACATGCGCACAACGTGCAGGTTTGTTACATATGTATACCTGTGCCGTGTTTGTTTACTGCACCCATTAACTCATCATTTACACTGGGTATTTCTCCTAATGCTATCCCTCCCCCATCCCCCCACCCCACGACAGGCCCCAGTGTGTGATGTTCCCCACCCTGTGTCTAAGTGTTCTCATTTTTCAATTCCCACCTATGAGTAAGAACATGTGGTGTTTGGTTTTCTGTCCTTGCAATAGTTGTGAGCAAAGTTTTTAATACTAGCTGAATGTTGGTGCAAACTCTAGGTAATGTCATGAACTGAGCTACCAACTGTGAGCTGGGAGGACTCATTTGTATCTCAGACCTGAAGTCTCTATTAAACAGGCCTCTGTGGCCCCTTTTCCTATGGCCTTCATCCAAATATTTATCCTCTAGAGCTTACCATTCTAAAAAGAAAGAAATGATTACCCCATACAAAAGTGGACAAAGGAAAAAAAAAACAGCATTTATTCTCAGTATATTTTTGCTTAGCCTCTTTCAATAAGCCCTACCCCTATAACTACAAGCCGATTGCTGTGCATCCTTGGACAGCTCATATTTGAATTGTTTTTCCTCTGCAAATGGAGTGATGAGAGGGGTTCCTTGGACTTGAACTAGAAGTTAGAGTCTTCAACATACTGATTTCATATATTTGGATATATACACAGTAGTGAGATTGCTGGATCATAGATAGTTCTATTTTTAATTTTTTTATGACTGTCCATACTGTTTTCCATAATAGTTATACTATCTAACATTCCCACCAACAATGTGCAAGGGTTCCCCTTCTCCCCATTCTCTCCAACACTTTTTATTTTTTGTCTTTTCGTTAATAGTCATTCTAACATGTATGAGGTGATATCTCATTGTGGTTTTAATTTGCATTTCCCTGATGATTAATTTTGTTGACCTTTTTCTTTTCTTCATTTACCTATGGGCCATTTGTATGTCTTATTTGAGAATTGCCTATTTAGGTACTTTGCCCATTTTTTAAGAAGTTTATTCCCTACTATTGGGTTGTTGGAATTATTTATCTATTTTGGCTATTAACCCCTTATCAGATAAAGGTTTGCAAATATTTTCTCCCATTCCATAGATTGCCTTTTTCTTCTGTTATTTCCTGCCTATGCAGAAGTTTTTCTAGTTTTAAATAATTCTGCCAATTTTCATTATTGTTGCCTATGATTTTGGATTCTTATTCAAAAAATTGTTGTCCAGACCAATGTCATGAAGCTTTTCCCCCGTTTTCTACTAGCTGTTTTAGAGTTTCTAGTCTTACAGTTAAGCGTTTAATCCATTTTGACGTAATTTTTGTATGTAGAGTGAGATAAGGATCTAATTTTATTCTTTTGTTTGTGGATATTGAGTTATCCCAATACCATTTATTAAAGAGACTGATTGTCCCCCTTGTCTGTTCTTGCCACCTTTGGCAAAAGTCAATTGACAGTAAATGTGTGGAATTATACCTAGGTTCTTTAGTCTGCTCCATTGGTCTTTGTGTCCTTTTGTTAATGTTAGTACCTTGCTGTTTTAATTACTATAGCTTTATAATATATTTTGTAGTATATTTTGAAGTCAGGTATTATTATACGTCCAGTTTTGGTTTTTGTATTTTATTTTTCATGTTTTACTTGAGAGTGCTTTGGCTATTCAAGGTCTTATATGGTTCCATAATAATTTTAAGGTTGTGTTTTCTACCTCTGTGGAGAATGTCATTGGTATTTTGATAGGGACTACACTGAATCTGTAGATTGCTTTGGGTAGTGTGGATGTTTTAACAATATTAATTCTTCCAATCCATGAACAGAGGCTATCTTCCCATTTATTTGTGTCTTCTTCAGTTTCCTTCATCAGTGTTTTCTAGTTTTCAGTGTACAGGTTTTTCACTTCCTTGGCTAAATATATTCCTAAGTAACTTATTCTTATTAATGCTATCATAAATGAAATTGTGTTCTTGATTTCTTTTTTAGATAGTTTCTTGTTAGTGTATAGAAAAGCTACTAATTTTATGTGTTAATTTTATATCTTGCTAATTTACTGAATTTTTATCAGTGCTAACAGTTTTTTGGTGGAGTCTATAAAGTTTTCTTCATATACAATCATGTCATCTGCAAACCAGGGACAATTTAACTGCTTCCTTTTCGATCTAGAAACCTTTTATTTCTTTCTCCTGCTGAATTGCCCTGGCTAGGACTTCCAGTACTATGCTGACTAGAAGTGGTCAGAGTGCGCATTTTTATTATGTTCCTGACCTTTGAGGAAAAGCTTTAAACTTTTCCTCACTGAGTATGATGTTAGCTGAGGGTATGTCTTATATGGCCTTTATTGTGTTGAGGTGCATTCCTTCTATATGTAATTTGTTGAGAACATTTTTCATGGAAAAAAATGTTGAATTTTGTTAAATACTTTCTCCATCTATTGAGATGACCATATGATTTCTGTTCGTCATTCTGTTAATATGGTATATCACGTGTATGTGGAACCATCTTTACCCTATGGATAAATCTCACTTGATCTTGATGAATGATCATTTTTATATGCTGTTGAATTCAGTTTACTAGTATTGTTGAGGATTTTTGCATCTATGTTTATATTTGTTGAGGATGTTTGCGTGTAATTTTTTTGAGACAGTATCTCACTCTGCTGCCCAGGCTGGAATGCAGTGGTGTGATCATGGCTCACTTCAGCCTCAACTCCTGGGCTCCAGCAATCCTCTTACCTCAGCCTCCCAAGTAGCTGGGATTACAGGCATGCACCACCTTGTCTAGCTATCTTTTTCTATTTTTTGTAGAAACATGGTCTCGCTATGTTGCCTAGGTTGGTCTCAAACTTCGGGGCTCAAGTGGTCCTCCTGCCTCAGCCTCTCAATGTATCAGGATTATAGGTGTGAGCCACTGCTCTCAGAGTTATTTTCTTTTATTGTATGGTCCTTGTCTGTCTTTCGCATCAGATAGTCCTAGCCTCATGAAATGAGTTTGGAATTTTGCCCTCTTCAGTTTTTTGAAAGTGTTTGAGAAGGACTGGTTTTCTTTCTTCTTTAAGTGTTTTGTAGAATTCATGAGTGAAACCATCAAGTCCTGGGCTTTTCTTTTCTTTTAAACAGCTTTAAAGATATAATTTACATATCATACAATTCATCCATTTAAAGTGTATCATCCAGCCTAAATGCCCATCAACCAACAAGTGGAAAAAGAAAATGTAGTATATACACCATGGAATACTACTCAGCTATAAAAAGAAATGAAATAATGGCATTTGCAGCAACCTGGATGGAGTTGGAGACCATTGTTCTAAGTGAAGTAACTCAAGAGTGGAAAATCAAATATTGTATGTTCTCACTTACAAGTGGGAGCTAAGCTAGGAGGATGCAAAGGTATGAAAATTATATAATGGACTTTGGGGATGTGGGAGGAAGGGTGGGAGGAGGTGAGGGATAAAAGACTACACATTGGGTATAGTATACGCAGCTCTGGTAACCAGTGCCCCAAAATCTCAGAAATCACCACTGCAGAACTTATCTATGTAACCAAAAACCATCTGTTCCCCAAAAACTATTGAAATGTAATACAAAATAGAAATAACAAAAATCAATAAAGTCTATAATCCGATGGTCTTAGTATGTTCACAGAGTTACACAACCATCACCACAATCAATTTTAGAACATTTTCATCACATAAAAAACTTCATAACCATTAGCAGTCATTCTTCCTCTTCCTCCCCACTCCCACCTATTCTCTTCCCCTCTTCCCCTAGCCCCAGGCAATTACTTATCTACTTTCTAACTCTATATAATTGCCTATTCTGGACACATGTTTAATATATTATATACATTTCTCCTATATAACTGTAATTACATATCCTTTGACCACCATCTCCCTATCCCTACCTCTCCCTTAACCATCCACACCTCTGGTAACCAACATTCTACTCCCTACTTCTGTGAGATCAAGTTTTTTCTCACTCACATATGAGTGAGATCATCCAACATTTGTCATTTTATGCCTTATCTATTTAACTTAATGTTCTCCAGGTTCAAACATGTTGCAACTAACAGGATTGTGTTCTTTTTGTTGGCTGAATAGTATTCCATTGTGTATACATACCACATTTTCTTTATCCATTTTTGTCTGTCGATGGGACACTTAGGGTGATTCCATATCTTGGCCTTTGTGAATAGTGCTGCAATAAACCTGGAAGCACAGATATCTCTTTGATATACTGATTTTATTTCCTTTGGATATATACTCAGTAGTGGTGTTACTGAATCATATGATAATTCTATTTTTAATATTTTAAGGACCCTACAGAGTGTTTTCCATAATGTCTGTACTAATTAACATTCCCACCAACAGTGTGTAAGAGTTCATTTTTCTCCACATCCTTACTATTTGTTCTTTTGTCTTTTTGATAATAGCCCTTAAGATAGGTGCAAAGTGATATCTCATTGTGGTTTTGATTTATATTTCCCTGATCATCAGTGATGTTTAACATTTTTTAATACACCTATTGACCTATTGGCCATTTGTATGTCTTCTTTTGAGAAATGTTTACTCAGGTGTTTTGCCCTTTTTAAAATAGTGTTGTTTGTTTTCTTGTCATTAAGTTGTTTGGATTCCCTATAAATTTTAGATATTAATGCCATATCAGTTGTATAGACTGCAAAGATTTTCTCCCACTTTACAGGTTGTGTTTGCACTTTGTGGATTGTTTTCTCTGCTGTGCAGAATCTTTTTCTTTGAATGTAATCTCATTTGTCTATTTTGCTTTTTGTCATCTTTGATTTTGAGGTCATATCCAAAAAAAAATCCTTACCCACACCAATCTCTGAAGCCTTTCCCCTATATTTTCTTCTAGTAGTTTCATGGTTTCTGGTCTTATGTTTAGGTCTTTAATCTTCTTTGACCTTTTTTATACATAAGGTGAGATAAGGGTCTAATTTCATTGTGCATGTGACTATCTACTTCTTCCTATCCTACTTACTGAAGAGACTCCTTTTCCCAATATGTGTTCTTGGTGACTTACTTGATCGAAAATCTATTGTCTCTAAGTGCTTGGAATTATTTCTAGGCTCTCTATTTCTGTTTCATTGGTCAATGTATCTGTTTTTATGCTAGTGCCATGATGTTTTGGTTACTATAGCTTTATTGCATATTTGGCAGCCCCGTAATATGATGCCTTCAACTTTGTTCTTTGTGGTGAAAATTACTTTGGTTATTTGGGGGTTTGTGTGGTTTTATAGGTCTTTTAGGATTGTTTTTCCTATTTCTGTAAAAAAGTGTCATTAGTATTTTGATAGTGATTGCATTGAATCTGTATATAGTTTTGAGTAGTATGAATGTTTTAGCAATATTTATTTTTCCAATTTATTCATATGTAATATTCATTTCTTTGTGTCTTCTTCAATTTCTTTAATCAGTTTTTTTGTCATCATAGAGATATTTCACCTTCTTGGTTAAATTTATGTCTGGGTATTTTATTTTATTTTTGCAGCTATTGTAAATGGGATAGTTTTCTTGATTTCTTTTTCAGATAGTTTGCTATTAACATATAAAAAGACTACTAATATTTTTTGTTGATTTTTTATCCTTCAACTTTACTGAATTTGCATATTAGTTCTAATAGTTATTGGTGGAGCCTTTAGAGTTTTCTACGTATAAGATAATGTTATTCGCAAACAGGGAAAAATTAACTCCTTCCTTTCCAGTGTGGATGCCTTCTATTTCTTTCTCTTGCCTAATTGCTCTGGCTAGGACTTCCATACTATGTTGAATACAAGTAGTGAAATTAGGCATCCTTGTCTTGTTGCCGATTTCAGTGAAAAAGCTTTCAACTTTTCCCCACTGAGTATAATGTTAGCTGAGGGTTTGTCATATATGACCTTTATTGTGTTGAGATGCATTCCTTCTACACCTACTTTGTTCAGAGTTTTTATCATGAAGAGTGTTGAATTTTGTCAAACACTTTTTCAGCATCTATTAAAATGATTATATTTTTCCTTCATTCTGTTAATTTAATGTATCACATTTATTGATATTCATATTTTGAACCATCCTTGCATTCCTAGGATGTATCTCACTTGATCATGGTGAACAATCTTTTCCACAGACTGTTGAAATCAGTTTGATAGCATTTTATTGAGGATGACTGTATCTATGTTCCTCAGGGATATTGGTCTGTAGTTTTTCTTCTTTTTTTTGGGGACCTTGTCTGGTTTTGGTGCCTGGGTACAGCCGACCTTGTAGAATTAGTTGGGAATAATTCCCTCCTCTTTAGTTTTTTGGAATATTTTGTGAAGAATTGGTAGTAAATCTTCTGTAAATATTTGACAAAATTAAGCTGTGCGGTACTGAGCTTTTTTTGATGGCTTCCTTTTATTATTGATTCAATCTCCTTGCACATTATTGGTCTGTTCAGGTTTCCATTTATTCATAATGCAATTTTGGTAGGTCCTATGTTTCCAGGAATTTATCTATTTCTTCTCGATTTTCCAATTATTTGGTGTATAATTGTTCATAATAGACTTCAGATCCTCTATGATTTCTGCGATATCAGTTGTAACGTCTCCTTTTTCATCTCTCATTTTATTTATTTGAGTTTTCTCTTTTTTTCTTAGTCTAATTACCGGTTTGTCAATTTTGTTTATCTTTTCAACAAATCAACTCTTCTTTTCATGTCTCTCTTCTATTGTTTGTCTTTAAACAATGTAAAGTAGTCTAGTTTTATAGGTAAAAAAAGGAGTACTAATTTTGCGTTTGCTCTTGCTTTTCTATTTTCTTGAGGTAAAATGGTAGGTTGTATATTGGTGCTGTTTCTTCTTTTGTTTTTATTTTTAATTTTTGTGGATAAATAATCGGTGTATATATTTATGGGGTGCATTATATGTTTTGATACAGGCATGTAATGCATAATAATCACATCATGGAGAATGAGGTATACATCTCAAGCGTTTATCTTTTTTTGTTACCAACAATTCACTTTTACTCTTTTAGTTGTTTCAAATGTACAATCAAATTATTGTCAACTGTAATCATCCTTTTGTGCTATCAAAGAGTAGGTCTTATTCATTCTACTTTTTGTATCCATTAACCAACCCCACCTTCTCCCCAACCCCCAATACACTTCCCAGCCTCTGGTAACCATCCTTCTACTCTCTATGTCCATGAGCTCAGTTGTTTTGATTTTTAGATCCAGCATAAATGAGAACATGCAATGTTTGTCTTTCTTTGCAAGCTTTATTTCAGTTAACATAGTGATCTCCAGTTATATTCATGTTGTCACAAACAACAGGATCTCATTCTTTGCATGGCTGAATATTACTACTGAATATTAGAATAATAGTAATCCATTGTGTACATTACCAGATTTTCTTTATTCATTCATCTGTTGATGGACACTTAGGTTGCTTCCAAATCTTGGCTATTGTGAATAGTGCTGCAATAAACATAGGAGTGCAGATATCTCTTCCATATGCTGGTTTCCTTTCTTTTGGGTGTATACCCAGCAGTAGGATTGCTGGATCCCATGGTAGCTCTCTTTTCAGTATTTTGAGGAACCTCCAAACTGTTCTCCACAGTGGTTATACTAGTTTGCATTCCCACCAACAGTGTACAAGAGATTGCTTCTCTTCACATCCTCACCAGCATTTGTTATTGCCTGTCTCTTGGATAAAAGCCATTTTAACTGGGGTGAGGTGGTATCTCATTGTAGTTTTAATTTGCATTTCTCAGATGAGCAACGCTATTGCTTTCATAGGAGGCACCTTTTCATAAGCCCATTTGCCATTTGTATGTCTTCTTTTGAGAAATGTCTATTCAAATCTTTTGCCTAATTTTTAATCGGATTTTTAGACTTTTTTCCTATAGCATTGTCTGAACTCCTTGTATACTCTGGCTATGAACCCCTTTTCAGATAGGTACTTTGTAAATATTTGCTACCATTCTGTGGGTTGTCTCTTCACTTAGTTGAATGTTTCTTTTGCTGTGCAGAAGTTTTTTAACTTGATGTGATCCTATTTGTCCATTTTGGCTGTGGTTGCCTGTGCTTATGGGGTATTGCTCAAGAAATTTTTGCCCAGACCATTGCCTGGGAGAGTTTCCCCAATGTTTTCTTGTAGTACTTTCTTAGCTTGAAGTATTAGACTTAACGCTTTAGTCCATTTTGATTTGATTTTTGTATATGGTGAGAGATTCAGTGATACAGCCTAGTTTCTTTTTTCTTTCTTTTTTTTTGCATGTGGATATCTAGTTTCCCTAGCACCATCTGTTAAAGAGACTGCCTTTTCCCCAGTGTATGTTCCTGGCACCTTTGTCAAAAATGAGTTTACTGTAGGTGTGTGGATTTGTTTCTGTGTTCTTCATTCTGTTCCATTGGTCTATGTGTCTGTTTTCATGACAATACCATGCTGTTTGGGTTACTATAGCTCTGTAGTATGATTTGAAGTCAGGTAATGTGGCTCTCCCAGTTTCGTTCATTTTGCTTAGGATGGCTTTGGCTATTCTGGGTCTTTTGTGGTTCCGTATACATTTTAGGATTTTTTTTATTTGTGTGAAGAATGCCATTGATATTTTGATAGTGATTGCATTGAATCTGTAGGTTGCTTCGGGTAGTATGGACATTTTAACAATATTGGCTCTTCCAATCCATGAACGTGGAATATCTTTCCATTTTTTTGGGTATCCTCTTCAATTTCTTTCATCAGTTATTTGTTTCCTTCCCCTGCCACTTTCAGAATCTTTATTTTTGAACTTTGACAGTGTGATTATAATTCATATTGGGGTAATCTTGCTTGGATTTAATATGACATAGATTATGTATATTAAATACATTTTTACTTTAAATATCTTCAACTTATGATTACTTTATTGGGACGTAACCTCATCAGACATCAAGGAACGATCATATGATAAAGCAAGTAGAGTTAAAATTTAATGAAAGAATCTTGGTGGTTGACTATATAATTGGTCATCATAATTTTTTTTAATTTTCTGTATATTTGAAACTTTGTATAATAAAATAAGAAAAAATTTATTTACTTGAATAAATCATGGTGACTCTTTAAGAATAGCCAATACAGAATAATGGAAATAAAATGATTATAAAGGTTACCAATTCTTGATGTTCTTAGATATCCATTGTTGATAAATTTTAATGTATACTGTTATATGTTTTTCATGTGTATGAGCATTTGTGTGTGTGAATGTTTGTTGTTTCCCTAGTATCTATTGCATCTACTATCATTACTAACATAATAGTTACTAAATCAAGAAAATAATTTTTCATTTTAAGAAGCAAAAGTATGAAATTTTCATTGTAGACTATTTGGAAAATATTTAAATGTACAAAGAATTTCCTTTTTTACTCTTGTGTTTATGGTACATTCTGTTTATCTCTTACTTGAACTTTTAAATGCATTTGGAAATCAAACATTTTTATTTCAATAATTTATACCCTATTATTTTACCCATATTTCTAACAAGTATTTATCATACTTGAAACATATTTTAACTAGCTGCAAATTACAACAATTTAGTTACCAGTGTAACTTTTTCATATTTAACATCTACTGTATTTCACATTTTACAGATTGTCCAAAAAGTAATCTTTTTTACAAGAATTTCCTTATTTTATCTGTTCCTTAATTCTAGTTATATAGGAGGACCTACATTTTATGTAGTCAAGTCACCAAACATTTTCTCTGGGTGTTTCCCTTCTCTTTTTAACTTCAGGAATTGTTCTGATTCTAATATAAGTCTATTACTTACTCTGTCTTTATTCCATTTATTTTAGATTTTAAATTGATATATGTAATATTTCAACAATATGTTATTTAAAAATATAATGTAATAATATTATAATTACCAACAATTACACTCATAAAAATAATTGTTAATATTGAAAACATTTCATTATTTAATCATATTTTCATGTATTTCTATGTTGTATAATGATTAGTATATTTTTACTTAATGTTACATGACAAGAATTTCCTTTGGTACAAAATGAACTTCACATATTTATTTAACTTTATTTAATACTGCCTAACAGATTTTCACATAAACAATATATTACAAAATATATCATTTTAGCCAACCTATAGATTCTTATTGAATATTTATTTGAGATGATTTGCCAGTATCAATAAACTTGTCATAAACATGATTATTCATAAATTTTTGTATGTGCTCTATGTTACTTTTTTATATGGGATAGATTCTTAAAGTTTTCTTATTTACATTTGACATGCTCTTGGCCAGGTAGAATATATACAAATTGTAAATACATGTTATGAAAACTAGGATCATTTTTGCTTGTCAACTATACTAAAAATAATTAAATAAAAAATTGTCAAATTAAAGATGCCAGTGCGAGTTATAATTTAAATCATAAATTTTTGTATAATGAAAATTATAATTTCTTAATGCAGAATTTTCTTAATGAGGTGTTATTTCTGCAAAAATGATACCCTTCTTCCAAGAGCTAGAAGTACATGATTAAAGTACCCAAGGCAATGTTTAGCTTTCAAAAAAAAATTCAGCATGAGTAGAATCCTGAATGGAGTAGGTTAGATATCAATGACACTCTCCCAGCCCAATCAATCTATGACTTTAGACAGAAGCTTGTCATCCAACAAATTCAGGGTTGTCTTGGTTTTTGTTTTTGTTTTTTAACTAATTGCAAAGAGGGAGACCAGAGGAACAATGGGGTGTCTCAACAAACAAATGAAAAGATTTAGTTATTATAGGATTTAGGGTACAGATTAGTTTTAGGCAAAATAATCAACATTTTAATAAGGTTAAAATAAAGCAGGGGTATCTCTAAAGAGATTAACATAAATACTGAAATCTTATTTTAGAACCCAGCTGCCTGATCTGAGAATGGGTGGCTAAACTCCCCCATTCATCAAAGGTTGGCCTGTGATGTCGTTCTTTTATGAATTTTGGCTTGAAAATCTTTCATTCCCTATTTAGGTATATGTACTCAAAATTGGCTAGCCAGAGAACTTTTCACTGAGAACAGGATATATGGACTGAAACTTACCTAATAAGCAGTAAGCCATAGAAAAATAGGCAGTGAGAGTATTTGGGGCACAGGAAAAAGAAATTTCAAAAAGCCGACTTCTAAAATTAGATGAAGGAGTTCAAAGAATAGAAATGGTTGTAGCAGAGTATTTGTGGAGGTGAAGCAGAAGATAAAGTAGATGAGGTGAATAGAAATCTAATCATGTAGGGTCAAGTATGCAAATGTTAAGATTTGAAGATAGGATTTATGGATTTTTTTCTGATTGAATCTTGGAAAATTGTTGGGGAGGTATAGGAGCAAGTTGATACTATAAAAGCTGAGAAGATAATTCAAGGACAGAACAGTAAAGTATCTTCAAATGCTCCTGAGAGGTTAAAACAAGAGGAGGAGAGAAAAATGATCATTGACAATATAAAACCACAAATTGCACTCTTATTTCCCATGTATAAAAAAGCTCTATGACATAAAATACATCACATACCACTATACTCTCTTCAGGAGAAGCAACGAAATTGTTGATTGAAATTGTAGGCTGTTAAAAATCATAGAAATGACTAAATTCACTCTAACAGGATTGATAGAAATAAAAACGTCTGGAAATTTCTGATATTCTTTAAAATCATGTTTTAAACATGAAGTCCTTGCCCATGCCTATGTCCTGAATGGTATTGCCTAGGTTTTCTTCTAGGGTTTTTATGATTTTAGGTCAGAATAACCAATGCAGAGAAGTCTGTAAAGGACCTGATGGAGCTGAAAACCAAGGCACGAGAACTACATGACAAATGCACAAGCCTCAGTAGCTGATTCGATCAACTGGAAGAAAGTGTATCAGTGATGGAAGATCCAATGAAAGAAATGAAGTGAGAAGAGAAGTTTAGAGAAAAAGGAATAAAAAGAAATCAACAAAGCATCCAAGAAATATGGGACTATGTGAAAAGAGCAAATGTATGTCTATTTGGTGTATCCGAACGTGACGGGGAGAATGGAACCAAGTTGGAAAACATTCGACAGGATATTATCCAGAAGAACTTCCCCAATCTAGCAAGGCAGCCCAACATTCAAATTCAGGAAATACAGAGAATGGCACAAAGATACTCCTCGAGAAGAGTAACTCCAAGACACATAATTGTCAGATTCACCAAAGTTGAAATGAAGGAAAAAATGTTAAGGGCAGCTAGAGAGAAAGGTCGGGTTACCAACGAAGGGAAGCCCATCAGACTAACAGCTGATCTCTCAGCAGAAACTCTACAAGCCAGAAGAGAGTGGGGGCCAATATTCAACATTCTTAAAGAAAAGAATTTTCAAACCAGAATTTCATATCCAGCCAAACTAAGCTTCATAAGTGAAGGAGAAATAAAATACTTTACAGACAAGCAAACGCTGAGAGATTTTGTCACCACCAGGCCTGCCCTAAAAGAGCTCCTGAAGGAAGCACTAAACATGGAAAGGAAAAACCGGTACCAGCCACTGCAAAAACATGCCAAATTGTAAAGACCATTGAGATTAGGAAGAAACTGCATCAACTAATGAGCAAAATAACCAGCTAACATCATAACGACAGGATCAAATTCACACATAACAATATTAACCCTAAAAATAAATGGGCTAAATGCTCCAATTAAAAGACACAGACTGGCAAATTGGATAAAGAGTCAAGAGCCATCCGTGTGCTGTATTCAGGAAACCCATCTCACATGCAGAGACACATATAGGCTCAAAATAAAGGGATGGAGGAAGATCTACCAAGCAAATGGAAAACAAAAAAATGCAGGTGTTGCAATCTTAGTCTCTGATAAAACAGACTTTAAACCAACAAAGATCAAAAGAGACAAAGAAGACCATTACATAATGGTAAAGGGATCAATTCAACAAGAAGAGCTAACTATCCTAAATATATATGCACCCAATACAGGAGGACCCAGATTCATAAAGCAAGTCCTTAGAGACCTATAAAGAGACTTAGACTCCCACACAATAATAATGGGAGACTTTAACACCCCACTGTCAACATTAGACAGATCAATGAGACAGAAAGTTAACAAGGATATCCAGGAATTGAACTCAGCTCTGCACCAAGTGGACCTAATAGACATCTACAGAACTCTCCACCCCAAATCAACAGAATATACATTTTTCTCAGCACCACACTGCACTTATTCCAAAATTGACCACATACTTGGAAGTAAAGCACTCCTCAGCAAATGTAAAAGAACAGAAATTATAACAAACTGTCTCTCAGACCACAGTGCAATCAAACTAGAACTCAGGATTAAGAAACTCACTCAAAACCGCTCAACTACATGGAAACTGAACAACCTGCTCCTGAGTGACTACTGGGTACATAACGAAACGAAGGCAGAAATAAAGATGTTCTTCGAAACCAATGAGAACAAAGACACAACATACCAGAATCTCTGGGACACATTCAAAGCAGTGTGTAGAGGGAAATTTATAGCACTAAATGTCCACAAGAGAAAGCAGGAACGATCTAAAATTGACACGCTAACATCACAATGAAAAGAACTAGAGAAGCAAGAGCAAACACATTCAAAAGCTAGCAGAAGGCAAGAAATAACTAAGATCAGAGCAGAACTGAAGGAAACAGAGACACAAAAAAACCCTTCAAAAAATCAATGAATCCAGGAGCTGGTTTTTTGAAAAGATCAACACAATTGATAGACTGCTAGCAAGACTAATAAAGAAGAAAAGAGAGAAGAATCAAATAGATGCAATAAAAAATGATAAAGGGCATATCACCACTGATCTCACAGAAATACAAACTACCATCAGAGAATGCTGTAAACACCTCTATGCAAATAAACTAGAAAATCTAGAAGGAATGGATAAATTCCTCGACACATACACCCGCCCAAGACTAAACCAGGAAGAAGTTGAATCTCTGAATAGACCAATAACAGGCTCTGAAATTGAGGCAATAATTAATAGCTTACCAATCAAAAAAAAAATCCAGGACCAGATGGATTCACAGCCGAATTCTACGAGAGGTACAAAGAGGAGCTGGTACCATTCCTTCTGAAATTATTCCAATCAATAGAAAAAGAGGGAATCCTCCCTAACTCATTTGATGAGGCCAGCATCATCGTGCTACCAAAGCCTGGCAGAGACACGACAAAAAAAGAGAATTTTAGACCAACATCCCTGATGAACATCAACGTGAAAATCCTCAATAAAATACTGGCAAACTGAATCAAGCAGCATATCAAAAAGCTCAGCCGCCATGATCAAGTGGGCTTCATCCCTGCAATGCAAGGCTGGTTCAACATACGCAAATCAATAAACATAATCCAGCATAGAAACAGAACCAAAGACAAAAACCACATGATTATCTCAATAGATGCAGAAAAGGCCTTTGACAAAATTCAACAACTCTTCATGATAAAAACTCTCAATCAATTAGGTATTGATGGGACGTATCTCAAAATAATAAGAGCTATCTATGACAAGCCCACAGCGAATGTCATACTGAATGGGCAAAGACTGGAAGCATTCCCTTTGAAAACTGGCACAAGACAGGGATGCCCTCTCTCACCACTCCTATTCAACATAGTGTTGGAAGTTCTGGCCAGGGAAATCAGGCAGGAGAAGGAAGTAAAGGGTATTCAATTAGGAAAAGAGGAAGTCAAATTGTCCCTGTTTGCAGACGACATGATTGTATATCTAGAAAACCCCATTGTCTCAGCCCAAAATCTCCTCAAGCTGATAGGCAACTTCAGCAAAGTCTCAGGATACAAAATCAATGTGCAAAAATCACAAGCATTCTTATACACCAATAACAGACAAACAGAGAGCCAAATCATGAGTGAACTCCATTCACAATTTCTTCAAAGAGAATAAAATACCTAGGAATCCAACTTACAAGGGATGTGAAGGACCTCTTCAAGGAGAACTACAAACCACTGCTCAAGGAAATAAAAGAGGACACAAACAAATGGAAGAACATTCCATGATCATGGGTAGGAAGAATCAATATCGTGAAAATGGCCATACTGCCCAAGGTAATTTATACATTCAATGCCATCCCCATCAAGCTACCAATGACTTTCTTCACAGAATTGGAAAAAACTACTTTAAAGTTCATATGGAACCAAAAAAGAGCCCGCATCGCCAAGTCAAACCTAAGCCAAAAGAACAAAGCTGGAGGCATCACGCTACCTGACTTCAAACTATACTACAAGGCTACAGTAACCAAAACAGTATGGTACTGGTACCAAAACAGAGATCTAGACCAATGGAACAGAACAAAGCCCTCAGAAGTAATGCTGCATATCTACAACCATCTGATCTTTGACAAACCTGAGAAAAACAAGCAATGGGGAAAGGATTCCCTATTTAATCAATGGTGCTGGGAAAACTGGCTAGCCATATGTAGAAAGCTGAAACTAGATCCCTTCCTTACACCTTATACAAAAATTAATTCAAGATGGATTAAAGACTTAAATGTTAGACCTAAAACCATAGAAGAAAACCTAGGCAATACCATTCAGGACATAGGCATGGGCAAGGCCAACACCAAAAGCAATGGCAACAAAAGCCAAAATTGACAAATGGGATCTTATTAAACTAAAGAGCTTCTGCACAGCAAAAGAAACGACCATCAGAGTGAACAGGCAACCTACAGAATGGGAGAACATTTTTGCAATCTACTCATCTGACAAAGGGCTAATATCCACAATCTACAATGAACTCCAACAAATTTACAAGAAAAAAACAAACAACCCCATCAAAAAGTGGGCAAAGGATATGAACAGACACTTCTCAAAAGAAGACATTTATGCAGCCAACAGACACATGGAAAAATGCTCGTTGTCACTGGCCATCAGAGAAATGCAAATCAAAACCACAATGAGATACCATCTCACACCAGTTAGAATGGCGATCATTAGAAAGTCAGGAAACAACAGGCGCTAGAGAGGATGTGGAGAAATAGGAACACTTTTACACTGTTGGTGGGAATGTAAACTAGTGCAACCGTTGTGGAAGTCAGTGTGGCAATTCCTCAGGGATGTAGAACTAGAAATACCATTTGACCCAGCCATCCCATTACTGGGTATATACCCAAAGGATTATAAATCAGGCTGCTGTAAAGACACATGCACACGTATGTTTATTGCGGCACTATTCACAATAGCAAAGACTTGGAACCAACCCAAATGTCCAACAATGATAGACTGGATGAAGAAAATGTGGCACATATACACCATGGAATACTATGCAGCCATAAAAAAGGATGAGTTCATGTCCTTTGTAGGGACATGGATGAAGCTGGAAACCATCATTCTCAGCAAACTATCGCAAGGACAAAAAACCAAACACCGAATGTTCTCACTCAGAGGTAGGAATTGAACAATGAGAATACGTGGACACAGGAAGGGGAACATCACACACCGGGGCCTGTTTTGGAGTGTGGGGAGGGTGGAGAGGGGAGGGATAGCATTAGGAGATATACCTAATGTTAAATGACCAGTTACTGGGTGCAGCACACCAACACGGCACATGTACACATATGTAACAAACCTGCACGTTGTGCACATGTACCCTGAATCTTAAAGTATAATAAAAAAAGAAAAAGAAGACCTTGTCTTTTGCTAGGCATTCAGCATGGGTATTGATCAATCTAGTCAGGAGTTGAGATGGTTTAGGCTTTGTTGTTGTTATAATGATCCTGAATAAACCACATGTTTAATGGCCTCTAGTGTTACTCTCTTAGTCTATTTCTACTGTTATAACAAAATGCCTGAGACTGGACAATTTATAAATAATAGAAACTTATTCCTCACAGTTTTTGAGCCTGGAACGTGCAAAATCAAGGTGCTTGCAGGTTTGGCATCTGGTGAGGGCCTAGTCTGTTCTTCCAAGATGCCACCTTGAACACTGTATCTTCACAAGACAAAAGAAACAGAAGAGCAAAAAGGGCCTAGGCTAGTTCCCTCCAGCCCTTTAATAAGTTCACTAATTCCATGTAGGAAGGCTCTGCTCTCACGACTTAATCACTTCCTAAAAGCCTTGCCTCTTATTATTATCACATTGGTGGTTGAGTTTTAACATATGAATTTTGGGGAATATCTTCAGACCATAACTTTCCATCCTTAGCCCACCAAATTCATTTCCTTCTCACACACAAAATACATTCATTCCATCTTAATAGCCCCAAAAAGTTATAACTCATTCCAGTACCAATTCAAAATTCTAAGGTCTAGAGTCTCATCTAAATCACATATGAGTGAGACCCAAGGTACAATTCATCCTGAGGCAAATTTCTCTCCAGCTGTGAGCCTGTGAAATCAAATAAGTTATGTGTTTCCAAAATACAATGGTGAGACAAGCATAGACTAGACACTTTCATTCCAAAAGGGAGAAATAGCCAAGAAAAAAAAGGGGGGTAATGGGTCCCAAGTAAGCCCAAATCCAAACAAGGTAAATAACATTAAAACTTTAAGCTTGAGAATAATTTTTGACTCCATGCCCTGCCTTCCAGACACACTGGGGTGGCGGTTGGGTCCCAAGGCTTCAGGGGACCCGACCTCCATGTCTTTGCCGGATGCAGCCCATGCTGCAGCTTTCACAGGTTGGAGTTCAGTGCCTGTGGCTCTCTCGAGCTAGAGTTGCACGTTGGTGATTCTACAGGTCTGGAGTGTTGGGAGCAGCCCAGCCCTACAGTTCTCTTGGGCATGACCCAAGTGGAACTGTGAGGTGGCTCCACTATGCATTACCCTCTCTGTGTGACTCTGCCCCTGTGGCAGTTCTCTCTGTGGGCACTGCACTTCAGCCTGGGTGACAGAGACTGTCTCAAAAAAATTAAAAAGGCAAAAGATCTGGACAGACATCTCATCAAAGAAGATACACAGATGGCAAAGAAGCATATGAAAAGGTAGTCAACAACATGTCATTGGAGAATTACAAATTTACACAACATGAGATACCACTACATACCTATTAGAATGGTGAAAATCCAAAACACTGACAACAGTACATGCTGGGGAGGATGTGGAACAGCAGGAGCTCTCATTCACTGCTGATGGGAATGCAAAATGGTACAGCCACTTAAGAAGGCAGCTTGGCAGTTTCTTACAAAACTAAGCATACTCTTACCATACAATCCAGGAATCATGCTCCTGGGTATTTGCCCAAATGAGTTAAAAATGTATGTCCACACAAAAACCTGCAGACAGATATTTATAGCAGCTTTATTCATAATTGCCAAAATTGGCAATCAAGATGTCCTTCGGTCAGTGTATGCACAAGTAAACTGTAGAAAAAAAAAAGCAAAAATCAAATAATAACACCTAAATAAAAGATATTCAGGTCAGAGAGGAGGATGTAAACCTGTATTTATTAAGAGATGACATGGCTGCGTATGTAAAAAAAAAAAATCCTAAGAATCTACACGACACTTGGGATAAATAAATGGATTTAGCAAGGTCAGGGACACCAAGTTTAAAATACAAAAATAAATTATGCTTTATATAAAACCAGCAAATAATTTAAAATACCATTACAAACAATTTTATTTATCATAACACTAAAACAAAGCATAAAATATCTAAATTTTATGGCTGGGCACAATGACTCTCGTGTGTTATCCCAGCACTTCAGGAGGCCAAGGCAGGCAGATTGCTTGCACTCAGGAGTTCAAGACTAGCCTGGGCAACATGGTGAGCCCCATCTCTACTAAAAACACAAAACAACTTGGCTGGGCATGGTGGTACACGCCTGCAGTCCCAGCCACTCTGGAGGCTGAGGTGGGAGGATCACTTGAAAGCAGGAGGGGTGGCAGGGGCAGTGGTGGAGGTTGCAGTAAGCCAAGAGCTGAGATCGCGCCAGTGCACTCTAGCCTGGGTGACAGAGCAAGACCCTGTCTCAAAAAAAATCTAAATTTTAGCGGAGCTTAACATTTGAATGTGATCAGAGAAAGAGACATGGCCCAGCGAGCAAGTTGGTCAGTTGAAAACAAGGCAGTTCTGGAATGGCAAAAAACCTGAGGGTCCCACAGGGCACTCTTGGGAGTGCTAATTATTTACAAGAGCCAAAGGATCTTGTGGAACACACCCAAAGGATCTTGGAGGATGCTAAGCAGATGTGGGGCACTTTAACAGTCATGCCAATGGGTCATGCAGTACTAGCAGAATGTTTAGAAAAACCGTTCAGCTCCAAGAAAGACCATCCTCCTATTTATCCCTCAACTAAATTCACTTGGTGGGTCAAATTCAAAATCCAGCAGAAGGCCTCTAAAAGCTCTTCACGGTAAACAGTTTTCTAGCCTCTGCTCGCAGTTCAACCAAGACCAGAGATGGTCAGAGTCCCCACCAGCCAAATCATTAGCACCCAATTACTATTATTACCACTAAACATGTCCCTGGAACTGAGAAATATTCTGTGACAAACAAAAAGATATTTCTTAAACATAAAACTGTTTCTCCTTTACAAATATGTATATATACAGTTACTTGGACTAATTAAATAAAAAGATATGAAAAGGATACATAAAGAAAGAGATAAGTTTATCAGCAGGAAGAAGATTAGTGAATAAGATAACTGAAAATTAAACGTGGATTATTTGGTGGCCAAAGAAAAAGAGGGTACAGAATGTTTTTCATAGTTGACCTTGACTTACAGAAGTAGGGAAAATTGATTTTTAAGTGATATTTAGGTATTCCCATGTAAATATTTAAAATATTATTATTACAAATACAAAAGTTTAAATGGCTTTTTTGAAAATGTTATAAACTTAATTCAAGTTCCAAAGAAACACTTTTGATAAAAAGTGTTTCTTAAGTAATTAATATGATTTTCAGGCCGGGCATGGTGGCTCATGCCTGTAATCCCAGCATTTTGGAAAGCCAAGATGAGAGGATCACTTGAGGCCAGGAAATTAAGACCAGCCTGGGCAACATAGGGACACCCCATCTCTACAAAAAAAATTAAAATATGTAAAATTTTCAAAAGAAAATTAATCCCAGATCCCATAAAATGGAAACAGGAATAATTGTTGTAGCAATGCTAACACTCTTTTGTTAGGAATAAGTACATGAGCATACATAAGAAGGGATGGAGATTTAGAGAAAAAGGTGGACTAGGCAGGCTTGGAGAGCCATAATGACTTGGCCAACATGTACGGAATTGAGGAGATGTTGAAAAGATGGTTCTATATTTGGGCTCCCTGGAATAATAGCAGCCCCTCAGGCTTTCAGGCCAACACATAAAATCTCAGTTCCCTGTCACCCATCATTCTGACAGCCTTGTTGTCACTCACCCCATTCTAGCCCAAGAGAACTCCATTTAAAACAGGTAAGTGATTTTTTTTATTGCTGTGAGTAAAATTACAGTCTAGATAGGAAAGGCCCCATCTAGACTAGATGTTATGGGACCTAAAGTAGGTGGCTGAAAGCACTAGTACTATTGTCTGGACTTGGGTAGACAGAGTTGGAGAGACTAAAGCAGTGTGGGGTGGAGCCACTTGTACTGGCTCATCTGTGCATATTCCTTGCAAACTTCACATTCAGTGATGTCACGTTGATACCTTGAAAATGACCTTGGTGGGAGTACATACACTGCCAAAACTGGCAAACACTACAATGCAGGGCTTTAATTGATTGACTGATCTTTGTGTGTGTATTTTAGCTGGGTTACCAGCACACCACCAAACCACAGTCATAAATATGGGCTATGCCAGTAGAATGGAAAATGCTGTCTGGGATGGCAGAATGAGGAGACTCTGGGCATGGGGTCCCTTTTTACCTCTCAGTGTGCCAAAGAACTCTGACCCCGGAGCCCCTCCAAAGAAGGTTCTACATTGGCTCTGATCCTGACTACTGTAAATATCCAAGGTATTAAAGGGACTTATTTACGGCTACCCTGCCCTGATACTTCACACTCATCCAATATTTTGTCATTTGGTTGTTTTGTTAAACATTTTGAGGAGTTGCACTGTGCTGTGATGTACTGAGATCTGGAAAAACACAAAGAAAAACTATAATTCTCAGACCTCAGAAAGTCTTAAATCAGTTAGGGGAAACATTGCCAGGTGATCTAACATACTCCTATTCCTGAGATAGGTCCTCTGATAATCAGACTTTTTGTGAAATCAGAGAGAAGAAATCATTTATGAGGTGAACGTTCTCACAGGCACATTGCTGACACATTGGAGAGATGATTTTTTTTTTTTTTTGAGAGGGAGCCTCGCTCTGTCGCCCAGGCTGGAGTGCAGTGGCACAATCTTGGCTCACTGCAAGCTCCACCTCCTGGGTTCACGCCATTCTCCTGCCTCAGCCTCCCGAGTAGCTGGGACTACAGGCGCCCGCCACCACGCCCGGCTAATTTTTTGTATTATTAGTAGAGACGGGGTTACACCGTGTTAGCCAGGATGGTCTGGATCTCCTGACCTCCTGATCCGCCCGCCTCGGCCTCCCAAAGTGCTGGGATTACAGGCGTGAGCCACCACACCCGGCCGGAGAGATGATTTTTTAAAATACCCTGAATAAGGGTAATTATCTCACAAACACAAAGAAGGGCAATGGAAGTTAATTCTCTGAGATGCTGAAGATACCTGGACCGAGACAGGAGAACATTCATGAGGCATTTGAGAAGTTGTCTAGATTAGGTTGAGTAGATAAGCAACTACTCAGGTACCCACAATTTCACCCATAGGTCAGGCTCCAGTCATTGAGCTCTTTATCCTCTCTTCTTTGCCTCCCAGAAGCAAAATCCTTTTATTCTCAAAGTACCAAATGGCCATCCTTAGCTTAGCAGGTCCTCTTCAGGCTTCTCTTTTCTATTTAAGATTTACATTGCTTCATTTGATCTTTTCTTCTGGCTGTTACTTTGTCAGCATAGTGGTGCACACTCTTGGCCTTCAACCTCCAATGGCATTTTCATATCTGTTTTGATTTATTCCACCTCCTTCAGAAGGGCGAATTTCTTCGGGGTATTGTATATTTTCATAGTGCTTGTGTGATCACAGGCTGACCTGGTGGTAGTTGCTGTCCACAGCAGGCACATCCTAAGGAGCCTCTATTGGGCTCTTGTCGCATAATTTTATTTTTGAAACAATTTCAGCCATTACTTAGAGGCTACTGCAGGAACCAAAATGGGAGTAAATCTTCCTACTCTGGAAACTGAATTTAGAGATGGGGAGAATGGAACCTGAGAGGCAGGGAAAGAATGATTATGTGTACTTCCTATGTGCTAGATTCTCAGTCAGGCACTGAATAAATACAGACATGCTACAAGTTGTTTATCTATTATACTTCATTATTTCCTGGATCCCTGAACTTCTGCACCACGCTCATCTCCTGAGAATGGAGAAGGGCATTACATAATAGTAAAGGGTTCAATTCAACCTGAAGACCTAACTATCCTAAATATATATGCACTCAACACAGGAGCACCCAGATTCATAATGCAAGTTCTTAGAAACCTACAAAGAGACTTAGAATCCCACACAAAAACAGTGGGAGACTTCAACACTCCACTGACAGGATTAGATAGATCATCAAGGCAGAAAAAGAGCAAAGATATTCAGGACCTAAACTCAATATTGAACCAAATGGATCTAATAGACCTTTTTATTATTTATTTTAGAGACACAGTCTGCCTCTGTCACCCAGGCTGGAGTGCAGTGGCATGGTCTCAACTCACTGCAAAGTCCACCTCCCCAGGCTCAAGCAATTCTCATGCCTCAGCCTCCCAAGTAGCTGGGATTACTATTACAATTTTATGAGACGGCAATTAGAAAAAAGTGTCTAAAAAGGCTCCATAACTGGGGATCGATGAAACAATGGAGAAATACTGGACTAGAGTGAAGAGAAATAAGAAACACTGAGGCATCTGCTAGTAAAAATTTTGAACTCTAAGGAGAAAGAGAAAAATCTTACAAACATCCACTTAAAAAGAACATATTTCCAGCTTCATCCATGTCCCTATAAAGGACATGAACTCATCCTTTTTTATGGCTGCATAGTATTCCATGCTGTATATGAGCCACATTTTCTTCATCCAGTCTATCATTGATGGACATCTGGGTTGGTTCCAAGTCTTTGCTATTGTGAGTAGCAATAAACATACGTGTGCATGTGCCTTTACAGAAGCCTGATTTATAATCCTTTGGGTATATACCCAGTAATGGGATGGCTGGGTCAAATGGTATTTCTAGTTCCATCATGCAAACTATCGCAAGAACAAAAAACCAAACACCACAGGTTCTCACTCATAGGTGGGAATTGAACAATGAGAACACTTGGACACAGGAAGGGGAACATCACACACCGGGGCCTGTTGTGGGGCGGGTGGGGGGTGCAGAGGGAAAGCATCAGGAGATATACCTAATGTAAATGACGAGTTAACGGGTGCAGCACACCAACATGGCACATGTATACATGTGTAACAAACCTGCACGCTGTGCACATGCACCCTAGAACTCAACTATAATAAATATATATATATATTTTAAAAAAAGAGCATATTATCTACAGGAGAAGAATGATGCTGGAATTAGACTTTTTATCTCCAACGCTGGAACGGACAGTGGCATAGCAGTTAAGGACTACTGAGAGAAAGGACTACAGCCCAACAATCCTATACCCAGCCAAGATGTGGCCCCTCTGTCAGGGTGAAGGAAAGAAACACAGCAATTCAGTTTATCTCCTGTGTCCCCCACAGAGAAACCTACTTGAGAGAAGATTTTCCAAACATTATCACTTATGTGAACCTGAACAACAATTCATGGAAATGTAAAGGAAAGAACACAAATCTCTGGGCTTCACCACTAGAGTTTGTGATTCAGTGGTTTGCGGTCTAAATTTTCATTTTTACAAGTTCCCAATTAATGCTAATGCTGCTAGTCTGGGAACACACTTTGAGAAACTTTCAGGTGTTTACTAATTTTTTTGTTTGTTTGTTTGTTTTTTTGGAAACGGAGTTTCACTCTTCTCGCCCAGGCTGGAGTGCAATGGCATGATCTCTGCTCACTGCAACCTCCGCCTCCCGGATTCAAACAATTCTCCTGCCTCAGCCCTCCAGAGTAGCCAGAATTACAGGCATCCGCCACCATGCCCGGAACATCTTTTGTATTTCTTTAGTAGAGACAGGCTTTCACCATGTTGGCCAGACTGGTCTCGAACTCTGGACCTCAGGTGATCCACCCGCCTCAGCCTCCCAAAGTGCTGGGATTACAGGCATGAGCCACCGCGCCCAAAACGATGACTTCAAGTGAAATGCTGTATAATAAAATTAATTTTATCATAGGCTAATTGATATGAACAAGAGTCACAAAAACATCACCAAACGTCTAAATAAAGATTCAACACACTTAGAGTATTAAACTTAGAAATAAATGTGAGCTGCACATACAATTAAGAAAGCCTAATAAAACCTAGTAAGATTATTATTCACCCAATTTTTGGTGAGTCAGTGAGTGATGGCGGTCGTAGTTGTGGTAAGTTAAATCAAGGAATAAATGCTTGCAGAGAAAAAATTGTAAGGAGCACCTCCTACTACTACACAGTTAAAAAATCAATAATGACAGACACGGCAGGCTGGCTGATCTATCTTGTACTTTCATCGTTATTGTCTTGCATTTGTATGATTACCACGTTTTATGAATTTTTATTTTTCAATAATTTGTATTCATTCCTTCATTTTCCAACCTGCTGATTCCAGTTCAGAGTGGCAGGTGGCTGGAACCTATCGGCAGCTCAAGGTGTGAGGCAGGAATCAACGCTAGACAGGACCCCATCCGGGGCTCAGGGCACACCCCCATACTGGGACCATAGAGGTGTCAGTTCATCTAATGTGCACATCTTTGGGATGTGGGAGGAAACAAGAGTATCCAGAGAAAAACCACAAAGACATGGGGAGAATATGCAAACCCCACGCAGACATTGGCCTGCCAGAAGTCAATTTTTTAAGTTAATATTATAATAAAATGATATTATTTGAGGCTGGACACAGTGGCTCATGCCTGTAATCCCAGCACTTTGGGAGACCAAAGCGGGTGGATCACTTGAGCCCAGGAATTTGAGACCAGCCTGGGTAACATGGTGAAACCCCACCCTCTACAAAAAAAAAAAAAAAAAATTAGCCAGGCATGGTGGTACACACCTGTAGTTCCAGCTACTCAGGAGGCTGAGGTGGGAGGATTGATTGAGCCCAGGAGTTTGAGGCTGCAGTGAGCCATGATGGCACCACTGCACTCCAGCCAGGGTGACAGAGCAAAACTGTGTCTCAAAAAAGAAAAAAAAAAAAAAAGATGTTCTTTGACAACCTGCTGTATTTGCCATGTAAGAATCACCTTAAGAGGGACATAGAAAAATACAATATGTTCCTTTATAGATAGATTTTGTCCCTGCATCAAGGACAAAAGTGATGTCTCTGATCTGATTTATATTGAAATAAATGTGAGCTATACATACATTTAAGAAGGATTACTAAAAACAAGTAAAATTGGGCCGGGTGAGGTGGCTCATACCAGTAATCTCAGCACTTTGGGAGGCCAAAGCGGGCAGATCACTTGAGGTCGGAAGTACAAAACCAGCCTGACCAACATGGTGAAACCCCATCTCTACTAAAAATACAAACATTAACCGGGTGTGGTGCCGCGTGCCTGTAGTCTTCAGCTACTTGAGAGGCTCAGACAAGAGAATCCCTCGAACCTCGGAGGTAGAGGTTGCAGTGAGTCGATATTGTGCCACTGCACTCCAGCCTAGGTGACAGAGCGAGACTCCTCAAAAAAAAAAAAATTATTATTTACCCAATATTTGGTAAATCAGTGAGCGACAGCAAACAGAGCGCACCTATAAATCAATCCTGACTGGGTGGGGCCACCTTTGTGGAGAGTTACTGAATTAGGAATTTAATCATTTTGATTGTTCTTGTAATTACTTAGCAGTCCATTATCATAATCTAATCAATCTAAAAGTGACATGATTATCTTATTTTTTGAAACCCCATTCATAATTTTAAAATCTCCTTTATCTTGATAAATTATACAACTATGAAAAAAATTCTAAACATTGCATTTAAGTATAGAAAAGCTCAAACATAGCTGTACTTGGAGGCAGAGGATTGCATCAATTCCTGCATTCCCTGAAGAATCATTATGATTTCAGTAATATCAAATGCAGAAAATGTTGTGTTGAATAACTCTTAAGATACCATAAGCAGATATGTTGTTGAGAATGGGATTTTTTTTGTATTGGTGAAAAATTTTGTGGATTTCCGGACAAAACTATATACAATGGTCCTGTGATTTATGCAATTGCATTTCTCGAACACTATGAAAATTAAAACAAGCAACAACACTTATAATTTATAATTAAATAGGGTGCAGCCTTGCACATCGTGAACATGTTTATCATCCAATTTCATGTCTGGAGGTCACTGGAGAGTCCTATGACATGCTTGCAGGTAGCTTAATTGTCTTGGCCGTTGTCCATAGCAGCCCCCATTCACTAGGAGAACCACCAGAGCAAACTCCAGATTTTAAATGAATCCAGACTGGGTGGTGCCACCTTTGTGGAGAGTTACTGCTTTAGGTAATTTAATCATCTTGATTGTTCTTGTGATGAGTTAGGAGATGATTATCACAACCTAATCAATCCAGAAGTCATGAAGTCTCCACCCACTCATTAAGGTGACTCAATATAAACCTGCCTCCTGTGCCTCCACATTAGCTCGTTTGGAAGACCTGGGTATAGGTGGTCGTCTCCTCGGCTCCGAGTCCCTGCAGCAGCTGAGGTGCCTGTGTCTCTCTGGTTCCCAGTGGCCGCCATCATGCTCTCCTCCACACTCAGGGTGGCTGTGGTGTGCGTGAGCAATGTCAACAGGAGCATGGAGGCCCACAGCATCCTCAGGAGAAAAGGGCTAAGTGTCCGGTCTTTTGGAACTGAATCTCATGTGAGGCTACCAGGACCAAGACCCAATCGTCCTGTAGTTTACGATTTTGCAACAACATATAAGGAGATGTACAATGACCTCCTCAGGAAAGATAGAGAACGCTACACCCGCAACGGAATCTTACACATCTTGGGAAGAAATGAGAGAATCAAGCCCGGTCCAGAAAGATTTCAGGAGTGCACTGATTTCTTTGATGTCATCTTCACCTGTGAGGAGAGTGTCTATGACACAGTGGTGGAAGATCTGTGTTCCAGAGAACAGCAGACCTTTCAGCCTGTGCACGTGATCAACATGGACATCCAAGATACCCTGGAAGATGCCACCCTGGGAGCTTTCCTCATCTGTGAGATTTGCCAGTGCCTGGCAGCAGTCAGACGACATGGAAGACAATCTGGAAGAGCTGCTGTTGCAAATGGAGGAGAAGGCAGGAAAAAGCTTTCTTCACACCGTCTGCTTCTACTGAACATCTGGGCTGGCTTTGTCCCCTTCCTCAGTAAGAACTTAGGCATGGGACTTTAGTCCGGATTTATTGTGAGAAGCATCTGCAAAGACCTTCCACTGAGTACTGTTTGTGTGACTTTTGTACACATCACCTGGAAAGAGACTATTACCAAGAAAATATTTTATGGGAAATGAGAAGGACTAACATTTTTAAAAGCACTGAAAAATGGTTGGCATTGTGCTAGGTGCATTACATGGCATAACTAATTTCATGCTTATATCATTCTACAAGAAAGCTAGCCCACCATGACGCCATTTTCCAGATGAGCAAACCGAGCTGATAATGGACTGCTGGAAAAATGATTTGTTTAAGGGTATTCAGCAGATAAATAACATTGTATAGATAAGCACCTTTTAAATAAACTTCCTTTTCTCAATTTGAGTGGTTTTTTTTAATTTTTAAATTTTTTAAGTTAGTTGAGACCAGTGAAGTGTGGTATGTTAACTTAAATGTTCTTCTTTAATAAGAGTATAATATTACATGTTTGAACAGATCAATGTTTTTACATATAGATTATATCTTTTTTACTAATGCTCACTTTAATAGGTAAAATCCAAGTTGGGTAATGAACTACATATGATTGTAACATTTGGAATTATCTGCTCAAATCATAGGTCATCAAATTAAATGAAATAAAAAATGTAAATAAAAAGTATATTCTTATTTCTGTTTGGGGGATGCATTTCAAGCCACTAAGCGACATGCTTTTGTTTAAACCTTATGAATTACACTGAAAAAAAAGGGATCTTTCATAGTGAAAATTTTATTAGGTTCAAAATATTCATTGGTATGAACACTGAGAGCATCACGTGATAAACCTAATCATGTTTTCAAGGAGAAACAATTGAAACACTTTTTCGTAATCCTGGGTAGTGGCACTAAACCATGTTTACTAATAGGAGAAAAATAGATCAGAAGTAGTTGTTCATAGTTAAATTAATTGACATGTTATCTATTGAACTAGACTTATTACGGCAACCTAAAATAACAGCAGAGATTAGCTCTCAAAATGAGTTTATTTGAATGAAGGACTGGAATCAGGAATACACCGGGTATAACAAGTCACAGGTGTATCCTGAGAGGTTAGGGTAAGGGGAAACTTTTAAAGGCAAAAAGAAGTCCACAGAAGCTGCTTTGAAATAAATTTATTGGTCACAGAAGCTCATTGCAGGAGTCGGCATTAGCTTCTTGGTGGAGACAGCCATTGCTAGGCATGTGTTCTTGCGAGAACATTTTATCTGGAATGCTGCAGTCTTGAAGATATTGCAGTTATAGAAATATGTGTGGCCATGCAGAATGAGCAAAGTGTGTAAGACCTGCTGATGGTGCAAAGCATGTAAGATGTGCCATAATCTCTTGTGGGTTTTAGAGAGTCCTTGTGATAGTTCTTATCTCAAGTACACAAGCATGGGCTCCCCTCCTTCATGACCTTCCAGCTCCACTTCATCAGCCTTCTCCACTGTGAATTTACCCTTTTTCCCATTTTCCATGCTGGACTATTTGGAAAAAGTCCCTATGTGCAGCCCACATTTAAGGAGTGGGGACTTGTGCCCTACTTCCTTGTGGGTGGATTATCCATTTAAATTATATGGACTTACTCCTCACAGATGTGTCTATTCTCCCCCTCATTAATGAATTTATTCAATTATTTCTTCATAGCAGTATGGAATCTTGGACATTTATTTTTCTATGTGGGATTACAATTCGATCCTGCTTTGTTTTGTTGCTCAAACTTTCTGTTTTGGCCATCGCAAGCACTTTCAGTTGCCTCCTGGGTCCTTTCATGTGCCCCATCGTGGTGTTTGTTTGGTTTTACTTCATTTTTCATGGAAAAGGAAACACTCTGGCATTATGAGATGCCCCAGGTTCATCTTATATATTTCCAGCCTCAGAATCAACAATTTCTCCAAATAATCCTGTTTGTATTACTGGAGGATGATGAGAGTAATCAAAATCAAGTGTGCTTGATGCTACTAAGGTACCAGTGTTTTCTGTCCTGCCTCCTTCGGCTACATTTAAATTTTTTCCCTTTGTCTTAATTTTCAGTTTGATTGTGAGGCATCTACATACAACTTTCTTTGTTTTTAAGCCTCCTTGAAGTTCTGTGAGCTTTTTCAATCTGTAATATTTTAGCTTTTTCCCTAATTTGAATAATTTCACAATTATTGCCTCAAAAACAAAAATCAGTCCCATTCTTTCTCTCATTTCATTTTGAGACCCAAACTACACATCTGGTAGACCTTTTGATATTGTTCCTCAAGTACCTGAGGATCTCTTTCTTTTCTTTTTTGTTCTTTTTTTCTCACTTCTTCAGTTGGATAATTCTGCTGATAGACCTTATGGTTAATTTTTAGAAGTAGGATTACTGTGGTCAAAGAGATGTATAGGCCAGAAACAGTGGCTGATGCCTATAATCCCAGCACCTTGAGAGGCTGAGGCAGGAGAATCGCCTTGAGGCCAGGAGTTCAAGACCAGCCTGAGCAACACAGTGAAGCCCTATCTCTACAAAAAAATTAAAAATAGAAATTAGCGAAGTGTGGTGGCACACACCTGAGTCCTAGCTACTTATAAGGCTACTTGGAAGACAGAGTAAACATGTTTTTAGATTTATTAGATATTCAAGATGCCCTCCATAGAGCTTGTAACATTTTTCATTACGACGGGAAAACATGCCTTTTCCCTCACAAACTTGCCAGCAGGGTATAGTGTCAAGCTTTTGAACATTTATCAATCTGATAGTTTATCAGGTATGGTTGCGCATCTGTTAACATAGCTGCCAGCCATTCTCTCTGCTGAACACTCGTGCCATTCCCCCATCATGATGTGCAGTCTATTACCCATCCCCTTCTATCCAGGGACATTGCCTTACGACTCGCTTCAACCAACAGACTGAGCTTGAAGTATTACATGCTCTGCTTCATGGATTAGACTTGTGTAAAACCACAAACAAGCCACATGATGATTACACAATCCAGGTCAGACCTTGGGGTAGATCGGACATGGGGCCGGGAGCTGTGGCTCACACCAGTAATCCAAAATACAAAAATTAACCAAGTGTGGTGCTGTGCACCTGTACTCCCAGCTACTTGGGAGGCTGAGGCAGGAGAATTGCTTGAACATGGGAGGCGGATGTTGCAGTGAGTGAGCCAAGATCGCACCACTGCACTCCAGCCTGGGCAACAGAGCGAGACTCTGTCTCAAAAAAGAAGAAGAAGAAGGAGGCTCTCCCTCTCCCTCTCCCTCTCCACGGTCTCCCTCTCCCTCTCCCTGGTCTCCCTCTGAT
Organism: Homo sapiens; assembly: GCF_000001405.40. NCBI lineage: Eukaryota > Metazoa > Chordata > Mammalia > Primates > Hominidae > Homo > Homo sapiens. The sequence goes on from NC_000011.10 coordinate 4,282,615, forward strand.
GCCAAGCTGAGGCTGGACTGTACTGCCGCCATCTCGGCTCACTGCAACCTCCCTGCCTGATTCTCCTGCCTCAGCCTGCCCAGTGCCTGGGATTGCAGGCTCGCGCCGCCACGCCTGACTGGTTTTTGTGTTTTTTGGTGGAGAAGGGGTTTCGCCGTGTTGGCCGGGCTGGTCTCCAGCTCCTGACCGCGAGTGATCTGCCCGCCTCGGCCTCCCAAGGTGCCGGGATTGCGGATGGAGTCTCGCTCACTCAGTGCTCAATGTTGCCCAGGCTGGAGTGCAGTGGCGTGATCTCGGCTCGCTACAACCTGCACCTCCCAGCCGCCTGCCTTGGCCTCCCAAAGTGCCGAGATTGCAGCCTCCGCCCGGCCGCCACCCCGTCTGGGAAGTGAGGAGCGTCTCTGCCTGGCCGCCCATCGTCTGGGATGTGAGGAGCCCCTCTGCACAGCCGCCCAATCTGAGATGTGAATAGCGCTTCTGCCCGGCCGCTACCCCGTCTGGAAACTGAGGAGTGTCTCTGCCCGGCCGCCCAGTCTGGGAAGTGAGGAGCGCCTCTTCCTGGCAGCCATCCGGTCTGGGAAGTGAGGAGCGTCTCTGCCCGGCCGCCCATCGTCTGAGATATGCGGAGCGCCTCTGCCAGGCCGTGACCTCGTGTGGGAACTGAGGAGTGTCTCTGCCCGACCGCCACCCCGTCTGGGAGGTGAGGAGTGTCTCTGCCCCGCCGCCCCTTCTGAGAAGTAAGGAGCCCCTCCGCCCAGCAGCCGCCCCTCCTGGGAGGGAGGTGGGTGGCAGCCCCTCCCGGCAGCCGCGCCGTCCGGGAAGTGGGGGGCGCCTCTGCCCGGCTGCCCCGTCTGGGAAGTGGGGGGCGCCTCTGCCAGGCCACCACCACGTCTTGGAGGTGTGCTCAACAGCTCATTGGGAATGGGCCATGATGACGATGGCGGTTTTGTCGAATAGAAAGGGGGGAAATGTGGGGAAAAGAAAGACAAATCAGATTGTTGCGGTGTCTGTGTAGAAAGAAGTAGACATAGGAAACTCCATTTTGTTCTGTACTAAGAAAAATTCTTCTGCCTTGGGATGATGTTAATCTATAACCTTACCCCCAACCCCGTGCTCTCTGAAACATGTGCTGTGTCCACTCAAGGTTAAATGGATTAAGGGCCGTGCAAGATGTGCTTTGTTAAACAGATGCTTGAAGGCAGCATGCTCATTAAGAGTCATCACCACTCCCTAATCTCAAGTACCCAGGGACACAAACACTGTGGAAGGCCACAGGGTCCTCTGCCTAGGAAAACCAGAGACCCTTGTTCACATGTTTATCTGCTGACCTTCCCTCCACTATTGTCCTATGACCCTGCCAAATCCCCCTCTCTGAGAAACACCCAAGAATGATCAATAAATACAAAAAAAAAAAAAAAAAAGAAGAAGAAGAAGGAGAATGAGAAGATTGGACGTGGGAAGTGAGGAGGGAGAGGAAGTAAAAGAGAGGAAATAAAACAATTACAAATAAAGCTATTAACATACTTATAATGTTAAGTTTTTTTATGAAACAAAGTATTTCCCTCATTTTTTGAGTGTTTTGTTAGTCTTCTTATGGTAATTTTAAAACGGAAGAAAAAACACACATACACAAATACAGAAAACCAAACAAAAATAAAGGAGTTGCTTAAGAAATTATTATAAGGCATACATCATGTAATCAAGAAATAGAAATTTGTCAGACACACCTAAAGCAATGTTCATTTGACTGGTCCTTATCACAATATCCTTCTTTCTGGCACAACTCACTTTTATAGTTCAGATTCATCCTCAAATCTTCCTGAAATTTGTATCCAAATGTCATTTTTCATCTTCAATAACCATGTGAACACCCATTTGCCTCTTTCTCTGGCTACTTCCTCAAGAAATCATTGTATTTTCATTACAGTAAATCTAAGTCTTTATTTCCCACTCTACATAGTATATAGTCAGATACGCGAGGTCACCATTACGACTTCCAATCAGAGCTCCCCTCCCTCTACCCAATAAACCAATACTAGAGGTGTTCAACAACCTAGAAAGTCTTCTTACCATATCTGCCCAACATATCATCGTGCCCCATACTTCCCACACCCTTGATTTTTAGTGATTATATAAGCTCTCACTTCTCATGCTTCCTCACAACCGACTACTGCCACAGTTCTTAGCAATTCCAGCATCCACACAGATTATCCACCCAGCACCCTCAACACTCTCACTTCTTCTCCAATTGCACTTGTCTACACCCCACCAGAGATACCCATGGTCATAGTCATCAAGAACCTCACCACTAGATCAAAATCTGAAACAGTCATGCCCCAACTATAAGACCACATCTTTCCATTCACTTTTGCTTCTTTATTTAAACTATAAGGGCTGTTTGACCATGCATTGTGCCACAACCCATGGATTCCAGCCCAATCCCTACTTATTCACCCTTTCTGGTCCAAAACCAGGTTTCATCGTTTATCACTATAATTACACCCTTTCAAACTCCTGAAGCATTTCTGCACCTTGCTCTTCTGTCACATTTGCATTGTCCATGTCCAAACAGACAGAAAAGAGAAACTCAACCACCTTGTCATGTTTTTCCAAATGGATTGGCTGGAAAAAGTAGTATCTATGGGACAGTCTCACTTTTATCTTCAGAAGAGCTCTCACAAAAAACTACACTCAGGTTTGTATTCCCATATTTTAAAACAATTATCTATGCCAAATATCCTCACCCCATCCCCAATCATGATCCTGACTGCCCACTGCCAGCTGATGGCCTTATCTTAAGCCACATTGACAGAATAGAGATAAACTGTCAGTGAGGAAACACCACACTGCCCTACCACCAAAACTTTCACTTATATATTTGGACCAAGCCACCCTTAAAATCAGAAATCTGAGAGTGATTCAAAAGTCCTCCTTTTCTCATCAAGAAGTCTCTCATGTCAGCTCTAACATCCCTCTCCAATGTGTCCATTCTTCTGCCTTTTGACAGACACTTCCCTCCCACAAGCTTCCAACCTCTCCTCTGCGAACTACTGTACCAGCTGGGTTCCCCACTTCCACTTGCCTCCTGCTACCTACACTGCAAGAGGAAAAAGAATATTTTCTTACAACTTTGAAAGTTTCTGATACCAAAAATGTGAAAGTTGTTACTACCAAGATGAAGTCCACTATCGTCAGATCCAGGTGAAGTGGAGCTGGAGGGTCATGAAGCAGGGGAGCACATGCCTGTATATCTGAGATAAGAGCTATCACGACTCCCTAAAACCCACAAGAGATCATGGCACATCCTACATGCTTTACACAATCAGCAGGTCTTACACACTTTGCTCATTCTGCATGTTCACACGTATTTCTATAACTGCATTATATTCAAGACTGCAGCATTCCACATAAAATGTTCTCGCAAGAACACACGCCTAGCAATGGCTGTCTCCACCAAGAAGCTAACGCCAACTCCTGCAGTCAGCTTCTGTGACCAATAAACTTTGTTTTAAAGTAGTTTCTGTGGACTTCTTTTTGCCTTTAAAAGTTTCCCCTTACCTCAACCTCTGAGGATGCACCTACAATTTGTTACACCTGGTGCATTCCTGTTTGCAATCCTTCGTTTAAATAAACTCATTATCTTTGGAAAGCTAATCTCTGCTGTTATTTTAGGTTGCCATAATAAGTCTAATTCAGTAGATAACATGTAAATTAATTCAACTCTGAACAACTACTTCTGATCTATTTTTTCTCCTACTAGTGAACATGTTTTAGTGCCACTACCAAGGATTATGGAAAGTGTTTCACTTGTTTCTCCGTGAAAACATCATTAGGTTTATCACCTGATGTTCTCAATGCTCAAATCAATAAACATTTTCAATTTAATACAATTTGAATCTCTCAATATGAGAGATTGCTTATTTCACTGTAATCTGTAAGCCTTAAATAAAAACATGTGGCTTAGTGGTGTGAAATCCATCCCCCAACATAAATAAGAATATACTTTTTTAAAATTTTTTATTTGATTTGGTGACCTATTATTTGAGGAGATAATTCCAAATTTTACGATAATCTGTGGTTTGTTATCCAACTTGGGTTTTTTTTTTTTCAGTGAAATTCATAAGGTTTAAACAAAAGCATGTCACTTAGTGGCTTGAAATGTATCCCCTAAACAGAAATAAGAATATGCTTTTTATTTACATTTTTTATTTCATTTAATTTGATGACCTATGATTTGAGCAGATAATTCCAAATTTTACAATCATATGTAGTTCATTATCCAACTTGGATTTTACCCATTAAAGTGAGCATTAGTAAAAAAGATATAATCTATATGTAAAAACATTTATCTGTTCAAACATGTAATATTATACTCTTATTAAAGAAGAACAACATTTAAGTTAACATACCACACTTCACTGGTCTCAACTAACTTAAAAAATTTAAAAATTAAAAAAAAACCACTCAAATTGAGAAAAGGAAGTTTATTTAAAAGGTGCTTATCTATACAATGTTATTTATCTGCTGAATACCCTTAAACAAATCATTTTTCCAGCAGTCCATTATCAGCTCGGTTTGCTCATCTGGAAAATGGCGTCATGGTGGGCTAGCTTTCTTGTAGAATGATATAAGCATGAAATTAGTTATGCCATGTAATGCACCTAGCACAATGCCAACCATTTTTCAGTGCTTTTAAAAATGTTAGTCCTTCTCATTTCCCATAAAATATTTTCTTGGTAATAGTCTCTTTCCAGGTGATGTGTACAAAAGTCACACAAACAGTACTCAGTGGAAGGTCTTTGCAGATGCTTCTCACAATAAATCCGGACTAAAGTCCCATGCCTAAGTTCTTACTGAGGAAGGGGACAAAGCCAGCCCAGATGTTCAGTAGAAGCAGACGGTGTGAAGAAAGCTTTTTCCTGCCTTCTCCTCCATTTGCAACAGCAGCTCTTCCAGATTGTCTTCCATGTCGTCTGACTGCTGCAGGCACTGGCAAATCTCACAGATGAGGAAAGCTCCCAGGGTGGCATCTTCCAGGGTATCTTGGATGTCCATGTTGATCACGTGCACAGGCTGAAAGGTCTGCTGTTCTCTGGAACACAGATCTTCCACCACTGTGTCATAGACACTCTCCTCACAGGTGAAGATGACATCAAAGAAATCAGTGCACTCCTGAAATCTTTCTGGACCGGGCTTGATTCTCTCATTTCTTCCCAAGATGTGTAAGATTCCGTTGCGGGTGTAGCGTTCTCTATCTTTCCTGAGGAGGTCATTGTACATCTCCTTATATGTTGTTGCAAAATCGTAAACTACAGGACGATTGGGTCTTGGTCCTGGTAGCCTCACATGAGATTCAGTTCCAAAAGACCGGACACTTAGCCCTTTTCTCCTGAGGATGCTGTGGGCCTCCATGCTCCTGTTGACATTGCTCACGCACACCACAGCCACCCTGAGTGTGGAGGAGAGCATGATGGCGGCCACTGGGAACCAGAGAGACACAGGCACCTCAGCTGCTGCAGGGACTCGGAGCCGAGGAGACGACCACCTATACCCAGGTCTTCCAAACGAGCTAATGTGGAGGCACAGGAGGCAGGTTTATATTGAGTCACCTTAATGAGTGGGTGGAGACTTCATGACTTCTGGATTGATTAGGTTGTGATAATCATCTCCTAACTCATCACAAGAACAATCAAGATGATTAAATTACCTAAAGCAGTAACTCTCCACAAAGGTGGCACCACCCAGTCTGGATTCATTTAAAATCTGGAGTTTGCTCTGGTGGTTCTCCTAGTGAATGGGGGCTGCTATGGACAATGGCCAAGACAATTAAGCTACCTGCAAGCATGTCACAGGACTCTCCAGTGACCTCCAGACATGAAATTGGATGATAAACATGTTCACGATGTGCAAGGCTGCACCATATTTAATTATAAATTACAAGTGTTGTTGCTTGTTTTAATTTTCATAATGTTCGAGAAATGCAATTGCATAAATCACAGGACCATTGTATATAGTTTTGTCCAGAAATTCACAAAATTTTTCACCAATACAAAAAAAATCCCATTCTCAACAACATATCTGCTTATGGTATCTTAAGAGTTATTCAACACAACATTTTCTGCATTTGATATTACTGAAATCATAACGATTCTTCAGGGAATGCAGGGATTGATGCAATCCTCTGCCTCCAAGTACAGCTGTGTTTGTGCTTTTCTATACTTAAATGCAATGTTTAGAATTTTTTTCATAGTTGTATAATTTATCAAGATAAAGGAGATTTTAAAATTATGAATGGGGTTTCAAAAAATAAGATAATCATGTCACTTTTAGATTGATTAGATTATGATAATGGACCGCTAAGTAATTACAAGAACAATCAAAATGATTAAATTCCTAATTCAGTAACTCTCCACAAAGGTGGCCCCACCCAGTCAGGATTGATTTATAGGTGCGCTCTGTTTGCTGTCGCTCACTGATTTACCAAATATTGGGTAAATAATAATTTTTTTTTTTGAGGAGTCTCGCTCTGTCACCTAGGCTGGAGTGCAGTGGCACAATATCGACTCACTGCAACCTCTACCTCCGAGGTTCGAGGGATTCTCTTGTCTGAGCCTCTCAAGTAGCTGAAGACTACAGGCACGCGGCACCACACCCGGTTAATGTTTGTATTTTTAGTAGAGATGGGGTTTCACCATGTTGGTCAGGCTGGTTTTGTACTTCCGACCTCAAGTGATCTGCCCGCTTTGGCCTCCCAAAGTGCTGAGATTACTGCTATGAGCCACCTCACCCGGCCCAATTTTACTTGTTTTTAGTAATCCTTCTTAAATGTATGTATAGCTCACATTTATTTCAATATAAATCAGATCAGAGACATCACTTTTGTCCTTGATGCAGGGACAAAATCTATCTATAAAGGAACATATTGTATTTTTCTATGTCCCTCTTAAGGTGATTCTTACATGGCAAATACAGCAGGTTGTCAAAGAACATCTTTTTTTTTTTTTTTCTTTTTTGAGACACAGTTTTGCTCTGTCACCCTGGCTGGAGTGCAGTGGTGCCATCATGGCTCACTGCAGCCTCAAACTCCTGGGCTCAATCAATCCTCCCACCTCAGCCTCCTGAGTAGCTGGAACTACAGGTGTGTACCACCACGCCTGGCTAATTTTTTTTTTTTTTTTTTTTGTAGAGGGTGGGGTTTCACCATGTTACCCAGGCTGGTCTCAAATTCCTGGGCTCAAGTGATCCACCCGCTTTGGTCTCCCAAAGTGCTGGGATTACAGGCATGAGCCACTGTGTCCAGCCTCAAATAATATCATTTTATTATAATATTAACTTAAAAAATTGACTTCTGGCAGGCCAATGTCTGCGTGGGGTTTGCATATTCTCCCCATGTCTTTGTGGTTTTTCTCTGGATACTCTTGTTTCCTCCCACATCCCAAAGATGTGCACATTAGATGAAGTGACATCTCTATGGTCCCAGTATGGGGGTGTGCCCTGAGCCCCGGATGGGGTCCTGTCCAGCGTTGGTTCCTGCCTCACACCTTGAGCTGCCGATAGGTTCCAGCCACCTGCCACTCTGAACTGGAATCAGCAGGTTGGAAAATGAAGGAATGAATACAAATTATTGAAAAATAAAAATTCATAAAACGTGGTAATCATACAAATGCAAGACAATAACGATGAAAGTACAAGATAGATCAGCCAGCCTGCCGTGTCTGTCATTATTGATTTTTTAACTGTGTAGTAGTAGGAGGTGCTCCTTACAATTTTTTCTCTGCAAGCATTTATTCCTTGATTTAACTTACCACAACTACGACCGCCATCACTCACTGACTCACCAAAAATTGGGTGAATAATAATCTTACTAGGTTTTATTAGGCTTTCTTAATTGTATGTACAGCTCACATTTATTTCTAAGTTTAATACTCTAAGTGTGTTGAATCTTTATTTAGACGTTTGGTGATGTTTTTGTGACTCTTGTTCATATCAACTAGCCTATGATAAAATTAATTTTATTATACAGCATTTCACTTGAAGTCATCGTTTTGGGCGCGGTGGCTCATACCTGTAATCCCAGCACTTTGGGAGGCTGAGGCGGGTGGATCACCTGAGGTCCAGAGTTCGAGACCAGTCTGGCCAACATGGTGAAAGCCTGTCTCTACTAAAGAAATACAAAAAATGTTCCGGGCGTGGTGGCGGGTGCCTGTAATTCTGGCTACTCTGGAGGGCTGAGGCAGGAGAATTGTTTGAATCCGGGAGGCGGAGGTTGCAGTGAGCAGAGATCATGCCATTGCACTCCAGCCTGGGCGAGAAGAGTGAAACTCCATCTCCAAACAAACAAACAAACAAACAAATTAGTAAACACCTGAAAGTTTCTCAAAGTGTGTTCCCAGACTAGCAGCATTAGCATTAATTGGGAACTTGTAAAAAATGAAAATTTAGACCGCAAACCACTGAACCACAACCTCTAGTGGTGAAGCCCAGAGATTTGTGTTCTTTCCTTTACATTTCCATGAATTGTTGTTCAGGTTCACATAAGTGATAATGTTTGGAAAGTCTTCTCTCAAGTAGGTTTCTCTGTGGGGGACACAGGAGATAAACTGAATTGCTGTGTATCTTTCCTTCACCCTGACAGAGGGGCCACATCTTGGCTGGGTACAGGATTGTTGGGCTGTAGTCCTTTCTCTCAGTAGTCCTTAACTGCTATGCCACTGTCCGTTCCAGCGTTGGAGATAAAAAGTCTAATTCCAGCATCATTCTTCTCCTGTAGATAATATGCTCTTTTTTTAAAATATATATATATATTTATTATAGTTGAGTTCTAGGGTGCATGTGCACAGCGTGCAGGTTTGTTACACATGTATACATGTGCCATGTTGGTGTGCTGCACCCGTTAACTCGTCATTTACATTAGGTATATCTCCTGATGCTTTCCCTCTGCACCCCCCGCCCGCCCCACAACAGGCCTCGGTGTGTGATCTTCCCCTTCCTGTGTCCAAGTGTTCTCATTGTTCAATTCCCACCTATGAGTGAGAACCTGTGGTGTTTGGTTTTTTGTTCTTGCGATAGTTTGCATGATGGAACTAGAAATACCATTTGACCCAGCCATCCCATTACTGGGTATATACCCAAAGGATTATAAATCAGGCTGCTGTAAAGGCACATGCACACGTATGTTTATTGCTATTCACAATAGCAAAGACTTGGAACCAACCCAGATGTCCATCAATGATAGACTGGATGAAGAAAATGTGGCACATATACACCATGGAATACTATGCAGCCATAAAAAAGGATGAGTTCATGTCCTTTGTAGGGACATGGATGAAGCTGGAAATATGTTCTTTTTAAGTGGATGTTTGTAAGATTTTTCTCTTTCTCCTTAGAGTTCAAAATTTTTACTAGCAGATGCCTCAGTGTTTCTTATTTCTCTTCACTCTAGTCCAGTATTTCTCCATTGTTTCATCGATCCCCAGTTATGGAGCCTTTTTAGACACTTTTTTCTAATTGCCGTCTCATAAAATTGTAATAGTAATCCCAGCTACTTGGGAGGCTGAGGCATGAGAATTGCTTGAGCCTGGGAGGTGGACTTTGCAGTGAGTTGAGACCATGCCACTGCACTCCAGCCTGGGTGACAGAGGCAGACTGTGTCTCAAAAATAAATAATAAAAAGGTCTATTAGATCCACTTGGTCCAATATTGAGTTTAGGTCCTGAATATCTTTGCTCTTTTTCTGCCTTGATGATCTATCTAATGCTGTCAGTGGAGTGTTGAAGTCTCCCACTATGTTTGTGTGGGATTCTAAGTCTCTTTGTAGGTTTCTAAGAACTTGCATTATGAATCTGGGTGCTCCTGTGTTGAGTGCATATATATTTAGGATAGTTAGGTCTTCAGGTTGAATTGAACCCTTTACTATTATGTAATGCCCTTCTCCATTCTCAGGAGGTGAGCGTGGTGCAGAAGTTCAGGGATCCAGGAAATAATGAAGTATAATAGATAAACAACTTGTAGCATGTCTGTATTTATTCAGTGCCTGACTGAGAATCTAGCACATAGGAAGTACACATAATCATTCTTTCCCTGCCTCTCAGGTTCCATTCTCCCCATCTCTAAATTCAGTTTCCAGAGTAGGAAGATTTACTCCCATTTTGGTTCCTGCAGTAGCCTCTAAGTAATGGCTGAAATTGTTTCAAAAATAAAATTATGCGACAAGAGCCCAATAGAGGCTCCTTAGGATGTGCCTGCTGTGGACAGCAACTACCACCAGGTCAGCCTGTGATCACACAAGCACTATGAAAATATACAATACCCCGAAGAAATTCGCCCTTCTGAAGGAGGTGGAATAAATCAAAACAGATATGAAAATGCCATTGGAGGTTGAAGGCCAAGAGTGTGCACCACTATGCTGACAAAGTAACAGCCAGAAGAAAAGATCAAATGAAGCAATGTAAATCTTAAATAGAAAAGAGAAGCCTGAAGAGGACCTGCTAAGCTAAGGATGGCCATTTGGTACTTTGAGAATAAAAGGATTTTGCTTCTGGGAGGCAAAGAAGAGAGGATAAAGAGCTCAATGACTGGAGCCTGACCTATGGGTGAAATTGTGGGTACCTGAGTAGTTGCTTATCTACTCAACCTAATCTAGACAACTTCTCAAATGCCTCATGAATGTTCTCCTGTCTCGGTCCAGGTATCTTCAGCATCTCAGAGAATTAACTTCCATTGCCCTTCTTTGTGTTTGTGAGATAATTACCCTTATTCAGGGTATTTTAAAAAATCATCTCTCCGGCCGGGTGTGGTGGCTCACGCCTGTAATCCCAGCACTTTGGGAGGCCGAGGCGGGCGGATCAGGAGGTCAGGAGATCCAGACCATCCTGGCTAACACGGTGTAACCCCGTCTCTACTAATAATACAAAAAATTAGCCGGGCGTGGTGGCGGGCGCCTGTAGTCCCAGCTACTCGGGAGGCTGAGGCAGGAGAATGGCGTGAACCCAGGAGGTGGAGCTTGCAGTGAGCCAAGATTGTGCCACTGCACTCCAGCCTGGGCGACAGAGCGAGGCTCCCTCTCAAAAAAAAAAAAAAATCATCTCTCCAATGTGTCAGCAATGTGCCTGTGAGAACGTTCACCTCATAAATGATTTCTTCTCTCTGATTTCACAAAAAGTCTGATTATCAGAGGACCTATCTCAGGAATAGGAGTATGTTAGATCACCTGGCAATGTTTCCCCTAACTGATTTAAGACTTTCTGAGGTCTGAGAATTATAGTTTTTCTTTGTGTTTTTCCAGATCTCAGTACATCACAGCACAGTGCAACTCCTCAAAATGTTTAACAAAACAACCAAATGACAAAATATTGGATGAGTGTGAAGTATCAGGGCAGGGTAGCCGTAAATAAGTCCCTTTAATACCTTGGATATTTACAGTAGTCAGGATCAGAGCCAATGTAGAACCTTCTTTGGAGGGGCTCCGGGGTCAGAGTTCTTTGGCACACTGAGAGGTAAAAAGGGACCCCATGCCCAGAGTCTCCTCATTCTGCCATCCCAGACAGCATTTTCCATTCTACTGGCATAGCCCATATTTATGACTGTGGTTTGGTGGTGTGCTGGTAACCCAGCTAAAATACACACACAAAGATCAGTCAATCAATTAAAGCCCTGCATTGTAGTGTTTGCCAGTTTTGGCAGTGTATGTACTCCCACCAAGGTCATTTTCAAGGTATCAACGTGACATCACTGAATGTGAAGTTTGCAAGGAATATGCACAGATGAGCCAGTACAAGTGGCTCCACCCCACACTGCTTTAGTCTCTCCAACTCTGTCTACCCAAGTCCAGACAATAGTACTAGTGCTTTCAGCCACCTACTTTAGGTCCCATAACATCTAGTCTAGATGGGGCCTTTCCTATCTAGACTGTAATTTTACTCACAGCAATAAAAAAAATCACTTACCTGTTTTAAATGGAGTTCTCTTGGGCTAGAATGGGGTGAGTGACAACAAGGCTGTCAGAATGATGGGTGACAGGGAACTGAGATTTTATGTGTTGGCCTGAAAGCCTGAGGGGCTGCTATTATTCCAGGGAGCCCAAATATAGAACCATCTTTTCAACATCTCCTCAATTCCGTACATGTTGGCCAAGTCATTATGGCTCTCCAAGCCTGCCTAGTCCACCTTTTTCTCTAAATCTCCATCCCTTCTTATGTATGCTCATGTACTTATTCCTAACAAAAGAGTGTTAGCATTGCTACAACAATTATTCCTGTTTCCATTTTATGGGATCTGGGATTAATTTTCTTTTGAAAATTTTACATATTTTAATTTTTTTTGTAGAGATGGGGTGTCCCTATGTTGCCCAGGCTGGTCTTAATTTCCTGGCCTCAAGTGATCCTCTCATCTTGGCTTTCCAAAATGCTGGGATTACAGGCATGAGCCACCATGCCCGGCCTGAAAATCATATTAATTACTTAAGAAACACTTTTTATCAAAAGTGTTTCTTTGGAACTTGAATTAAGTTTATAACATTTTCAAAAAAGCCATTTAAACTTTTGTATTTGTAATAATAATATTTTAAATATTTACATGGGAATACCTAAATATCACTTAAAAATCAATTTTCCCTACTTCTGTAAGTCAAGGTCAACTATGAAAAACATTCTGTACCCTCTTTTTCTTTGGCCACCAAATAATCCACGTTTAATTTTCAGTTATCTTATTCACTAATCTTCTTCCTGCTGATAAACTTATCTCTTTCTTTATGTATCCTTTTCATATCTTTTTATTTAATTAGTCCAAGTAACTGTATATATACATATTTGTAAAGGAGAAACAGTTTTATGTTTAAGAAATATCTTTTTGTTTGTCACAGAATATTTCTCAGTTCCAGGGACATGTTTAGTGGTAATAATAGTAATTGGGTGCTAATGATTTGGCTGGTGGGGACTCTGACCATCTCTGGTCTTGGTTGAACTGCGAGCAGAGGCTAGAAAACTGTTTACCGTGAAGAGCTTTTAGAGGCCTTCTGCTGGATTTTGAATTTGACCCACCAAGTGAATTTAGTTGAGGGATAAATAGGAGGATGGTCTTTCTTGGAGCTGAACGGTTTTTCTAAACATTCTGCTAGTACTGCATGACCCATTGGCATGACTGTTAAAGTGCCCCACATCTGCTTAGCATCCTCCAAGATCCTTTGGGTGTGTTCCACAAGATCCTTTGGCTCTTGTAAATAATTAGCACTCCCAAGAGTGCCCTGTGGGACCCTCAGGTTTTTTGCCATTCCAGAACTGCCTTGTTTTCAACTGACCAACTTGCTCGCTGGGCCATGTCTCTTTCTCTGATCACATTCAAATGTTAAGCTCCGCTAAAATTTAGATTTTTTTTGAGACAGGGTCTTGCTCTGTCACCCAGGCTAGAGTGCACTGGCGCGATCTCAGCTCTTGGCTTACTGCAACCTCCACCACTGCCCCTGCCACCCCTCCTGCTTTCAAGTGATCCTCCCACCTCAGCCTCCAGAGTGGCTGGGACTGCAGGCGTGTACCACCATGCCCAGCCAAGTTGTTTTGTGTTTTTAGTAGAGATGGGGCTCACCATGTTGCCCAGGCTAGTCTTGAACTCCTGAGTGCAAGCAATCTGCCTGCCTTGGCCTCCTGAAGTGCTGGGATAACACACGAGAGTCATTGTGCCCAGCCATAAAATTTAGATATTTTATGCTTTGTTTTAGTGTTATGATAAATAAAATTGTTTGTAATGGTATTTTAAATTATTTGCTGGTTTTATATAAAGCATAATTTATTTTTGTATTTTAAACTTGGTGTCCCTGACCTTGCTAAATCCATTTATTTATCCCAAGTGTTGTGTAGATTCTTAGGATTTTTTTTTTTTACATACGCAGCCATGTCATCTCTTAATAAATACAGGTTTACATCCTCCTTTCTGACCTGAATATCTTTTATTTAGGTGTTATTATTTGATTTTTGCTTTTTTTTTTTACAATTTACTTGTGCATACACTGACTGAAGGACATCTTGATTGCCAATTTTGGCAATTATGAATAAAGCTGCTATAAATATCTGTCTGCAGGTTTTTGTGTGGACATACATTTTTAACTCATTTGGGCAAATACCCAGGAGCATGATTGCTGGATTGTATGGTAAGAGTATGCTTAGTTTTGTAAGAAACTGCCAAGCTGCCTTCTTAAGTGGCTGTACCATTTTGCATTCCCATCAGCAGTGAATGAGAGCTCCTGCTGTTCCACATCCTCCCCAGCATGTACTGTTGTCAGTGTTTTGGATTTTCACCATTCTAATAGGTATGTAGTGGTATCTCATGTTGTGTAAATTTGTAATTCTCCAATGACATGTTGTTGACTACCTTTTCATATGCTTCTTTGCCATCTGTGTATCTTCTTTGATGAGATGTCTGTCCAGATCTTTTGCCTTTTTAATTTTTTTGAGACAGTCTCTGTCACCCAGGCTGAAGTGCAGTGCCCACAGAGAGAACTGCCACAGGGGCAGAGTCACACAGAGAGGGTAATGCATAGTGGAGCCACCTCACAGTTCCACTTGGGTCATGCCCAAGAGAACTGTAGGGCTGGGCTGCTCCCAACACTCCAGACCTGTAGAATCACCAACGTGCAACTCTAGCTCGAGAGAGCCACAGGCACTGAACTCCAACCTGTGAAAGCTGCAGCATGGGCTGCATCCGGCAAAGACATGGAGGTCGGGTCCCCTGAAGCCTTGGGACCCAACCGCCACCCCAGTGTGTCTGGAAGGCAGGGCATGGAGTCAAAAATTATTCTCAAGCTTAAAGTTTTAATGTTATTTACCTTGTTTGGATTTGGGCTTACTTGGGACCCATTACCCCCCTTTTTTCTTGGCTATTTCTCCCTTTTGGAATGAAAGTGTCTAGTCTATGCTTGTCTCACCATTGTATTTTGGAAACACATAACTTATTTGATTTCACAGGCTCACAGCTGGAGAGAAATTTGCCTCAGGATGAATTGTACCTTGGGTCTCACTCATATCTGATTTAGATGAGACTCTAGACCTTAGAATTTTGAATTGGTACTGGAATGAGTTATAACTTTTTGGGGCTATTAAGATGGAATGAATGTATTTTGTGTGTGAGAAGGAAATGAATTTGGTGGGCTAAGGATGGAAAGTTATGGTCTGAAGATATTCCCCAAAATTCATATGTTAAAACTCAACCACCAATGTGATAATATTAAGAGGCAAGGCTTTTAGGAAGTGATTAAGTCGTGAGAGCAGAGCCTTCCTACATGGAATTAGTGAACTTATCAAAGGGCTGGAGGGAACTAGCCTAGGCCCTTTTTGCTCTTCTGTTTCTTTTGTCTTGTGAAGATACAGTGTTCAAGGTGGCATCTTGGAAGAACAGACTAGGCCCTCACCAGATGCCAAACCTGCAAGCACCTTGATTTTGCACGTTCCAGGCTCAAAAACTGTGAGGAATAAGTTTCTATTATTTATAAATTGTCCAGTCTCAGGCATTTTGTTATAACAGTAGAAATAGACTAAGAGAGTAACACTAGAGGCCATTAAACATGTGGTTTATTCAGGATCATTATAACAACAACAAAGCCTAAACCATCTCAACTCCTGACTAGATTGATCAATACCCATGCTGAATGCCTAGCAAAAGACAAGGTCTTCTTTTTCTTTTTTTATTATACTTTAAGATTCAGGGTACATGTGCACAACGTGCAGGTTTGTTACATATGTGTACATGTGCCGTGTTGGTGTGCTGCACCCAGTAACTGGTCATTTAACATTAGGTATATCTCCTAATGCTATCCGTCCCCTCTCCACCCTCCCCGCACTCCAAAACAGGCCCCAGTGTGTGATGTTCCCCTTGCTGTGTCCATGTACTCTCATTGTTCAATTCCTACCTCTGAGTGAGAACATTCGGTGTTTGGTTTTTTGTCCTTGCGATAGTTTGCTGAGAATGATGGTTTCCAGCTTCATCCATGTCCCTACAAAGGACATGAACTCATCCTTTTTTATGGCTGCATAGTATTCCATGGTGTATATGTGCCACATTTTCTTCATCCAGTCTATCATTGTTGGACATTTGGATTGGTTCCAAGTCTTTGCTATTGTGAATAGTGCCGCAATAAACATACGTGTGCATGTGTCTTTATAGCAGCATGATTTATAATCCTTTGGGTATATACCCAGTAATGGGATGGCTGGGTCAAATGGTATTTCTAGTTCTACATCCCTGAGGAATTGCCACACTGACTTCCACAATGGTTGAACTAGTTTACAGTCCCACCAACAGTGTAAAAGTGTTCCTATTTCTCCACATCCTCTCCAGCACCTGTTGTTTCCTGACTTTCTAATGATCGCCATTCTAACTGGTGTGAGATGGTATCTCATTGTGGTTTTGATTTGCATTTCTCTGATGGCCAGTGACGATGAGCATTTTTCCATGTGTCTGTTGGCTGCATAAATGTCTTCTTTTGAGAAGTGTCTGTTCATATCCTTTGCCCACTTTTTGATGGGGTTGTTTGTTTTTTTCTTGTAAATTTGTTGGAATTCATTGTAGATTGTGGATATTAGCCCTTTGTCAGATGAGTAGATTGCAAAAATGTTCTCCCATTCTGTAGGTTGCCTGTTCACTCTGATGGTAGTTTCTTTTGCTGTGCAGAAGCTCTTGAGTTTAATTAGATCCCATTTGTCAATTTTGGCTTTTGTTGCCATTGCTTTTGGTGTTGGCCTTGCCCATGCCTGTGTCCTGAATGGTATTGCCTAGGTTTTCTTCTATGGTTTTAGGTCTAACATTTAAGTCTTGAATCCATCTTGAATTAATTTTTGTATAAGGTGTAAGAAAGGGATCCAGTTTCAGCTTTCTACATATGGCTAGCCAGTTTTCCCAGCACCATTGATTAAATAGGGAATCCTTTCCCCATTGCTTGTTTTTGTCAGGTTTGTCAAAGATCAGATGGTTGTAGATATGCAGCATTACTTCTGAGGGCTTTGTTCTGTTCCATTGGTCTAGATCTCTGTTTTGGTACCAGTACCATACTGTTTTGGTTACTGTAGCCTTGTAGTATAGTTTGAAGTCAGGTAGCGTGATGCCTCCAGCTTTGTTCTTTTGGCTTAGGTTTGACTTGGCGATGCAGGCTCTTTTTTGGTTCCATATGAACTTTAAAGTAGTTTTTTCCAATTCTGTGAAGAAAGTCATTGGTAGCTTGATGGGGATGGCATTGAATCTATAAATTACCTTGGGCAGTATGGCCATTTTCACGATATTGATTCTTCCTACCCATGAGCATGGAATGTTCTTCCATTTGTTTGTGTCCTCTTTTATTTCCTTGAGCAGTGGTTTGTAGTTCTCCTTGAAGAGGTCCTTCACATCCCTTGTAAGTTGGATTCCTAGGTATTTTATTCTCTTTGAAGAAATTGTGAATGGAGTTCACTCATGATTTGGCTCTCTGTTTGTCTGTTATTGGTGTATAAGAATGCTTGTGATTTTTGCACATTGATTTTGTATCCTGAGACTTTGCTGAAGTTGCCTATCAGCTTGAGGAGATTTTGGGCTGAGACAATGGGGTTTTCTAGATATACAATCATGTCGTCTGCAAACAGGGACAATTTGACTTCCTCTTTTCCTAATTGAATACCCTTTACTTCCTTCTCCTGCCTGATTTCCCTGGCCAGAACTTCCAACACTATGTTGAATAGGAGTGGTGAGAGAGGGCATCCCTGTCTTGTGCCAGTTTTCAAAGGGAATGCTTCCAGTCTTTGCCCATTCAGTATGACATTGGCTGTGGGCTTGTCATAGATAGTTCTTATTATTTTGAGATACGTCCCATCAATACCTAATTGATTGAGAGTTTTTAGCATGAAGAGTTGTTGAATTTTGTCAAAGGCCTTTTCTGCATCTATTGAGATAATCATGTGGTTTTTGTCTTTGGTTCTGTTTCTATGCTGAATTATGTTTATTGATTTGCGTATGTTGAACCAGCCTTGCATCGCAGGGATGAAGCCCACTTGATCATGGCGGCTAAGCTTT
Source organism: Homo sapiens (assembly GCF_000001405.40). Classification (NCBI taxonomy): domain Eukaryota; kingdom Metazoa; phylum Chordata; class Mammalia; order Primates; family Hominidae; genus Homo; species Homo sapiens. The sequence goes on from NC_000011.10 coordinate 4,300,639, forward strand.
TTGATGTGCTGCTTGATTCAGTTTGCCAGTATTTTATTGAGGATTTTCACATTGATGTTCATCAGGGATGTTGGTCTAAAATTCTCTTTTTTTGTCGTGTCTCTGCCAGGCTTTGGTAGCACGATGATGCTGGCCTCATCAAATGAGTTAGGGAGGATTCCCTCTTTTTCTATTGATTGGAATAATTTCAGAAGGAATGGTACCAGCTCCTCTTTGTACCTCTGGTAGAATTCGGCTGTGAATCCATCTGTTCCTGGATTTCTTTTGGTTGGTAAGCTATTAATTATTGCCTCAATTTCAGAGCCTGTTATTGGTCTATTCAGAGATTCAACTTCTTCCTGGTTTAGTCTTGGGCGGGTGTATGTGTCGAGGAATTTATCCATTCCTTCTAGATTTTCTAGTTTATTTGCATAGAGGTGTTTATAGCATTCTCTGATGGTAGTTTGTATTTCTGTGAGATCAGTGGCGATATGCCCTTTATCATTTTTTATTGCATCTATTTGATTCTTCTCTCTTTTCTCCTTTATTAGTCTTGCTAGCAGTCTATCAATTGTGTTGATCTTTTCAAAAAACCAGCTCCTGGATTCATTGATTTTTTGAAGGGTTTTTTGTGTCTCTGTTTCCTTCAGTTCTGCTCTGATCTTAGTTATTTCTTGCCTTCTGCTAGCTTTTGAATGTGTTTGCTCTTGCTGCTCTAGTTCTTTTCATTGTGATGTTAGCGTGTCAATTTTAGATCTTTCCTGCTTTCTCTTGTGGGCATTTAGTGCTATAAATTTCCCTCTACACACTGCTTTGAATGTGTCCCAGAGATTCTGGTATGTTGTGTCTTTGTTCTCGTTGGTTTCAAAGAACATCTTTATTTCTGCCTTCGTTTCGTTATGTACCCAGTAGTCATTCAGGAGCAGGTTGTTCAGTTTCCATGTAGTTGAGCGGTTTTGAGTGAGTTTCTTAATCCTGAGTTCTAGTTTGATTGCACTGTGGTCTGAGAGACAGTTTGTTATAATTTCTGTTCTTTTACATTTGCTGAGGAGTGCTTTACTTCCAACTATGTGGTCAATTTTGGAATAAGTGCGGTGTGGTGCTGAGAAGAATGTATATTCTGTTGATTTGGGGTGGAGAGTTCTGTAGATGTCTATTAGGTCCACTTGGTGCAGAGCTGAGTTCAATTCCTGGATATCCTTGTTAACTTTCTGTCTCATTGATCTGTCTAATGTTGACAGTGGGGTGTTAAAGTCTCCCATTCTTATTGTGTAGGAGTCTAAGTCTCTTTATAGGCCTCTAAGGACTTGCTTTTTGAATCTGGGTGCTCCTGTATTGGGTGCATATATATGTAGGATAGTTAGCTCTTCTTGTTGAATTGATCCCTTTACCATTATGTAATGGTCTTCTTTGTCTCTTTTGATCTTTGTTGGTTTAAAGTCTGTTTTATCAGAGACTAAGATTGCAACACCTGCGTTTTTTTGTTTTCCATTTGCTTGGTAGATCTTCCTCCATCCCTTTATTTTGAGCCTATGTGTGTCTCTGCATGTGAGATGGGTTTCCTGAATACAGCACACGGATGGGTCTTGACTCTTTATCCAATTTGCCAGTCTGTGTCTTTTAATTGGAGCATTTAGCCCATTTATTTTTAGGGTTAATATTGTTAGGTGTGAATTTGATCCTGTCATTATGATGTTAGCTGGTTATTTTGCTCATTAGTTGATGCAGTTTCTTCCTAATCTCAATGGTCTTTACAATCTGGCATGTTTTTGCAGTGGCTGGTACCGGTTGTTCCTTTCCATGTTTA